>NC_000007.14:62506779-62809809 GCF_000001405.40 Homo sapiens | reverse complement strand
CAGCGGTTTGGAAACACTGTATTCATAGAATCTGCAAAGGGAAATCTGGGAGCGCACTGAGGCCTATGGTGAAAAAGGGAATATGTTCATATGAAAACTAGAAAGAAGCTTTCTGAGAAACCACTTTCTGAAGCGTGCAGTGAAATCACAGAATTAAAACTTTCTGTTGACTCTGCAGTTAGCAACACCGTTTTTGTCCATTCTGTGAATGGACATTTGGGAGCTCATTGAGGCCAAAGACGAAAAAGAGAGTATCCCAGGATAAAAACTAGAAGAAAGCTATCTGAGAAACCACTTTGTGATTTGTGCATTCACCCTGCAGAGTTAATCCTCTCTTTTCATTCAACAGTCTGGAAACACTGTTTTGGCAGAATCTGCAAAGCGATATTTGGGAGCACTTTGTGGCATGTGGGGAAAAACCAGAAAGAAGCTTTCTGAGAAACTGCTTTGCAATGTGTGCATTCACATCATGAAGTTAAACCTTTCTTTGGATTCAGCAACTTTGAAATACTGTTTTTGTCCTTTCTGTGAATGGACACTTTTTGAGCTCATTTAGGCCAATGGCAAAAAAGAGAATATCCCAGTATAAAAACTCGAAAAAACCTATCTGAGAAGCCGCTTTGTGATGTGTGCATTTCTCTGGCAAAGTTAAACCTTTCTTTTCATTCTGCAGTGTGGAAACACTGTTTTTGTAGAATCTGCCAAGGGATATCTCAGAGTGCATTGAGGATTATGGTGAAAAAGGAAATATCTTCAGATAAAAAGTATAAAGAAGCTTTCTAAGAAACTGCTTTGTAATGTGTCCATTCATCTCACAGAGTTAAACTTTGCTGTGGATTCAGCTGTATGGAAACACTGTTGTAGAATCTGCAAAGGGATATTTGGGAGCTCAATGAGGCCATAAGGGAAAAAGCAAATATCCCAGGATAAAAACTAGAGAAAGCTTTCTGAGCAGCCACCTTGTGATGTGTGCATTAAACTCGCACTGGTTAAACTTCCTTTTCATTCAGCAGTTTGGAAACACTGTTTTGGTAGCATCTGTGAAGGGATATTTGGGAGCCCATTGAGGCCTAGGGATAAAAAGGAATTAACTTCAGATGAAAACTAGCAAGAAGCTTTCTGAGAAACTTCTTTGGGACGTGTGCATTCACCTCACAGAGTTAAACCTTTCTTTGGATTCAGCAGTTTGGAAACATTGTTATTGTCCATTCTGAGAATGGACTTTTGGGAGTTCCCTTATTCCAATGGTGAAAAAGCGAATATCCCAAGATGAAAACTAGAAGAGAGCTATCTGAGAAACCAGTTTGTAATGTGTGCATTCATTTTCAGAGTTAAAATTTTCTTTATATTCAGCAGTTTGGATACACTGTTTTGTTAGAATCTGTAAAGGGATATTTGGCAGTGCATTGAGGACTATGGTGAAAAAAGAAATATCTTCAGATAAAAACTAGAAAGAAGCATTCTGAGAAACTGCTTTGTGATGTTCACATTCATCTCACAGAGGTAAACTATTTTTGTATTCAGCAGTTTGGAAACACTGTTTTTGTTGAATCTGTGAAGGGATATTAGAGAACTCCTTGAGGCCATGGGCAAAAAAGTGAATATCCCATGATGAAAACTAGAAGGAAGCTCTCTGATGTACAGCTTTGTGATGGTTGCTTTCAACTCGGAGAGTTAAAACTTTGTTTTCATTCAGCAGTTTGGAAACACTGTTTTGGTAGATTCTGTGAAGAGATATTTGGGAGCACATTGAGGCCTATGGTGAAAAAAAATATATCTTCAGATAAAAACTAGAAAGAAGATTTCTGAGAAACTGCTTCATGATGTGTGCATTCAGCTAACAAATTTAAACATTTGTTTGGATTCAGCAATTTGGAAACACTGCTTTTCACATCTGTGAAGTGATATTTGATAGCTCATTGAGGGCATAGGAGAAAAATCGAATATCCCAGAACAACAACTAAAAGGAGGATATCTGACAAACCGCCTCACGAGGTCTACATTCATGTCATAGAGTTAAAACTTTCTTTTCATTCAGCAGTTTGGAAACACTGTTTTGGTAGAATCTGAGAAGATATATTTGGGAATGCCTTGAGGCCTACAGTGAAAAAGGAAATATCTTCAGACAAAAGCTAGAGAGAAGCTTTCTGAGAAACTGCTTTGTGATGTGCCCATTCATCTCACAGAGTTAAAATTTCTTTGGATTCAGTAGTTCCTATACACTGTTTTTGTAGTATCTGTGACCAGATATTTTGGAACTAATTGAGAACAATTGCAAAAAAGTGAACATCCCAGGATTATAACTATAAGGAAGCTATTTGAGAAACTGCTTTGTGATGTGTGCATTCATCTCACAGAGGTAAAACTGTTTTTTCATACAGCAGTTTAAAAATACTGTTTTTTACTATCTGAGAAGTGATATTTGGGATTGAATTGAGGCCTATTGTGAAAAGGGAAATATCTTCAGATAAAAATTAGAGAGAATCTTTCTGAGAAACTGCTTTATGATTAATGCATTTATCTCATGGTGTTAAAGATTCTCTGGATTCAGCAGTTTGTAAACACTGTTTTTGTCCATTCTATGAGTGGACATTTCAGAGCTCATTGAGGCCAAAATGAAAAAGACAATATCCATGGAAAAATACTGCAAGAAATCTACCTGAGAAACCACTTTCTGCTGTGTGCTTTCAACTCACAGTGTTAAAACTTTCTTTTCATTCCAAAGTTTGGGAACACTGTATTGGTAGAATTTACAAAAGGATATTTGGGAGCTCATTGAGGACTGTGGTGAAAAAGGAAATATCTTCAGATAAAAACTAGATAGAAGCTTTCTGAAAAACTGCTTTATGATGTGTGCATTCATCTCACAGAATTAAACCTTTCTGTGGATTCAGCAGTTTGGGAACACTGATTTTGTCCATTCTACAAATGGACATTTGGGAGCTCTTTTAGGCCAAAGGCCAAAAAGAGAATATCCCAGCAGAAATCTAGAAGAAAGCTATCTGAAAAATTGCTCTGTGATGTGTGCATCCAAATCGCAGAGTTAAACCTTTCTTTTCATTCAAGATTTTGGAAACACTGTTTTGGTAGAATCTGTGAAGGGATATTTGCTAGCTCATTGAGAACATGGAGGAAAAAGCTATTATCCCAGTATAAAAACTATAAGGATGCTATCTGAGAAACTGCCTTATGATGTCTAAATTCATCTCAAAGAGATGAACCTTCCTTTTCATTCAGCAGTTTGGAAACACTGTTGTAGAATCTGTGAATGGATATTTGGAAGTTCATTGAGGCCACAGGGAAAAAAGCCAATATCCCTGGATAAAAACTAGAAGGAATCTATCTGAGAAATCACCTTGGGATGTGTGCATTAATCTCAAAGAGTTAAAATTTTTTTTCATTCAGCAGTTTGGAAACACTGTTTTGGTAGAATCTTTAAGGTATATTTGGGAGCACATTGAGGGCTATGGTGAAAAATGAAATATCTTCAGATAAAAACTAGAAACAAACTTTCTGAGAGACTGCTTTGTGGTGTGTGCATTCATCTCACAGATTTAAACCTTTCTTTGAATTCTGCAGATTGGAAACTTTGGTGTTGTACAATCTCTGAAGGGATATTTGGGAGCTCATTTACACCACAGGGGAAAAAGTGAAAATCCCTTGTTAAAAACTAGAAGGAAGCTATCTGAGAAACTGCCTTGTGCTGTGCGCATTCATCTCAGAGATTTAAAAATTCCTTTCATTCAGCAGTTTGGAAACGCTGTTTTGGTAGAATCTGCAAAGGGATATTTGGGAGTGCCTAGAGGGCTACTATGAAAAAGGGAATATCTTTGGGTAAAAAATATAAAGAAGCTTTTTGAGAAACTGCTTTGTGATATGTGCATTCATCTCACAGAGCTAAAACTTTCTGTGGATTCAGCAGTTTTGAAACACTGTTATTATAGAATCTGCAAAAAGATTTTTTGATAAAAACTAGAATGAAGCCATCTGTGAAACAATATTGGGATATTTGCATTCATCTCACAGAGTTAAACCTTTCTTTTCATTCAGCAGTTTGGTAAACTGTTTTGGTAGAATCTGTAAAGGGATATAGGGGAGTGCATTGAGGCCTGTGGTGAAAAAGGAAATGTCATCAGATGAAAACTAAAAAGAAGCTTTCTGAGAAAATGAATTTGGATGTGATCATTCATCTCACAGAGTTAAACGTTTCTTTGGATTCAGCAGTTTTGAAACACTGTTTTTTCCTTCCTGTGAATGGACATTTGGGATCTCATTGAGGTCAAAGGTGAAAAAGTGAATATTCCAGGAAGAAAACTGGAAGAAAGTAGTGTGAGGAAACGATTTGTGATGTGTGCATTCATCTCGCAGAGTTAAAACTTTCTTTTCATTCAGCTGTTTGGAAAAACGCTTTTGGTAGAATCTGCAAAGGAATATGTTGGTGTGCTTTGAGGTCTATGGCGTAAAAGGAACTAACTTCAGATAAAAACTAGAGAGAAGTTACCTAAGAAACTGCCTTGTGGTCTGTGCATTAATCTCACAGAGGTAAACCTTTCTTTAGATTCAGCAGGTTGGAAACACTGTTTTTGTAGAATCTGAAAAGGGATATTAGATAGCTCATTGAGGCCATAATCGAAAAAGTGAATATCCCAGGGTAAAAACTAGAAGGAAGATATCAGAAACCACTTTTTGATATGTGCAGTCATCTCACAGAGTTAAAATTTTCATTTAATTCAGCAGATTGGAAACACTGCTTAGGTAGAATCCGTGAAGTGATATTTGGGAGCACATTGAGAACTATGTTGAAAAAGGAAATATCTCCAGATTAAAACTAGAGAAAAGCTTTCTGAGAAAGTGCTTTGTGATGGGTGCATTCTTCTCACAGAGTTAAACCTTGCTTTGGATTCAGCAGTATGGAAACACGGTTTTTGTAGGATCTCTAGAAAGATATTTGATAGCTCATTGAGGCCATAGGTGCAAAAGCAAAAACCCCAGGATAAAAAGTAGAAACAAGCTATCTGAGAAACTGCTTTGTGATGTATGCATTCATCTCACAGAGTCAAACCTTTCATTTCATTCAGCAGTTTGGAAACACTGTTTTTTGTAGAATCTGCAAAGGGATATTTTGGATTGTTTTGGGGCCTAGGGTGAAAAAGGAAATATCTTCAGATAAAAACTGGAAAGAAACTTCCTGACAGACTGCTTTACGATGTGTGCATTCATCTCACAGAGTAAAACTTTCATTGGATTCAGCATTTTGGAAACACTGCTTTTGTCCACTCTACACATGGACATTTGGCAGCTAATTGAAACCAATGGTGAAAAAGCAAATTTCCCAGGATAAAAAAGAGAAGGAATGTATCTGAGAAACCACTTTTTGATGTGTGCATTCATCTCACAGCATTAAACTTTTCTTTTCATTCAGCAGTTTGGAAACACTGTTTTTGTAGGATCTGTGAAGGGGTATTAGAGAGGTTATTGAGGCCATAGGCAAAAAAGGAATTATGCCAGGATAAAAACTTAAAGGAAGCTATCTGAGGAACCCCTTTGTGATGTGTGCATTCATCTCAAAGAGATGCACCTTCCTTTCATTCAGCAGTTTGGGAACACTCTTTTGGTAGAATCTGTGAAGGGATATTTCGGAGTGCATTGAGGCTCATGGTAAAAAAGGAAATATCTTCAGCTGAAAACTAGAAAGAAGCTTTCTGTGAAACTGATTTTTGATGTGTGCTTTCATCTCACATTGTTAAACCTTTCTTTGGATTCAGCAGTTTGGAAACACTGCTATTGTAGAATCTGCAGAAGAATATTTGGGAGCTCATTGAGGCCATTTGAGAAAAAGCAAATATCCCAGGATAAAAACTAAAAGGAAGCTATCTGGGAATCCACTTTATGATGTGTCCATTAATATCCCAGAGTTACACATTTATTTTCATTCCAGAGTATGGGAACACTGTTTTTGTCAATTCTGTGCAAGGATATTTGGGAGCCTGTTGAGGCCAATGGTGAAATAGTGAATATCCCAGGAGAAAAACTAGAAGGAAGCTATCTGAGAAACTGCTTCATGATGTGTGCATTCATCTCGCAGTACTAAACCTTTCTTTTCATTCAGTAGTTTGGAAACACTGTTTTGGTAGAATCTGCAAAGGTATATATAGGAGCACATTGAGGCCTATGGTGAAAAAGGAAATATATTCAGATAAAAACTAAAAAGAAGTTTTCTAAGAAACTGCTTTGTGACAGGTGCTTTCATCTCACAGAGTTAAACCTTTCTTTGTATTCAGTACTTTAGAAACACTGTTTTTGTCCACTCTGTGAATGGACGTTTGGCAGCTAATTGAGGAAAATGGTGAAAAAGAGAGTATCCCAGGATAAAAACTAGAAGGAAGCTATCTGAAAAACCGCTTTGTGATGTGTGCATTCATCTTGCACAATTAAACCTTTATTTTCATTCTGCAAGTTGGAAACACTGTTTTTGTAGAAATGGCAAAGGGTTATTTGAGAGCACATTGAGGCTTATGGTAAAAAGGAAATATCTTGAGATGAAAACTAGAAATAAGCTTCTGAGAAACTGCTTTGTGACATGTGCATTCATCTCAGGGCATGAAACCTTTCTTTTCATTCAAAAGCTTTTTTCTAGTTTTCATTTAAAGGTATTTCCTTTTTCACCATAGGCCTTAATGCGCTCCAAAATATCCCATCGCAGATACTACTGAAACAGTGTTTCCAAACTGCTGAATGAATATAAAGGTTTAACTCTGCGAGATGAATGAACACATAACTAAGCGGTTTCACTTGTAGCTTCTTTCAGTTTTTGTCTCAGGCTGTTCATTTTTTTTGCCTTTGGCTTGAATGAATTCCCAAATGTCCTTTTGCAGAATCTACAAAAACAGTGTTTCCAAACTGCTGAATAAAAAGAATGGCTTAACTCTGCAAGATGAACAGACACATAACCAAGTGCTTTCTCAGATATCTTCCTTCTAGATTTTATCCTGAGAGATTCACTTTTTCAACTTTGGCCTCAATGAATTCCCAACTAAATCTTCAAAGATTCGACAAAAACAGTGTTTCCATACTACTGAATCCAAAGAAACATTTAAGTCTGTGAGATGAATGCACACATCTCAAAGCAGTTTCTCACAAAGCTTCTTTCTAGTTTTTATCTGAAGATATTTCCTTTTTCATTGTAGGCCTCAATTCGCTCACAGATAACTGTTTGCAGATTCTACAAAAATGATGTTTCCAAACTGTGGAATGAAATGGAGATTTACATCTTTGAGATGAATTTACACGACACACATCAGTTTCTGAAATAGCTTCCTTCTAGTTTTTAACCTGTGACGTTTGCATTTTCACCATTGGCCTCTATGAGCTCCCGATTCTCCAACAACAGTGTTTCCAAAGTGTTAAATCCAAAGAAAGTTTTATCTCTGTGAAATGAATGCACACATCACAAGGCAGTTTCTCAGATAGCTTCCTTCTAGTTTTTATCCTGGGGTATTCACTTTTTCACCATTGGCCTCTATGAACTCCCAAATGTCCATATGCAGAATGGACAAAAACAGTGTTTGCAAATGGCTGAGTCCACAGAAAAGCTAAACTCTCCGAGGTGAATGCACATATATCAAGTCAGTTTCTCAGAAATCTTTTTTCTAGATTTATCTGAAGATATTTCCTTTTTCACCACAGGCCTCAATGCACTCCCAGATATCCCTTTGCATATTCTATGAAAACAGTGTTTCCAAACTGCTGAATGAAAAGCAAGGTTTAACTCTGAGATATGAATGCACACATCACAAAGCAGTTTCTCAGATAGCTTCCTTCTAGTTTTTATCCTGGGATATTTGCTTTTTTTCCATTGGCCACAAATGGCTCCCAAGTGTCCATTGGCAGAATGGACAACAACAGTGTTTGCAAACTGCTGAATCCAAAGAGGGTTTAACTCTGTGAGATGAATGCACACACCACAAAGCAGTGTTTCAGAAAGCTTCTTTCTAGTTTTTATCTGAAGGTATATCCTTTCTCACCATAGACTTCAATGCACTCCCAGATATCCATTCGCAGATTATATGAAACCAGTGTTTCCAAACAGCTGAATGAAAAGAAAGGTTTAACTCTGTGAGATGAATGCATACATCACAAAGCGGTTTCTCAGACAGCTTCCTTCTGGTTATTATCCTGGGATATTCGCTTTTTCTCCATTGAACCCAATGAGCTGCCATATGTCCATTCACAGGATAGACAAAAACAGTGCTTACAAACTGCTGAATGCACAGAAAGTTTTAACTCTGTGAGATGAATTTTCAAAACACAGAGCAGTTTCTCATGGAGCTTTTTTCTAGTTTTTAAGTGAACATATTTCCTTTTTCACCATAGACCTCAATGCGCTCCAAGATATCATTTTGCAGATACTATGAAAAGAGTGTTTCCAAATTGCTGAAAGGAAAGAAAGGTTTAACTCTGTGAGATTAATGCACACATGAGAAAACTGTTGCTCAAAGAGCTCCCTTCTAGTTTTTACCCTGGGATATCCTTTTTTTGCCATTCACCTCATTAAGCTCCCAAATATCCCTTCCCAGCTTCTTAAAAAAACAGTGTTTCTAAACTGCTGAATCCACAGAATGGTTTAACTCTCTGAGATGAATGCACACATCACAAAGCATTTTCCAAGAAAGCTTCTTTCTAGTTTTTATCTGAAGATATTTCCTTTTTCAACATAGGCCTCTAGGTTCTCCCAAATATCCTTTTGCAGATTCTTCCAAAACTGTGTCTCCAGACTGCTATATGAAAATAAAAGTTTAATCTGTGAAGTTAATGCACACATCACAAGGCAGTTTCTCAGATCGCTCCATTGTACTTTTATTTATTTATTTATTTATTTATTTATTTATTTATTATTACACTTTAAGTGTTAGGGTACATGTGCACATTGTGCAGGTTAGTTACATACATATACATGTGCCATTCTGGTGTGCTGCACCCACTAACTCGTCATCTAGCATTAGGTATATCTCCCAATGCTATCCTTCCCCCCTCCCCCCACCCCACAACAGTCCTCAGAGTGTGATGTTCCCCTTCCTGTGTCCATGTGTTCTCATTGTTCAATTCCCACCTATGAGTGAGAATATGCGGTGTTTGGTTTTTTGTTCTTGTGATAGTTTACTGAGAATGATGATTTCCAATTTCATCCATGTCCCTACAAAGGACATGAACTCATCATTTTTTATGGCTGCATAGTATTCCATGGTGTGTATGTGTCACATTTTCTTAATCCAGTCTATCATTGTTGGACATTTGGGTTGGTTCCAAGTCTTTGCTATTGTGAATAATGCCGCAATAAACATACGTGTGCATGTGTCTTTATAGCAGCATGATTTATAGTCGTTTGGGTATATACCCAGTAATGGGATGGCTGGATCAAATGGTATTTCTAGTTCTAGATCCCTGAGGAATCACCACACTGACTTCCACAATGGTTGAACTAGTTTACAGTCCCACCAACAGTGTAAAAGTGTTCCTATTTCTCCACATCCTCTTCAGCACCTGTTGTTGTCTGACTTTTTAATGATTGCCATTCTAACTGGTGTGAGGTGGTATCTCATAGTGGTTTTGATTTGCATTTCTCTGATGGCCAGTGATGGTGAGCACTTTTTCATGTGTTTTTTTTATCCTGGGATATTCCCTTTCTGGCCATTGGCCCCAGTGAGCACCCAAATGTCCACTCATAGAATGGACAAAAACAGTGTTTGTAAACTGATGAATCCACAAAAAGTTTTAACTCTTTGGGATGAATTCACACATCACAAAGCAGTTTCTCAGATAGCTTCTTTCTAGTTTTTATCTGAAGATAATTCCTTTTTCACCAAAGGCCTCAATGCACTCCCAAATATCCCTTCACAAATTCTGCAAAAAGAATAATTCCAGACAGCTGAATGAAAAGAAAGGTTTATCTCTGTGAGTTAATGCATATGTCACAAAACAGTTCATCAGATAACTTGTTTCTTGTTTTTATCCTGGGCTATTCACTTTTTGGCCATTGGCCTCATTTCACTCCCTAATGTCCAATCACAGAGTGGACAAAAACAGAGTTTGCAAACTGCTGAATCCACAGAAAGATTTACCTCTGTGAGATGAATGCATACATCACAAGGCAGCTTTTCAGAGTGCTTCTTTCTGGTTCTTATCTGAAGATATCTCCTTTTTCACAATAGGCCTCAATATTCTCCCAGATATCCCTTCACAGATTCTAAAAAAAAAAAAAAGTTTAAAAACTGCTGAAAGAAAAGAAAGGTTTAATCCTGCGAGATGAATGCACCCATCATAAGACAGTTTCTCAGAGAGCTTCCTTCTAGTTTTTATCCAGGGATATTTGCTTTTTCTCCTTTGGCCTCAATAAGCTCTGAAATATCCCTTCATAGATTCAATAACAACAGTGTTTCCAAACTGCTGAATCCAAAGAAAAGTTTAACTTTGTGAGATGAATGCACACATCACAAAGTAGTTTCTTAGAAAGCTTCTTTCTAGTTCTCATGTGAAAATATTTTCTTATTCACATAGGCCTCAATGTGCTCCCAAATATCCCTTTGCAGATTCTGTCAAAACAGTGTTTCCAGACTGCTGTATGAAAGGAAATTTTTAACTCTGAGTGGTGAATGCACCCATCACAAAGCAGTTTCTCAGATATCTTTCTTCTAGTTTTTTTCCTCAGATATCCCCTTTGTCACCTTTGGCCTCATTAAGCTCACAAATATCCCTTCACAGGGTCTACAACAACAGTGTTTGCAAACTGCTGAATCCACAGAAAGGTTTAACTCTGTAAGATAAATGCACACATCAAAAAGCAGTTTCTCAGAAAACCTCCTTCTAGTTTTTATCTGAATATATTTCCTTTTTCACCATAGGCCTCAATGCACTCCCAAATAACCCTTCACGGATCCTGCAAAAACAGTGTATCCAGACAGCTGAATGAAAAGAAAATTTTATCTATGGAAGGTGAATGCAAACATCACAAAGCAGTTTCTCAGATAGCTGCCTTCCAGATTTTACCCTGGGATATTAACTTTTTCACCATTAGCCTCAATTAGTTGCAATATGTCCATTTGCAGAATGGACAAAAACAGTGTTTGCAAACTGCTGAATCCACAGAAAGGTTTAACTCTGTGAGATAAATGCACACATCACAAAGCATTTTCTCAGAAAGCTTCTTTCTAGTTTGTATCTGAAGATATTTCCTGTTTCACAGTAGGCCTGTATGCGCTCCCAAATATAACTTCACAGATTCTACAAAAACAGTGTTTCCAAACTGGTGAATGAAAAGAATGTTTTGCTCTGGGAGATGAATGGACACATCAAAAAGCAGTTTATCAGATGAGTTCCTTCAAGGTTTTATCCTGGGATATTCCATTTTTTACATTTGGACTCATTTAGCTCCAAAATCCCTTCACAGATTCCACAACAGTGTTTCCAAACTGCTGAATGAAAAGAAAGTTTTAACTCTGTGAGATGAATGCACACAACAGAAAGCAGTTTCTTAGAAACCTTCTTTCTAGTTTTTATCTGAAAATATTTCCTTTTTCACCATAGGTGTCAATGCCCTCCTTTATATCCCTTCAAGGATTTTGCCAAAACAGTTTTCCAGACTACTGTATGAACAGAAAGTTTTCACTCTGTGAGGTGAATGCACACAACACAAAGCTGTTGCTTAGGAAGCTTCTTTCTAGTTTTTATCTGAAGATATGTCTTTTTTCACTGTTGGCCTCAATGCGCTCCCAAATATCCCATCATGGATTCTGCCAAAACAATGTTTCCAGAACTGCTGAATTAAAAGAAGGTTTTAACTCTGAGAGGTGAATGCTCACATCACAAAGCAGTGTCTCAGAAAGCTTCTTTCTAATGTTTATCTGAAGATATTTCCTTTTTCACCATAGGCCTCAATGCACTCCTAGATAGCTCTTTGCAGATTCTACGAAAACAGTGTTTCCAAACTGCTGTTTGAAAAGAATGGTTAACTTCTGCAAGATGAATGCATACATCACAAAGCAGTTTCTCAAACAGCTTCCTTCTAGTTTTTATCCTGGGGTATTCTCTTTTCTAACGTTGGCCTTAATGAGCTCCCAACTGTCCATTTGCAGAATGGAGAAAAAAGTGTTTGCAAACTGCTGAATCCACGGAAAGTTTTATCTCTGTGAGATGAATGCAATT
Source organism: Homo sapiens (assembly GCF_000001405.40). Classification (NCBI taxonomy): domain Eukaryota; kingdom Metazoa; phylum Chordata; class Mammalia; order Primates; family Hominidae; genus Homo; species Homo sapiens. The sequence continues at coordinate 62,797,611 of NC_000007.14, read as the reverse complement.
AACACAAAACCGTTTCTCAGAAAAGTTCTTCCTGTTTTTTATCTGAACATATTTCCTTTTTCACCATAGACCTCAATGCACCCTTATAACTTTGCGGATTCTACCAAAAGCATGTTTCCAAACTGTTAAATGAAAAGAAAGTTTTAACTCTTTTAGATGTATGTGCACATCACAAAGTGGTCTCTCAGACAGATTCCTTCTAGTTTTAATCCTGGGATATTAACTATTTTGCCATTGGCCTCAGGTTAGCTCAAAACATCCATTTGCATAGTGGATAAAAACAGTATTTGCAAACTGTTGAATCCGCAGAAAGGTTTACCTCTGTGAGATGAATGCACACATCAGAAAACAGTTTCTCAGAAAGCTTCTTTCTACTGTATATCTGAAGATATTTCCTTTTTCACCATAGGCCACAATGCACTCCCAGATACCCCTTAGCAGATTCCATGAAAACAGTTTTTCTTAACTGCTGAATGAAAAGAAAAGTTTAACTCTGTGAGATGAATGCACACATCACAAGCTGGTTTCTCCAATAGTTTCCTTCTAGTTTTTATCCTGGGATAATCTTTTTTTGGCCATTGACCTTAAAGAGTTCCCAAATGTCCATTCACAGAATGGACAAAAACAGTGTTTACTAACTACTGAATACACAGAAAGGTTGAAGTCTGTGAGATGAATGCACAGAACACAAAGCAATTTATCAGAAAGCTTCTTTCTAGTTTTTATCTGAAGATATTTCCTTTTTCACCATGGGCACCAATTCGCTCCCAGATAGCCCTTTGTAGATTCTATGAAGACAGAGTTTCCAAACTGTTGAGTGAAAAGAAAGGATTAACTCTGTGAGATGAATGCAGACATCACAAAGCAGTTTCTCAGGTAGCTTCCTTCTAGTTTTTATGCAGGAATATTCACTTTTTTGCCATTGGTCTCAATGAGCTCCCAAATATCCCTGCAGAGATTCTAAAACAACAGTGTTTCCACATTGCTGATTCCAAAGAAAAGTTTAACTCTGTGAGATAAATGCACACATCACAAAACAGTTTCTCAAAAAGTGTCTTTTTAGTTTTTATTGGAAGATATTTCCTTTTTCAGAATAGGCCTCTATGCACTCCCAAATATCCATTCACAGATTCTACAAACAAAGCTTCTTCCAAACTGCTGAATAAAAAGAAAGATTTAACTCTGAGAGATGAATACACACACCACAAAGCAGTTTCTCAGGCAGTTTCCTTCTATTTTTTATCCTTGGATATTCGCTTTTTTGCCATTGACTTCACTGTGCTCTAAAAATATCCTGTCTCAGATTCTAAAACAACAGCTTCCAAACTGATGAACCCAAAGAAAGGTTTAACTCTGTGATATGAATGCACACATCACAAAGCAGTTTCTCAGAATGTTTCTTTCTAGTTTTCATCTGAATATATTTCCTTTCTCACCATAGGCCTCAACGCGCTCCCAAATATCCCTGTGCAAATTCTGCCAAAACAGTGTTTTCAGACTGCAGCATGAAAAGAAAGGTTTATCTCTGCAAGGTGAATGCACACATCACAAAGTGGCTTCTCAGATAGCTTCCTTCCAGTTTTTATCATGGGATATACGCTTGTTCGCCATTGGCCTCAATGAGCTCCGAAATGTCCATTTGCAGAATGGACAAAAACAGTGTTTGCAAACTGCTGAATTCAGAGAAAGATTTAACTGTGTCAGGTGAATGCACACATCGCAAATCAGTTTCACAGAAAGCTTCTCTCTAGTTTTTACCAGAAGATATTTTCCTTTTCTCCATTGTCCTTAATGTGCTCCCAGTTATCCCTTTGAGGATACTGCCAAAACAGTTTTTCCTGATTGTTGAATGAAAAGAATGTTTTAACTCTGTGAGGTGAATGCACATATCACAAAATGGCTTCTCAGATAACTTCCCTCTAGTTTTTATACTGGGATATTGGCTTTTTCACCATTGGCCTCAATGAGCTCCCAAATATCCCTTCACAGATTCTGCAAAAACAGTGTTTCTGATCTGCTGAATCAAAAGAAAGGTTTAACTCTGTGAGATGCATGCACACATCACAAAGCAGTTTCTCAGAAAGTTTCTCTGTAAGTTTTATCTGAAGGTATTTCCTTTTTCACCCTAGGCATCTATGCATTCTGAAATATAACTTCACGGATTCTACCAAAACAATATTTCCACAGTGCTGAATGAAAAGAAATGTTTATCTCTGCGAAGTGAATGCACACACCACAAAGCAATTTCTCCTATAGCTTCCATCTACTTTTTATCTGACGATATTTCCTTTTTCACCATAGGCCTCAATGTGGTCCCAGTTATCCCTTCGAAGATTCAACAATAAGAGTGTTTAAAATACGCTGAATGAAAAGAAACATTTAACTCTGAGGGATGAATGCACACATCACAAAGTGGTTTCTCTTATCGCTTTGTTCTAGTTTTTTTTCTGTGATATTCGTTTTTCTCCATTGGCCTCATTAAGCTCCTAAATATCCATTCACAGGTTCTAAAACACCAGTGTTTCTAAACTGCTGAATGCAAAGAAAGGTTTACCTCTGTAAAATGAATGCACATATCACAAAGCAGTTTCTTAGAAAGCTTCTTTATTGTTTTTATCTGACAATATTTCCTTTTTAACCATAGGCCCAAATGTGCCCCCAGATATCCCTTCACAGATTCTTTGAAAACAGTGTTTCCAAACAGCTGAATGAAAAGAAAAGTTAAACTCTTTGAGATGAATGCATACATCAAGAAGCAGTTTCTCAGATAGCTTGCTTCTAGTTTATATCCTGTGATATTCACTTTTTCTCCATTGGCCTCAATCAGTTCCAAAATATCCATTTGCAGAATGGATAAAAACAGTGTTTTCAAACTGCTGCATCCACAGAAAGGTTTACTTCTGTGAGTTGAATGCACACATCCAAAGCAGTTTCTCAGAAAGCTTTGTTCTAGTTTTTATCTGACGATATTTCTTTTTTCACCATAGGCCTCAATGCACTCCCAGATATCCCTTCACAGATACTATGAAAAAAGTGTTTCCAAACTGCTGAATGAAAAGAAAAGTTTAACTCTTCGAGTTGAATGCACACATCATGAAGCAGTTTCTCAATTAGTTTTCTTCTAGTTTTTATCCTGGGATATTTGCATTTTCACATTGGACTCAGTGAGCTCCCAGATATCCCTTCACAGTTTCCTCAAAAACAGTGTTTCCAAACTGCTGAATGAAAAGACAAGTTGAACTCTACGAGATGAATACACACATCCCAAAATGGTTTCTCAAACAGCTTCCATCTAGTTTTTATCCTGGCATATTCGCTTTTTCGTCTTTGGTCTCAATGAGCTCCCAAATGTCCACTTGCAAATGGACAAAAACAATGTGTGCAAACTGCTTAATCCAAAGAAAGGTTGAATTATGTGAGATGAATGCACATATCACAAAGAATTTTCTCCAAAAGCTTCCTTCTAATTTTTATCTGAAGATATTTCTTTTGTTTGCAGAGGATTCTATGCACTCAAAAATATAACTTCGTGGATACTACAAAGACAGTGTTTCCAGAGTGCTGTATGAAAAGAAAGTTTTTACTCTGTGAGGTGAACACACATTTCAAAAAGTTGTTTCTCAGATAGCTTCTTTCTAGTTCTTATCCTGGCATATTAACTTTTTTTGCCATTGTCCTCAATGAGCTTCCAAATATCCATTCACAGAATGGACAAAAACAGTTTTTCCAAACTGCTGACTCAACTGAAAGCTTTAACTCTGTGAGATGAATGCACACATCACAAAGCAGTTTCTCACAAAACTTCTTTCTAGTTTTTATCTGAAGATATTTACTTTTTCACCATAAGCCTTAATTCACTCCCAAATATCCTTTTGCGGATTCTGCCAAAACAGTTTTTCTGGACTGCTGAATGAAAAGAAGGTTTTAAATCTGTGAGGTGAATGCACACAACACAAAGCAGTTCCTCTGATGGCTTCCTTCTAGCTTTTAACCTGGGATATTCATTTTGTCGCCATTGGCCTCGATGAGCTCCCAAATATCCGTTCACAGATTGTGCAACAACAGTGTTTGAAAACTGCTGAATCCACAGAAAGTTTTAACTCTGTGAGGTGAATGCACACATCACAAGGCAGTTTCTCAGAAAGCTTCTTTCCAGTTTATATCTGAAGATATTTCCTTTTTCACCATAGGCCTCAATGTGCTCTCAAATATACCTTCCCGGATTCTGCCAAAAAAATGTCTGCAGATTGCTGAATGAAAATAAAAATTTATCTCTGTGAGCTGAATGCACACATCAGAAAGCAGTTTCTCAGATAGCTTCATTTCAGTTTTTATCCTGGGATATTAGCTTTTTTAACATTGGCCTCTATGAGCTCCACAATGCCTATTCACAGAATGGACAAAAACAGTGTTTGCAAACTGCTGAATCCCCAGAATGGTTTAACTCTGTGAGACAAAACCACACATCACAAAGCTGTTTCCCAGAAAACTCCTTTCTAGCTTTTATCTGAAGTTATTTCCTTTTTCACCATAGGCCTCAATGCACTCCCAGATATCCCTTCACAGATTCCAGGAAAACAGTGTTTCCAAACTGCAGAATGAACAGACAGTTTTAACTCTGTGAGATGAATGCATAAGTCACAAAGTGTTTCCACACATAGTTTCCTTGTAGTTTTTATCCTAGGATATTCACTTTTTTCCCTTTGGCCTTAATGGGCTCCAAAATGTCCATTTACACAATGGACATAAACAGTGTTTGCAAAATGTTTACTCCAAAGACAAGTTGAACTCTGTGATAGCAATGCACACATCACGAAGCTGTTCATAGAAATCTTCTCTCTAGTTTTTATCTGAAGATACTTCCTTTTTCACCATAGGCCTCTATATTCTCTCAAATATCACTTTGTAGGTTCTACACCAACATTGTTTCCAAACTGCTGAATCCAAAGAAAGGTTTAACTCTGTGAGATGAATGCACACATCACAAAGCAGTTTCTCAGAAAGCTTCTTTCTAGTTTTCAACTGAGGATATTTTCTTTTCACCATAGGCCTCAATGTGCTCCAAAATATCCCTTCGCAGATTCTGCTGAAACAGTGTTTCCAGACTGCTGAATGAAAAGAAAGTTTTAACACTGAAGATGAATGCTCAAATCACAAAACGGATTATCAAATAACTTCCTTCAAGTTTTTATTCTTGGATGTTTGCTTTTTCACCATTGGTGTCAATGATCTCCCAAATATCTCTTTGCAGATTCTAACACAACAGTGTTTCCAAACTGCTGAATCCAAAGAAAGGTTTCACTCTGTGAGATGAGGGCACACATCATAAAGCAGTTTCTCAGAAAGCTTCTTTCTAGTTTTTATCTGAAGTATTTCCTTTTTCACCATAGGCCTCAATGTGCTCCCAGATATCCCTACACAGATTCTCTGAAAACAGTGTTCCAAACTGCTGATTGAAAAGAAAGGTTTAACTCTTTGAGATGAATGCACATGTCACAAAGCAGTTTCTCAAATAGCCTCCTTCTAGTTTTTATCCTGAGATATTCCCTTTTTTGCCATTGGCCTCAATGAGCTCCCAAATGTCCATTTGCAGAATGGACAACAAAAGTGTTTTCAAAATGCTGTATCAAAAGAAAATTTTAACTCTTTGAGATGAACGCACACATCTCAAAGCAGTTTATCAGAAAGTTTCCTTCTAGTTTTTTTCTGATGATATTTCCTTTTTCACCATAGGCCTTAATGCGCTGCCAGATATCACTTTGCAGATTCTATGAAAACAGTGTTTCCAAGCAGATTAATGAAAAGAAACGTTTAACTCTATGAGATTAATACATGCATCACAAAGCAGTTTCTCAGAAAGCTTCTCTCTTGGTTTCATCTGAAGATATTTCCTTTTTCACCATAGGCCTCAATGCACTCCCAAATATCCGTTCACGGATTTTGCCAAAACAGTGTTTCCAGACTGCAGAATTAAAAGAAAGGTTTATCTCTGCGAGTTGAACGTGCCCATCACAAAGTTCTTTCTCAGATAGCTTCCTTCTAGTTTTTATCCTAGGATATTCACTTTTTCACCATTGGCCTCAACGAGTTCCCAAATATCCAATGGCAGAATGGACAAAAACAGTATTTGTAAACTGTTGAATCCACACAAAGGTTTAACTCTGTGAGGTAAATGCACACATCACAAAGCAGTTTCTCACAAAGATTCTTTCTAGTTTTTATCAGAAGATATTTCCTTTTTCACCATAGGCATCAATGTGCTCACAGATATCCCTTCACACTTTGTATGAAAACAGTGTTTCCAAACTGTTGAATGAAAAGAAAGGTTTAACTCTGTGAGATGAATACACACATCACAAAGGGGTTTGTCAAAGAGATTCCTTCTAGTTTTTATCGTGGGATATTCACTTCTTTGCCCTTGGCCTAAATGAGCTCCCAAATATCCCTTCACAGATTCTACAACAACAGTGTTTTCAAACTGTTGAGTCCAAAGAAAGGTTTAACTCTGTGAGAAGAATGCACACATCTTAAAGCAGTTTCTCAGAAAGCTTCTTTCTAGTTTTTATCTGAAGATATTTCCTTTTTTACATAGGCCTCTATGTGCTCCCAAATATTCTTTTATGGATTCTACAAAAAGAGTGTTGAATACTACTGAATTAAAACATGGTTTAACTCTTAGAGGTGAATGCACACATCACAACCTCGTTTCTCAGAAAGCTTCCTTCTAGAATTTTATTCTGGAATATTCGCTTTTTCACCATTGGCCTCAATGAGCTCTCAAATGTCCATTTGCAGAAAGGGCAAAAACTGTTTGCACACTGCTGAAATCATAGAAAGGTTTAATTCTGTGAGGTTAATGCAACCATCACAAAGCAGTTTCTCAGAAAGCTGCTTTCTAGATTTTATCCGAAGATATTTCCTTTTTCACCATAGGTCCCAAAGCACTCCCAGATATCCCTTCACAGATTCTACTAAAATGGTGTTTCCAAACTGCTGAATGAAAAGGATGGTTTAACTCTGCTGGATGAATGCACACATCACAAAGCTGTTTCCCAAATAGCTTCCTTGTAGTTTTTATCCTGGGATATTTGCTTTCTCACCATTGTCCTCAATGAGCTCCAAAATATAACTTTGCAGATTCTACAGTGACAGTGTTTCCAAACTGCTGAATCCAAATGAAGGTTTAACTCTGTGAGATGAATGCACACACCACAAAGCAGTTTCTCAGAATGTTTCTTTCTAGTTTTTATTTGAAGATATTTCCTTTTTCACCATAGGCCTCAATGTTCTGCAAAATATCCCTTCAATGATCCTGCCAGAACAGTGTTTCCAAATTGCTGAATGAAAAGGAAGTTTTAACTCTGCGAGGTGAATGCACACATCACCAAGCAGTTTCTCAGACAGCTTCCTTCTTGTTTTTTACTTGGGATATTTGCTTTTTTGCCTTTGGCCTCAATAAGCTCCCAAATATCCTTTCACAGATTCTACAACAGTGTTTCCATACTGCTGAATACACAGAAATGCTTAACTCTGTGAGATGAATTCACACATTAGAAATCAGCTTCTCAGAAAGCTTCTTTCTCATTTTTATCTGAAGATATTTCCATTTTCCCTATAGGCCTGGATGTGCGCCCAAATATAACTTCACAGGTACCACAAAAACAGTGTTTTCAAGCTGCTGGATGAAAAGAAAGGTTTAACTCTGAGAGATGAATGAACACATCACAAAGCGGATTCTCAGATAGTTTCCTTTCCGTTTTTCCTGGGGTGTTCGCTTTTTCGCCTTTGGCCTCTTTAAGCTCCCAAATATCCCTTCGCAGACTCTAAAACAACAGTGTTTCCAAACTGCCTAATCAAAAGAATGGCTTAACTCTGTGAGGTGACTGCACACATCACAAAGCAGTTTCTCAGAAAGCTTTTATCTAGTTTTTCTCTGAAGATATTTCCTTTTTCACCACAGGCCTCAATGCGCTCCAAAATATCCCTTTGCAGATTCTGCCAAAACAGTTTTTCCAGAATGCTGAATGAAAAGAAAGGTTTATCTCTGAGAGGTGAATTCATACTTTGAAAGCGGTTTCATAGATAACTTCCTTCCAGTTTTTACCCTGGATTATTCCCTTTTCCACCATTGGCCTCAAGGAGATCTCAAATGTCCATTTGCAGAATGGAGAGAAACAGTGTTTCTAGACTGATGATTCCACAGAAGGCTTTAACTGTGTGAGATGAATGCACACATCACAATGCAGTTTCCCAGAAAGTTTCTTTCTAGCTTTTTTTCTGAAGTTATTTCCTTTTTCACCATAGGTCTCAAAGCGCTCCCAAATATAACTTTGCAGATTCTATGAAAACAGTGTTTCCCAACTATTCTGTGAAAACAAATTTTAACTCTGTGAGATGAACGCAAATATCACAAGGCAGTTTCTCAAAGAGCTTCCTTCTAGTTTTTATGTTGGGATACTTACTTCTTTGCCATTTGCCTCAATGAGCTCCCACATATCCCTTCACAGATTCTACAACAACTGTGTTTCCAAACTGCTGAATCCAAAGAAAGGTTTAACTCTTGAGATGAATGCAAGCATCACAAAGGAGTTTCTCAGAAACCTTCTTTCTAGTTTTTATCTGAAGATATTTCTTTTTTCTCCATAGGTCTCAATGTGCTTGCAGATATCCCTTCATAGATTCTATGAAAACAGGGTTTACAAACTGCTGCAAGAAAAGACAGGTTTAACTCTGAGAGAAGAATGCAGACATCAAAAAGCGGTTTCTAAAATAGCTTCTTTCTATTTTCTATCCTGGGATACTCACTTTTTTGCCATTGGCATCAATAAGCTCAAAAATTTCTATTTGCAGAAGGGCAAAAAGAGAATTTGCAAACTGTTGAATCCACAGAAAGGTTTAACTCTGTGAGATGAATGCACACATCACAAAGCTGTTTCTCAGAAAGCTTCTTTCTAATTTTTATCTGAAGATATTTCCTTTCTCACCACTGGTATCTATGCTCTCCCAAATATTCCTTCGTGGCTTCTGGCAAACAGTGTTTCCAGACTACTGAATGAAGAGAAAGGTTTATCTCTGTGAGATGAATGCACACACCACAATGCAGTTTCTCAAATAGCTTTCTACCAGCTTTTATCCTGGGATATTGGTTTTTTTGTCACTGGCCTCAATGAGCTCCCAAATGTCCATTTGCAGAATGGAAAAAACAGTGTTTGCAAACTGCTGAATCCACAGAAAAGTTTAAATCTGTGAGTTGAATGCACACATCACAAAGCAGTTTCTCAGCAAGTTTCTTTCTAGTTTTTATTGGAAGATATTTCCTTTTTCACCATAGGTCTCAATGCACTCCCACATGTATCTTTGCGGATTCTGCCAAAACAGTGTTTACAGACTGCTGAATGAAAAGAAATTTTTTTCTGTGTGAAGTCAATTCACGCGTCACAAACGATTTCTCAGATAGATTGCCTCTAGTTTTATCCTGGGATATTTGCTTTTTCACCATTGGACTCAATTAGCTACCAAATATCCCTTTGCAGATCCTACAACAATAGTGTTTCCAAACTGCTGAATCTAAAGAAAGGTTTAGCTCTGTGAGATGAATGCACATATCACAAACTCTTTCTCAGAAATCTTTCGAGTTTTTATGTGAAGATATTTGCTTTTACACCATTGGCCCCTATGTGCTCCCAAATATCTCTTTGTGGTTTCTGGAAAATAGTGTTTTCAGACTGTTGAATGAAAAGAAAAGTTTATGTCTCTGGGGTGAATGCACACGTCAGAAATCGGTTTTTAAAATAACTTCCTTCTTATTTTTATCCTGGGATATTCACTTTTCTGCAATTGGCCAATTGAGCTCAATGAGCACCCAAATGTCCATTCTCAGAATGGACAAAATAGTGTTTGCAAATGGCTGAATCCACAGAAAGGTTTAACTCTGTGAGGTGACTGCACACATCATAAAAGAGTTTTTCATAAAGCTCCTTTCTAGTTTTTATCTGAAGATATTTCCTTTTACACCATTGGCCTGAATGCGCTCCCAAATATCCCTTTGCAGATTCTGCCAAACAGTGTTTCCAGACTACTGTATGAAAAGAAACTTTTAACTCTGTGAGGTGAATGCACACATCACAAAGAGGCTTCTCAGATAGTTTCTTTGTAGTTTTTAACCTGGGATTTTTGCTTTTTTGCCACTGGCCTCAATGAGTTCCCAAATATCCGTTTGCGGATTGTATAAAAACAGTGTTTCCAACCTGCTGAATCCAAAGAAAATTCTAACTCTGTGAGATGAATGCACACATCAAAAAGCTGTTTCTCGGAAAGCTTCATTCTAGTTTTTATCTGAAGATATTTCCTTTTTCACCATAGGCCTCAATGCACTCCCAAATATCCCTTCATGGATCCTGCCAAAAGATTTTTTCCAGACTGTTGTATGAAAAGAAACTTTTAACTCTGTGAGTTGAATGCATGCATCACAAAGAGGTTTCTCAGAGAGCTTCTTTCTGGTTTTTATCCTGGGATGTTCACTTTCTCGCCATTGGCCTCAATGAACTCCCAAATATCCCTTTGTGGATTCTACAACAACAGTGTTTCCAAAATGCTAAATCCAAAGAAAGGTTTAACTCTGTGAGATGAGTGAACACATCACAAATAAGTTTCTCAGAATGCTTCTTTCTACTTTTTATCTGAAAAAATTTATTTTTTCACCATGGGCCTTAATGTGCTCCCAAATATCCCTTCACAGATTCTGCCAAAACAGTTTTTCCAGACTGCTGTATGAAAAGAAAGTTTTAAATATGTGAGGTGAATGCACACACATCACAAAGCAGTTTCTCAGATAGCTTATTTGTACTTTTTGTCCTGGCATATTCACTTTTTTGCCATTGGCTTCAATGAGCTCTCAAATGTTCATTCACAGAATAAACAAAATCAGTGTTTGCAAAGTGTTGAATGCACAGAAAGTTATAACTCTGCGAGATGAATGCCCACGTCACAAACATATTTGTAGAAAGCTTCTTTCTAGTTTGTATCTGAATATATTTACTTTTTCACCATAAACCTCAATGTGCTCCAAGATATCCCTTCACAGATTCTACGAAAACAGTGTTTTGAAACTGCTGAATGAAAATAAATTTTACCTCTGTGAGATGAATGCACACATCACAAAGCAATTTCTCAGATTGCTTCCTTCTAGTTTTTTTCCTGGGATATTTGCTGTGTCATTGTTGGCCTCATTAACCTCCGGAATATCCCTTTGCAGATTCTACAATAATGGTGTTTCCAAACTGCTGAATCCAAAGAAATGTTTAACTCTGTGAGTTGAATGAACTCATCACAAGCAGTTTCTCAAAAAGCTTCTTTCTAGTTTTTATCTGAAGATATTTCCTTTTTCACCATAGGCCTCAAAGCACTTCCAAATATACCTTCATGGGTTCTTCCAAAACAGTGTTTCTAGACTGCCATTTGAAAAGAAAGTTTTAGCACTGCAAGGTGAATGCACACATTACAAAGCAGTTTATCAGAAAGCCTCTTTATAGTTTTTATTTGAAGCTATTTCCTTTTTCACCATAGGCCTCAATGCACTCCCAGATATCACTTCACAGATTCTACAGATGAAAGCACACATCACAAAGCAGTTTCTCAGAAAGCTTCTTTCTAGTTTTTATCTGAAGACATTTCCTTTTTCACCATAGGTCTCAATGCAGTCCCAGATATTTCTTCACAAATTCTACAAAAACAGAGTTTCTAAACTGCTGATTGAAAAGGAAGTTTTAAATCTGTGAGGTGAATGCACACATCACAAAGCAGTTTCTCAGATAGCTTGTTTCTCGTTTTTATCCTTGGATATTTACTGTTTGGTTATTGGTCTCAAGGAGCTCCCAAATGTCCTTTTGCAGATTGGACAAACACAGTGTTTGCAAACGGCTGAATCCTCAGAAATATTTAATTCTGTGAGATGAATGCACTCATCATTAAGCAGTTTCTCAGAATGCTTCTTTCTAGTTTTCATCTGAAGATATTTCCTTTTTCACCATAGGTCTTAATGCACTCCCAAATGTAACTTGGCAGATTCTACAAAACAGTGTTTCCAAACTGCTGAATGAAAAGAAAGTTTTAATGCTGAGAGATGAATGTACACATCACAAAGTGTTTTATCAGATAGCTTTCTTCTAGATTTTTTTCCCTCGGATATTCGTTTTTATGCCACTGGCCTCATTAAGATCCAAAATATCCCTTTGCACATTCTACAGCAACAGTGTTTCCAAACTGCTGAATCCAAAGAAATGTTTAATTCTGTGAGATGAGTACACACATGACAAAGCAGTTTCTCAGAAAGCTTCTTTCTAGTGTTTATTTGAAGATATTTCCTTTTTCACCATAGGTCTCAATGTGCTCCCAAATATCCCTTCACAGATTCTTGCAAAAGAGTGTTTCCATACTTCTGAATGAAAAGAAAGTTTTTTCTTTGTGAGATGAATACACATATCATTAAGCACTTTCTCAGAAAGTTTTCTTCTAGTTTTTATCCCGGGATATTTGCTTTATCACCATTGATTTCAATGAGCTGAAGAAATTTCTTTTCACAGAATGGACAAAAACAGAGTTTGCAAACTGTTGAATCCACCCGGGATATTCACTTTATCACCGTTAGTTTCAATGAGCTGAAGAAATTTCCTTTCACAGAATGAACAAATCAGGGTTTGCAAACTGTTGAATCCACAGGAAAATTTTAAAAGAAAGTTTTAATTCTGAGAGATAAATGCACACATCACAAAGTGGTTTCTCAGATAGAATTCTTCTAATTTTTTTCCTGGGATATTCGATTTTACAACTTTGGCCTCATTAAGCTACCAAGTATCCCTTCACAGATTCTATGACAACAGTGTTTCCAAACTGCTGAATCCAAGGAAAAGTTTAACTTTTTGAGAGAAATGCACACATCACAAAGCAGTTTTTCAGAAAGCTTCTCTCTAGTTTTTATTTAAAGATATTTCCTCTTTCACCATAGGCCTCTCTCTCTCCCCAATACACCTTCAGGAATTCTGCCAAAACAGTGTATCCCAACTGCTGAATGAAGAGAAAGTTTTACCTCTATGAGGTGAATGAACACATCACACACAGTTTCTCAGATAGCTTCCTTCTAGTTTTCATCCTGGGATATTTGCTTTTTCACATTTGGCCTCAATGATCTCCTAAATGTACATTCACAGAATGAGCAAAAACTGTGTTTACAAATGGCTGAATACACTGAAAGGTTTAACTCTGTAAGATGAATGCACAGATGAAAATGCAGTTTCTCAGAAAGCGTCTTTCTAGTTTTTATCCCGGGATATTCACTTTTTTGCCATTGGCTTCAGTGAGCTCCAAAATGTCCATTCGCAGACTCTACAGAAACAGGGTTTCCAAATTGCTGAATCCAAAGAAAGGTTTAATTTTTCGAGATGAATGCACACATCACAAAGAGCTTTCTCAAATAGCTTTCTTCCAGTTTTTATCCTGGAATATTTGCTTTTTTGCCATTGATCTCAATGAGTTTCTAAAAATCCCTTTGTAGATCCTACAACAGTTTCCAAATTGCTGATTCCATAGGAAGGTTTAACTCTGTGAAATGAATGCACACATCATAAAGCAGTTTCTCAGTAAGACTCTTTATGTTTTTATCTGAAGATATTTCCTTTTTTACCATAGGCCTAAATGCACTCAAAATAACCCTTTGTAGATTCTGCCAAGACAGTGTTTCCAGACTGCTGTATGAATAGAACATTTTAAATTTACGAGGTGAACGCACACATCAGAAAGCAGTTATTCAGATAGCTTCGTTTTAGTTTTTATCCTGGGATAGTCCCTTTTTCACCATTGGAATCAATGAGCTCCCAAATGTCCATTAACAGATTCTACAATAGTGTTTGCAAACTGCTGAATGCACAGAAAGGTTTAACTCTGTGATAAGAATGCACAGATCATAATGCAGTTTCTCAGAAAGTTTCTTTCTAGTTTTTATCAGAAGATATTTCATTTTTCACCATAGATCACAATGCAATCCTAAATATCCCTTCGTGGATTCTGCCAAAACACTGTTTCCAGACTGCTGAATGAAAAGAAGGTTTTAGCTCTGTGAGAATTCACACATCAAAATCAATTGCTCAAATAGCTTCCTTCTAGTTTTTACCTTTCAATATTCCTTTTTTCACCATTGGCCTCAATGAGCTCACAAACGTCCATTCACAGAATGGACGAAAACAGTGTTTGCAAACTGCTGAATCCACAGACATGTTTATCTCTGTGAGATGAATGCAGACATCACAAAGCAGTTTCTCAGAATGCTTGTTTCTAGTTTTTATGTGAAGATATTTCCTTTTTCGCCATTGGCTTCAAGGCGCTCCCAGATATCCATTCATAAATACTTTGAAAACAATGTTTCCAAACTGCTGAATGAAAAGAAAGGTTTAACTCTGTGAGGTAAATGCACACATCACAAAGCAATTTCTCAAATAGCTTCCTTCTAGTTTTTATCTTGGGATATTCACTTTTCTGCCATTAACCTCAAAAAGCTCCCAAATGTCCATTCACAGAATGGACAAAAACAGTGTTTGCAAAGTACTCAATAAGCAGAAAGTTTGAATTCTGTGAGATGAATATACACATCACAAAGCAGTTTATCAGAAAGCTTCTTTCTAGTTTTTACCTGAAGATATTTCCTTTTTCACCATAGGCCTCAAAGCACTCCCATATATCACTTTGCAGACTCTAGGAAAACAGTGTTTACAATCTGCTGAATGAAAAGAAAAGTTTAATTTTGTGAGGTGAATGCACATATCACAAAGCAGTTTCTCAAATACCTTCATTCTAGTTTTTATATTGTGATATTCACTTTTTCACCATTGACCTCAAAGAGCTACCAAACATCCTTTCACAGATTCTACAACAACAGTGTTTCCAAACTGCTGAATCCAGAGAAACGTTTCATTCTGTGAAATGAATGCAAACATCAGAAAGCATTTTCTCAGAAAGGTTCATTCTAGTTTTTATCTTAAGATAGTTCCTTTTTCACCATGGGCCTCAATGCACTCCCAAATTTCCTTTTGCAGTTTCTAAAAAAACAGTGTTTCCAAACTACTAAATGAAAAGGAAGGTTTATCTCTGCTAGATGAATGCTCACTTCACAAAGCAGTTTCTCAGATCACTTCCTTCTAGTTTTAATCCTGAGATATTTGCTTATTCACCATTGCCGTCAATGAGCTCCCAAGGTCCATTCACAGAATGGACAAAAACAGTGTTAAGAAACTGCTCGATCCAAAGAAAAGTTTAACTCTCTTAGATGAATGTACACATCCCAAGCCAGTTTCTCATTAAGCTTCTTTCTAGTTTTTAATTGAAGATATTTCCTTTTTCACCATTGGCCCCCATACTCTTCCAAATATCTCTTTGAAGATTCTCAGAAAAGAGTGTTTCCAAACTGCTCTTTCTAGTTTTTATCTGAACATATTTCTTACTCACCAAAAGGCCTCAAAGCACTACCAAGTATCCTTTTGCAGTTTCTATAAAAACAATATTTCTAAACTGCTGAAAGAAAAGAAAGGTTTAACTCTGCTAGATGAATGCATACATCACAAAGCAATTTCTCAGATAGCTTCCTTCTACTTTTTTTCCTGTAATATTCTCTTTTTCGCCATTGGCCTCAATGAGCCCCCAAATGTCCACTCGCAGAACGGACAAAAACAGTGTTACTACACTGCTGAATCCAAAGAAAGGTTTAACTCTGTGAGGTGAATGCACACAACCAAAACCAGTTTCTCATTAAGTTTCTTTCTGGTTTTTAAATGAAGACATTTCCTTTTTCAGCATAGGTTTCAATGCACTACCAAATATCTCTTCACAGATTGTAGCAAATCAGTGTCTCCAAACTGCTAAATGAAAAGAAAGGTTTAACTCTCTGAGATGAATGCACACATCCCAAAAGTTTCTCATTAAGATTCTTTTTAGTTTTTAACTGAAGATATTTCCTTTTTCACCATTGGCCTCCACACTCTTCCAAATATTTCTTTGCAGATTCTAAGAAAACAGTGTTTCTAAACTGCTGAATGAAGAGAACAGTTTAACTCTGTGAAATGAATGCGCACATCACGAATCAGTTTCTCAGACAATTTCCTTCTAGTTTTTATCCTGGGATATTTGGTTTTACAGCAATGGCCTCAATGAGCTCCCAAATGTCCATTCACAGAATGGACAAAAACAGTGTCAACAAACTGCTGAATCCAAAGAAAGGTTTAACTTTCAGAGTTGAATGCAAACATCCCAAACCACTTTCTCTTTAAGCTTCTTTCTGGTTTTTATTTGAAGATGTTTGCTTTTGCACTATAGGCCTCAATATTCTTCCAAATATCTACTCACAGATTCTAAGAAAAGAGTGTTTCCAAACTCATGAGTGAAAAGAAAGATTTAAATCTGTGAGATGAATGCACACATCATGAATCAGTTTCTCAGATAAGATCCTTCTAGTTTTTATCCTGGGATATTTGCTTTTTCATGATTGGCCTCAATGAGTTCCCAAATATCCATTCACAGAATGGAAAATAACAGTGTTTCCAAGCTGCTGAACCCAAAGAAAAGTTTAACTCTGTGAGATGAATGAACACATCACAAAGGAGTTTCTTAGAAAGCTTCTTTCTAGTTTTTATCTGAAGATATTTCCTTTTTCACCATAGGCATCAATGCACTGACAAATATTCTTTCACAGTTTCTACAAAAACAGTGTTTCTAAACTGCTGAAGGAATAGAAATGTTTAACTCTGCTAGAAGAATGCATGTATGACAAAGAGATTTTACAGATAGCTTCCCTCTAGTTTTAATCCTGGGATATTTCCTTTTTCACCATTGACCTCAATGAGCTCCCAAAAGTCCATTCAAAGAATGGAAAAAAAACAGTGTTACCAAACTGCTGAAACTGAACAAAGGTTTAACAATGAGATGAATGCATACAACCCGAACCAATTTCTCATGAATCTTCTTTCTAGTTTTTATCTGAAGATATATCCTTTTTCACCCTAGGTCTCAATGCTTTACTGAATATCTCTTCCCTGATTCTAAGATATCAGTGTTGCCAAACTGCTGAATGAAAAGAAAGGTTTAACTCTGTGAGATGAATGCACACATCAGAAAGCAGTTTCATAGAAAGGCTCTTTCTAGTTTTTATCTTAATATTTTTCCTTTTTCACCATGGGCCTCAATGTGCTGCCAAATATCCTTTCACAGTCTGTAGAAAACAGAACTTCTGAACTCCTGAATGAAAAGAAAGGTTTTTCTCTGCTAGATGAATGCACACATACCGAGCAATTTCTCAGATAGCTTTAGTTTACTCCTGAGATATTTGCAGTATTCGCCATTGGAGTCAATGAGCTCCCAACGTCCTTTCACAGAATGGACAACAACAGTGTTGCCAAACTGCTTAATCCAAAGAAAAGTTTAACTCTCTGAGTTGAATGTACACACCCCAAACCAGTTTCTGATTAAGTTTCTTTCTAGTTTTTAATTGAAGATATTTCCTGTTTCCCCATTGGCCTCCATACGTTTCCAAATATCTCTTTGTACATTCTCAAAAAACTGTTTCCAAACTCCTCAATGAAAAGAAATATTTAACTCTGTGAGATGAATGCACAGATCACAAATCAGTTTCTCATATGACTTCCTTGTAGTTTTCATCCAGGGATAATCGCTTTTTTGCCATTGGCCTCAATGAGTTCCCAAATGTCCATTTGCAGAATTGATAAAAACAGTGTTACAAAACTGCAGAATCCAAAGAAATGTTTAACTCTATGTGATGAATGCACACATCCCAAAACAGTTTCTCATGAATGCTTCTTTCTAGTTTTTATCTGAAGATATTTCTTTTTTCACCATAGGCCTGAAGGCTCTAGAAAATACATCTTCTCAGATTGTAAGATATCAGAGTTTCCCAACTACTGAATGAAAAGAAAGGTATAACTCTGTGAAATGAATGCACACATCACAAATCGGTTTCTCTGAGGACTTCTTTCCAGTTTTTATCCAGGTATATTCCTTTTTTTTGCCATTGGCCTCAATGAGCTCCCAAATGTCCATATGCAGAATGGACAAAAATAGTGTTTACAAACTGCAGAATTCAAACAAAGGTTTAACTCTGTGAGGTGAAAGAACACATCACAAAGAACTTTCTCAGAAACATTCTTTCTAGTTTTTATCTGAACATATTTCATATTCACCATAGGCCCCAATGCACTACCACATATATCTTCACAGATTCTAAGAAAACAGTGTTTCCAAACTGCTGAATGAAAAGAATGGTTTAACTCTGTGAGATGAATGCAAACATCACAAATAAGATTCTCAGAAAACTTTCTTCTAGTTTTTATCCAGGTGTATTCACTTTTTTGCCATTGGACTCAATAAACTCCCAAGTGTCAATTCGCAGAATGGACAAAAACAGTATTTCCAAACTGCTGAATCCAAGCAAAGTTTTAACTCTGTGAGATGAATGAACACATCACAAAGCAGTTTGTCAGAAAGCTTCTTTCTAGTTTTTATCTGAAGGTATTTCTTTTTTCACTTCAGGCCTCAATGCACTGCCAAATATCCCTTCACACATTCTAGAAAAACAGTGTTGCCAAATTGCTGAATCAAAAGAAATTTTAACTTTGTTAGATGAATGCACACATCGCAATGTGGTTTCTCAAATAGCTTCCTTCTAGTTTTTGTCTTGGGATATTTGCTTTTTTTGCCATTGGCCTCAATGAGCTCCCAAATGTCCATTCGCAGAATGGACAAAAACAGTGTTGCCAAACTGCTGAATCCAAAGAAATTTTTAACTCTCTGAGATGGATGCATACATCCCAAACCAGTTTCTCAGAAAACATCATTCTAGTTTTTATCTGAAGATATTTCCTTTTTCACCATAGGCCTCAAAGGGTTCTGAAATATCCATTCACAAATTCTACCAAAACGGGTTTTCCAAAAAGCTGAATGAAAAGTATAGTTTAACTCTGTGGGATGAATGCACACATCACAAATCGGTTTCACAGAGAGCTTCTTTTTAGTTTTTGTCTGCAGATAATTCATTTTTCACCATACGCTTCAATGTGCTCCAGAATGTCCCTTCACAGATTATACCAAAACAGTGTTTCCAAACTGCTGAATGGAAGAATGCTTTACCTCTGTGAGATGAATGCACACACCACAAAGTTGTTTCTAAGATATTTTTCTCCTAGTTTTTATCCTGGGATATTTGCTTTTTCCCCATTGTCCTCAATGAGCTCTCAAATGTCCATTTGCAGAATGAACAAAAACAGTGTTTCCAAACTGCTGAATCTGAAGAAAGGTTTAACTCTGTGAGATGAATGCACACATAACAAAGCAGTTTCTCAGATAGCTTCCTTCTACTTTAGATCCTGGGATATTTGCTTTTTTGCATTTGGCCTCAATGAGCTCCCAAATGTACATTTGCAGAATGGATAAAAACGGTGTTTCCAAACTGCTGAATCCAAAGAAAGGTTTAGCTCTGTGAGATGAATGCACCGATCACAAAGCAGTTTCTCAGAAACCTTTTTTATGGTTTTTACCTGAAGACATTTTCTTTTTCACCATAGGCCTCCATGCGTTCCAAAATATCCCTTCAAAGATTCTACAAGAACAGTGTTTCCAAACTGCTGAATGAACACAAAGGTTTAAATCTGCAAGATGAATGTCCACATCACAAAGCTGTTTCTCAGCTAGCTTCCTTAGGGTTTTTATCCTTGGATGTTCTCTTTTTCCCCATTGGCCTGAAGAAGCTCCCAAACTTCCTTTCACAGAATGGACAAAAACAGTGTTTCCAAAGCGCTGAATAAAAAGAGAAGTTTAAAATGGCGAGATGAATGCACACATCACAAAGTGGTTTCTTACATAGTTTCCTTCTAGATTTTATGATGGGATATTTGCTTTATTGCCTTTGGCTTCAATCAGCTACAAAATATCCCTTTGCAAATTCTACAAAAATAGTGTTTCCAAACTGCTGACACCAAAGAAAGGTTTAGCTCTGCAAGTTGAGTTGAATGCACACATCACAAAGCAGTTTCTCAGAAAGCTTCTTTCTAGTTTTTATCTGAAGGTATTTCCTTTTTCACCATAGGCCACAGACTGCTCCCAAATAACCCTTCACAGATTCTACAAAAAGAGTGTTTCCAAATTGCTGACTGAAAAGGATGGTTTACCTGTGCCAGATGAATGCATGCATCACAAAGCGATTTCTCAGATAGCTTCCTTTTAGTTTTTATCCTGGGATATTTGCTTTATCACCTTCAGCTTCAATGAACTCCCAAATATCCCTTCGCCCTTTCTACAAAAACAGTATTTCCAAACTGCTTAATGCAAAGAATTGTTTAACTCTGTGAGATGAATGCACACAACACAAAGGAGTTTCTCAGACAGATTTCTTCTAGTTTTTACCTGGGATATTCGCATTTTCACCATTGGCCACAATGAGCACCCAAATGTCCATTCGCGGAAGGGTCAAAAACAGTGGTTCCAAACTCCTGAATGAAAAGAAAGGTTTAACTCTGTGAGATGAAATCACATATCACAAAGCACTTTCTCAGACAGCTTTCTTCTAGTGTTTACCTGGGGTATTCACATTTTGACCATTGACCACAATGAGATCCCAAAGGTCCATTCACAGAATGGAAAAAAACAGTGGTTCCAAACTGCTGAATCCAAAGGAAGGTTTAAGTCCCTCATTTGATTGCACACATCACAAAAAAGTTTCTCAGAAAGCTTCTTTCTAGTTTTTATCTGAATATATTTCCCTTTCTACCTTAGGCCTCAAAGCACTTCCATCTGGAAGAATGGAAGCACTTCCATGTGGAAGAATCCCTTTGCAGATTCTACCAAAACTTTGTTTCCAAATTGCTGAATGAAAAGAAAGTTTTAATTCTGCGAGATGAATGCACCCATCACAAAGCAGTTTCTCAGATAGCTTCCTTCTAGTTTTGATGCTGGGATATTCACTTTTTCACCTTTAAACTCAATGAGCTCCAAAAGACCCCTTTGCAGACTCTACAAAAACAGTGTTTCCAAATTGCTGAATCCAAAGAAAGTTTTAACTCTGCGAGATGAATGCACCCATCACAAAGCAGTTTCTCAGATAGCTTCCTTCTAGTTTTGATGTTGGGATATTCACTTTTTCACCTTTAGACTCAATGAGCTCCAAAAGACCCCTTTGTAGACTCTACAAAAACAGTGTTTCCAAACTGCTGAATCCAAAGAAAGGTTTAACTCTTTGAGACGAATATATACATCACAAAGCAGTTTCCTAGACAACTTCTATCTAGTTTTTATCTGAAGATATTTCCTTTTTCGCCTTAGGCCTCAATGTGCTCCCAAATTTCCCTTCATAGATTACACCAAAACACAAACAGTGTTTCCAAACTTTTGAATGAAAAGAAAATTTTAACTCTTCGAGAAGAATGCACACATCACAAAGCAGTTTCTGCGATAGCTTTCTTCTATTTTTTATCCAGGGTTATTCACTTTTTTGACATTGGCCTAAATGAGCTCCAAAATGTCCATTTGCAGAATGGACAAAAACAGTTTTTCCAAACTGCTTAATCCTAAAATAGTTTTAACTCTGTGAGATGAATGCATACATCAAAAACAGTTGCTCAGAAAGCTTCTTTCTAGGATTTGTCTGAAGATATTTCTTTTTTCACCATATGCCTCAATGCCTTCTCAAATATCCCTTCTCAGATCCTACAAAAAATACTGTTTCCAAACTTCTGAAAGAAGAGCAATGTTTAACTCTGTGATATGAATGCACACATCACAAAGCAGTTTCTCAGATAGCTTCCTTCTAGTTTTTATACTGGGATATTCACTTTATCACATTTCTCCTCAATGAGCTCCCAAATATCCCTTTGCAGATTCTACAAAAACAGTATTTCCAAATTGCTGAAACCAAAGAAAGCTTTAACTCTGTGTGACCAATGCACACATCACAAAGCAGTGTCTCTGAAAAATACTTTCTAGATTTTATGCTGCAATGTTCACTTTTTCACCATTGGCCTCAAAGAGCTCCCATATGTCCATTCGCAGAATGGACAAAAACAGATATTTGGGAGCTCATTGAGGCCAAAGGCGATAAAGCAAATATACCAGGATAAAAACTGGAAGGAAGCTATCTGAGAAACAGCTTTGTGATGTGTGCATTCATCTTGCAGAGGTAAACCATCCTTTTCAGTTCTCAGTTTGGAGGCACTGTTTTTGTAGTATCTGCAAAGGGATATTTGGAAGTGCATTGAGGCCTATGGTGAAAGAGAAAGTAACTTCAGATTAACACTAAAAGAAGCTTTATGAGAAACTGCTTTGTGATGTTCATTCATCTCACAGATTTAAAACTTCTTTCAATTCAGCAGTTTGTAAACACGGTTTTTGTAGGATAAGCAAATAAATATTTGGGAGCTCAATGAGGTCAGTGGTGAAAAAGTAAATACCCAAGGATAAAAACTTCAAGGAAGCTATCTGATAAACTGGTTTGCAATGTGTGTATTAGTCTTGCAGAGTTAAAATTTTATTTTCATTCAGCAGTTTGGAAACATCTGTTTTAGTGGAATCTGTGAATGCATATTTGGGAGAGCATTGAGGCCTGTGGTTAAAAAGGAAATATCTTCAGATAAAAACTAGAAAGAAACTTTCTGAGAAACTGCATTGTGATGTGTCCATTCATCTCACAGAGTTAAGCCTTTCTTTGGATTCAGCAGATTGGTAACAATGTTCTTGTAGGATCTGTGAAGGGATATTTGGGAACTCATTGAGGCCAAAGGTGAAAAAGCCAATATCCAGCATAAAACTAGAAGGAAGTTATATAAGAAATCACTTGTGATGTGTGCAGTCATCTCACAGAAGTAAACCATGCCTTTCTCAGCAGTTTGGAAACACTGATTTTGTAGAATCTATGAAGGAATATTAGGGAGTGCATTTTGGCCTACAGTGAAAAAGGAAATAACTTCAGATAAAAACTAGAAAGCAGACTTCTGAGAAACTGCTTTGTGATGTTTGTATTCATCTCACAGAGTTAAATCTTTCCTTGGATTTAGTAGTTTGGAAACACTGTTTTGTCCATCCTGTGAATGGATATTTGGGAGCTTACTGAGGATAATGGAGAAAAAGTGAACACCCCAGGATAAAAACTAGAAGGAGTTTATCTGAGAAATCGCTTTGTGATGTGTGCACTCAACTCACAGAGATAAACCTTTCTTTTAATTCAGCAGCTAGGAAACACAGCTTTGGTAGAATCCATGAAGGGATATTTGGGAGCGCATTGAGGCCTATGGTGGAAAAGGAAATATCTTCAGATAGTAACTGGAAAGAAGACTTCTGAGAAACTGCTTTGTAATGTGTGCATTCGTGTCACAGGGTTAAACCTTTCTTTGGTTTCAACAGTCTGGAAACAGTCTTTTTATCCATTCTACGAATGGACATTTGGGGGATCATTGAGGCCAATGGCGAAACTGCACATATTCCAGGAAAAAAACTAGAAAGAAGCTATCTGACAAACTGCTTTTACGATGAAAAATGAAATATCTTCAGATAAAAATAGGAAGAATCTTTCTGAGTAACTTCTGTGTTATGTGTGCACCCATCTCACTGAGTTAAACCTTTCTTTTCATTAAGAAGTTTCAAAACTCTGTTTTTTTAGAATCTGTGAAGGGATATTAGGGAGCTCATTGAAGCCAAAGACAAATAATCAAATATCCCAGGATTAAAACTAGAAGGAAGCTAACTGAGAAACTGTTTTGTGATATGTGCACTCATTTCACAAATTTAAATCTTTCTTTTCATTCAGCAGTTTGGAAACACTGTGTTTGTAGAATCTGTGATGAGATATTTGGAAGTGCATTGAGTTCTATGGTGAAAAATGAAATAACTTCACATAATAAATAGGAGGAAGTTTTCTGAGAAACTGCTTTGTGATGTGTGCATTCAACTCACAGAGATATACCTTTCCTTCCATTCAGCAGTTTGGAAACACTGTTTTTGTAGAATATGCGAAGGGATATTTGGGAGCTCATTGAGGCCAAAAATGATAAAGAGAACATTCCATTATAAAAACTAGAAGGAAGCTATCTGTAAAGCCGCCTTGTGATGTGTGCATTCATCTTGCAGATTTAAACCATTTTTTTCATTCAGCAGTTTGTAAACACAGTTTTGGTAGAATCTGTGAAGAGAAATTTGGGAGCACATTGAAGCCTAGGGTGAAAAAGGAAATATTTTCTAATAAAAACTCTAAAGAAGTCTTCTGAGAAACGGCCTTGTAATGTGTGCATTCATCTCACAGAGTTAAACCTTTCTTTGGATTCAGCAGTTTGGAAACACTGTTTTGTAGAAACTGTGAAGAGATATTTGGGAGCTCATTGACGCTAAAGGAAAATATACCAGGATAAAAACTAAAAGGCAGCTATCTGAGGAACCACTTTGTGTAGTGTGCATTCATCTTGCAGAACTAAAACTTCCTTTTCATTCAGCAGTTTGGAAAAACTGTGTTTGACAAATCTGCATAGGGTTATTAGGAACCACATTGAGGCCTATGGTGAAAAAGGAAATATCTTCAGATCTGCAGATAAAAACTAGAAAGAAGCTTTCTCAGAAACTGCTTTTTGATGTGTCAGTCATCTCACAGTTTTAAACTTTTCTTTAGATTCAGTAGTTTGCAAACACTGTTTTTGTCCATTCTGCGAATGGACATTTGGGAGCTCATTGAGGCCAATGGCAAAAAAAGGAATATCCCAGGACAAAAACTAGAAGGAAGCTATCTGAGAAACCACTTTGTTATGTGTGCATTCACCTCACAAGTTTAAACTTTTCTTTTCATTCAGCAGTTTGGAAACACTGTTTTGGTAGAATCTGTGAAGGGATATGTGGGATCACATAGAGGCATATTTTGAAAAAGAAAATATCTTCAGATGAAAACTAGTAGGAATCTTTCTGAAAAACTGCTTTGTGATGTGTACATCCATATCACAGAGTTAAAACTTTCTTTGGAACCAGCTGCTTGGAAACACTGTTTGTAGAGGATCTACCATGGGATATTAGATAGATAAGTGATGACAAAGGTGAAAAAGTGAATATCCCTTGATAATAACTAGAAGGAAGCTATTTTTGAAACCATTTTGTGATGTGTGCATTCATCTCAGAGAGTTAAAGCTTTCTTTTCATTCAGCAGTTTGTAAACACTGTTTTGGTAGAATCTGCAAAGGGATATTCAGGAGCTCATTGAGGCCTGTGTTGAAAACAGAAATAACTTCAGAGAAAAACTAGACTAGACAGAAGCTTTCTGAGAAACTACTTGGTGATTTGTGCAATCATCTCACAGAGTTAAAACTTTCTTTGGATTTGGCAGTTTGGAAACATTGTTTTGTCCATTCTGTGAATGGATATTTGGGAGCTCATTGAGGTCAATGGTGAAAAAGTGAATATTCCAGGATAAAAACTAGAAGGCAGCTATCTGCGAAACCCATTTGTGATGTGTGCATTCAACTCTCAGTTAAAACTTTCTTTTCCATTCAGCAGTTTGGAAACACTGTTTTGGTAGAATCTGCAAAGATGTATATGGAGAGCAGTGAGGCCTATGTTGAAAATGGAAATAGCTCCAGATAAAAACTAGAAAGAAGCTTTCTGAGAAAGTGCCTCGTGGTTTGTGAAATCACCTCACAGAGTTAGACCTTTCTTTGGATTCAGCAGTTTGGAAACATTGTTTTTGTCCATTCTGCAAATGGACATTTGGGAGCTCAATGAGGCCAATGGCAAAAAAGCAAATATAACTGAATAAAAACTAGAAGGAAGTTAGTTGAGAAACCACTTTCTGATGTGTGCATTCAGCTTGCAGAGTTAAACATTTGTTATCTTATAGCAGTTTGGAAACACTGTTTTTGTAGAATCTGCAAAGGGATATTTGGGGGTGCATTGAGGCCTATGGTTAAAAAGGAAATATCTTCAGATAAAAATTAAAAAGATGCCTTCTGAGAAACTGCTTGTGATGTGTGCATTCATTTCACTGAATTAAGACGTTCTTTAGATTCAGCAGTTTAGAAACAATGTTTTTGTAGCATCTGCAAAGGAATAATTGGGAGCTCATTGACACCAAAGATGAAAAAAGTGAATATTGCATTATAAAAACTAGAAGGAAGCTATCTGCAAAACCGCTTTGTGGTGAGGGCATTCAGCTCGCAGAGTTAAACCTTTCTTTTCATTCAGCACTTTGGAAACACTCTTTTGGTACAATCTGTGAAGGGATGTTTTGAAACTCATTGATGCTTATGCAAAAGGAAATATCTTCAGATACAAACCAGAAAGAATTTTTCTGAGAAACTGCTTTGTGATGTGTTCATTCCTCTCATAGAGATAAACCTTTCATTGGATTCAGCAGTTTGGAAACACTGTTGTTTTAGAATCTGTGAACGGATATTGGGGAGCTCATTGAGGCCAAAAGTGAAAAAGTGAATATCCCAGGATAAAAATTAGAAGGAAGCTATTGGAGAAACCGCTTTGTGAGGTGTGCATTCACCTCGCAGATTTAAACCTTTCTTTTCATTCAGCAGTTAGGAAACACTTTTTTGGTAGAATTTGTGAAAGGATATTTGGGAGAGCATTGAGGCCTATGGTGAAAAAGGAAATATCTTCAGATAAAAACTAGAAAGAAGCTTTCTGGGAAACTGCTTTGTGATGCATCCATTCATCTCACAGAATTAAACCTTTCTTTGGATTCAGCAGTTTGGAAACACTGTTTTTCTCCATTCTGCAAATGGACATTTTGGAAGTCAATGAGGCCAATGACGAAAAAGTGAATATCCCTTTATAAAAACCAGAAGGAAGTTATTTGAGAAACCAATTTAGATGTGTGCATTCATCTCACAGACTTAAACCTTTCTTATTATTCAGCAGTTTGGAAACTCTATTTTTCTGGAATCTGAGAAGGAGTATTTGGGAGCTCAATGAGGCCAAAGGCAAAAAAGTGCATGTCCCAGGACAAAAACTAGACAGAAGCTATCTGAGAAACAACTTTGTGATGTATGCATTTGTCTTGCAGAGTTAAACCTTTCTCTTCATTCAGCCAGTTGTAAACTCTGTTTTTGAAGAATCTGCAAAGGGATATTTGGGAGCATATTGAGGTCTTTGGTGAAAACGGAAATATATTCAGAATAAAACTAGAAAGAAACTTTCTGAGAAACTGCTTTGTTATGTGTCCATTCATCTCAGAGAGTTAAACATTTATTTGGATTCATCACTTTGGAAACACTGTTTTTGTCCATTCTGCGAGTGGGCATTTGGGAGCTCATTGAGGCCAATGGCGAAAAAGCCAATATCCCAGGACAAAAACTAGAAGAAAGCTATCTGAGAAATCGCTATGTGATGTGTTCACTCACCTTGCATACTTAAACTTTTCTTTGGATTCATCAGTTTGGAAACACTATTTTAGTAGCATCTGTGAAGGAGAATTTGGGAGCTCATTGAGGACAAAGCCAATAAAAAGAATATTCCAGGATAAAAACTAGAAGGAAGCTACATGAGAAACTGTTTTGTGATGTGTGCATTCACCTCACAGAGATAAACATTTGTTTTCATTCAACACTTTGGAAACTCTGTTTTGGTAGAATCTGCGACAGGTTATTTGGGAGCGCATTGAGGCCTATGGTGCAAAAGGAAATACCTTCAGATAAAAACTAGAAAGAAGCATTCTGAGAAACAGTTTCACGATGCATGCATTCATCTCACAGAGTTAAACCTTTCTTTGGATTCAGCAGTTTGGAAACACTGTTTTTGTCCATTCTGTGAATGGACATTTGAGCACTCATTGAGGCCAATGGTGAAAAAGCTAATATCCCAGGATAAAAACTAGAAGGAAGCTATCTGAGATATGGCTTTGGGATTTGTGCATTCATCTCACAGATTTATACCTTTCTTTTCATTCATCAATTTGGAAACACTGTTTTGGTAGAACCTGCATGGGGATATTTAGGTACACATTGAGGCCTATGTTGAAAAAGGAAATATCTTAAGAAAAAAACTGGAAAGAACTTTCTGAGAAACTGCTTTGTGATGTGTGCCTTCATCTCACAGAGTTAAACCTTTCTTTTTTTCAGCAGTTTGGAAACACTGTTTTTGTCCATTCTGTGAATGGACATTTGGGACCTTATTGAGGCCAACTGAGAAAAAGCAAATATCCGAGGATAAAAAGTAGAATGAACCTCTCTGGGAAACAACTTTGAGATGTGTGCATTCATCTCGCACAGTTAAGCTTTTGTTTTCATTCAGCAGTTTGGAAACTCTGTTTTGGCAAAATCTGTGAAGGGATATTTGGGAGTGCATTGAGGCCTATGGTGAAAGAGAAAGTATCTTCAGAGGAAAACTACAAAAAAACTCTGAGAAACTGGTTTGTGATGTGTGCATTTATCTCACAGAGTTAAAACTTTCTTTCGAATCAGTCTTTTGGAATCACTAGTTTTGCAGAATCTGTGAAGGGAGCACATAATGAGGCCTATTTAGAAAAAGGAAAACCTATCTTAGGATACAGCAGTTTGGAAACACTGTTTTTGTAGAATCTGCAAAGGGATATTAGATAGCTCATTGTGGCCATAGGAGAAAAAGCAAATATCCCAGGATAAAAACTATAAGGAAGTTATCCAAGAAAACGATTTCCCAAATGTCCATTCATCTCAAAGAGTTAAACCTTTCTTGGATTCAGAGGTGTGGAAACACTGTTGTTGCAGAATCTGTAAGGGGTATTTGAGTGCTCATTGAGGCCAAAGTCAAAAAAGTGAATATCCCAGGATAAAAACTAGAAGGATCCTATCCGAGAAACCAAATTGTGCTGCTTGCATCTGTCTAGCAGAATTAAATATTACTTTTCATTCAGCAGTTTGTAAACAGTATTTTTGTAGAATCTGTGAAGGTATATTTGGGACTGCCTTAGGTCCTATAGTGAAAAGGATGTATCTTCAGATAAAAAATACAAAGATGCTATCTGAGAAATGGCTTTGTGATGTGTGCTTTCATGTCACAGGGTTAAACCTTTTTTTGTGTTCGCAGTTTGCAGTTTGGAAACACTGTTTTTGTCCATTCTGGGAATGGACATTTGGGAACTCCTTGAGGCTAATGGTGAAAAAATGAATACCCCAGGATAAAAGCTGAAAAGAAGCTACCTGAGAAATCACTTTGTGATGTCTGCATTCATCTTGCAGAGTTAAAACTGTCTTTGGATTCAACAGTTTGGAAACACTGTTTTTGTCCATTCTGCAAATGGACATTTTGGAGGTCATCGAGGTGAAAAGTGAAAAAGCGAATATCCCAGGATAAATACTAGAAGAAAGCCATCTGAGAAACCACTTTGGGATTTATGCATTCATGCTGCTGAGTTAAACCTTACTTTTCTTTCAGTAGTTTGGAAACAGTTTTTGTGGAATCTGCAAAGGGATATTTCATTGCACATTGAGGCTTGTGGTGAAAAAGAAAATATCTTCATATAAAAACTAGAAAGAAGCTTTCTGAAAAACGACTTTGTGATTTATGCATTCATAACAAAGAATTACACCTTTCTTTGGATTCAGCAGTTTGTAGACACTGTTTTTGTAGAATCTGTGAAGGAATATTAGACAACTCATTGAGGTCACAGGCAAAAAAGAGAATATCACAGGATAAAAACTAGAAGGAAGATATCTGAGAAACCTCTTTGTGATCCATGCATTCATCTCAACGAGTTAAACCTTTCCTTTCATTCAGCCATTTGGAAACACTGTTTTCGTAGAATCTGGGAAGGGATATTTGGGAGCACATTGAGGCCTATGGTTAGAAAGCAAATATCTTCACATAAAAACTAGAAAGAAGGTTTCTGAGAAACTACTTTGTGATGTGTGCATTCATCTCACATAGTTAAACCTTTCTTTGAATTCAGCAGTTTAGAAACACTGTTTTTGTCCATTCTGTGAATGGACCCTTGGGACCTCATTGAGGTCAAAGGCAAAAAAGCATATATACCAGGATAAAAAGAAGTAGCAAGCCATCTGAGAAAATGCTTTGTGATGTGTGAATTAATTTCGCAGTGCCAAACCTTTCCTTTCATCCAGCAGGTTGGAAACGCTGTTTTGGTGGAATATGCAATGGGATATTTGGGAGCACATTGAAGGGTAAGTTGAAAAAGGAAATATCTTCAGATGAAAACTAAAAAAAGGCTTTCTGAGAAACTGCTTTGCCATGTGTGCATTCATCTCACAGAGTTAAACCTTTCTTTGGTTTCAGTAATTTTGTAACACTGTTTTTGTAGAATCTGCGAAGGGATATTTGGGAGCTCATCAAGGCCAAAGGTGAAAAAGTGAATACCCCAGATAAAAACTTGAAGGATGCTACCTGAGAAACTGCTTTGTGATGTGTTCATTCATCATGCAGACATAAACCTTTCTTTTCATTAAGCATTTTGGAAAAACTACTTTTGTAGAATCTGCAAAGGGATATTTGGGATGCATTGAGGGCTATGGTTAAAAAGGAAATATCTTCAATAAAAACTCGAAAGAAGCTTTCTGAGAAACTGCTTTGTGATGTGTGCATTCCTCTCACAGAGTTAAAAGTTTCTTAGGATTCACCGTTTTGGGAACACTGCTTTTTTAGAATTTACGAAGGGATATTAGATAGCTCTTTGAGGCCATAGGTGAAAAAGCGAATATCCAAGGATAAAAACCCAAAGGAAGCTATCTGAGAAACCACTCTGTGATGTGTGCCGTCATCTCACAGAGTTAAAACTTTCTTTTCATTCAGCAGTGTGGAAACACTGTTTTGGTAGAATCTGCAAAGGGACATTTGGGAGGTCATTGAGGCCAAATGCAAAAAAGTGAACATTCCAGGAGAAAAACTACAAGAAAGCTTTCTGAGAAACAACTTTGTGATCTGTGCATTCACCAATGAGAGAAAAGCATTTCTCTTCATTCAGCAGTTAGGAAACCCTGTTTTTGTAGAATTTGGGAAGGGATATTTAATTGCTCATAGAGGCCATAGGCAGAAAAGAGAAAATCCCAGGATAAAAACTAGAAGGAAGCTAGATGAGAAACAACTTTATGAAGTTTGCCTTCGTCTCACAGAGGTAAAACTTTCTTTTCATTCAGCACTTTGGAAACATTGTTTTGGTAGAATCTGCAAAGTTATATACAGGAGAGCATTGAGGCTTATGGAAAAAAAGAAATATATTCCGATAAAAACTAGAAAGAATCTTTCTGAGAAACTGCTTTGTGATGTGTGCATTCATCTCACAGAGTTAAGCCTTTCTTTTCATTCAGCAGTTTGGAAACACTGTATTACTATAATCTGCAAAGGGATATTTAGGAGCCCATTGAGGCCTCTGGTGAAAAAGGAAATATCTTCAGATAAAAACTGGAAAGAGGCTTTCTTAGAAAGTGCTTTGCAATGTGTGCATTCATCTCACAGAGTTAAACTTTTTTGTGGAATCAGCAGTTGGAAATACTGTTTTTGTAGAATCTGTGAAAGGATATGTTGTAGATCACTGAGGTTATATGTGAAAAAGCCAAAATCCCAGGATAAAAACTAGAAGGAAGCTATCAGAGAAATGGCTTTGTGATGTGTGCATTCATCACGAAGAGTTAAACCTTTATTTTCATTCAGCAGTTTGGAAACACTGTTTGGGTAGAATATGTGAATGAATATTTCAGAGCACACTGAGGCCTATGGTGAAAAAGTAAATATCTTCAGATAAAAACTAGAAAGCAGCTTTCTGAGAAACTGCTTTGTAATGTGTGCTTTCATCTCACAGAGTTAAACCTTTCTTTTCATTCAGAAGTTTGGAAACACTGTTATGGTAGAATTTTTGAAGGGATATTTGGGAGCGCATTGAAGACTGTGATGAAAAAGGAAATATCTTCAGAGAAAAAGTAGAAAGAAGCTTTCTTAGAAACTGCTTTGTGATGTGCACATTTATCCAATGGAGTTAAACCTTTATTTGGATTCAGAAGTTTGGAAACACTGTTTTTGTGCAAGCTGACGATGGATAGTTGGGTTCTCATTGAGGCCATCGGGGAAAAAGGGAATATCCCAGAAAGAAAACTAGAAGGAAATTCTCTGAGAAACTGGCTTGTGATGAGTTCATTCATCTCACAGTTAAACCTTTCTTTTTCATTCAGCAGTTTGAAAACTATTTTGGTAGAATCCTCGAAGGGGTATTTTGGAGTGCAGTGAGGCCTTTGTTGACAAAGGAAATATCTTCAGAGGAAAAACTAGAAGGAAGCTTTCTGAGAAACTGCTTTGTGATGTGTGCACTCATTTCACAGAATTAAACCTTTCTTTGGATTCAGAAGGTTGGAAACACTGTTTTTACATAATCTGCAAAGGGATATAAAATAGCACGTTAAGGTCATAGGTGAAAAAATGAATGTCTCAGGATAAAAACTAGAAGGAAGCTAACTGGGAAACCGATTTATGACGTGTGTGTTCATCTCGAAGACTTAAACCTTTCTTTTCATTCAGCAGTTTGGAAACACTGTTTTGGTAGAATCTGCGAATGGATATTTGGGAGTGCTTTGAGACCTATGGTGAAAAAGGAAATATCTTCAGAAGAAAACTAGAAAGAAGCTTTCTGAGAAACTGCTTTTTGATGTGGGCATTCATCTCACAGAGTTAAACTTTCTTTTAATTAAGCAATTTGGAAACACTGTTTTCATAGAATCTGCGAAGGGATATTTGGGAGCACATGAGGCCTAAGGTCAAAAAAGAAATATCTTCAGATATAGAGTAGAAAAGTTTCTGAGAACCTGCTTCATGATGTGTGCATTCATCTCGCAGAGTTAAACCTTTCTTTGAATTCAGCAGTTTGAAAACATTGCTTTTGTCCATTCTGTGAATGGATATTTGGGACCCTATTGAGGTCAATGGTGAAAAAGTGTTTATCTCAGGATAAAAACAAGAAGCAAGCTATCTGAGAAAGTGTTTGGATGTGTGAATTCATTTCACAGTGTTAAAACTTTCTTTTCATTCAGCAGTTTGGAAACACTGTTTTGATAGAATCTATGAGGGGATATTTGGGAGTGCATGGAGGGTATGGTGGAAAATGAAATGTCTTCAGAAGAAAACTAAAATAAAAGCTTTCTGAGAAACTGTTTTGTCATGTCTGCATTCATCTCACAGAGTTAAACCTTTCTTTGGATTCAGTAATTTTGTAAAACTGTTTTTGTAGCATCTGTGAAGGGATATTTCAGAGCTCATTGAGGCCTATGCTGAAAAAGGAAAAACTCCTGGATAAAAACTTGAAGGATGCTATCTGAGAAACTGCTTAGTGATGTGTTTATTCACCATGCAGACATAAACCTTTCTTTTCATTAAGCATTTTGGAAAAACAGCTTTTGTAGAATCTGCAAAGGGATATTTGGGATGCTTTAAGGCCTATGGTGAAAAAGGAAATATCTTCAGATAAAAATTCAAAGGAAGCTTTCTGAGGAACTGCTTTGTGATGTGTGCATTCGTCTCATAGAGTTAAATATTTCTTAGGATTCACCTGTTGGGGAACACTGTTTTTGTAGAATCTGCAAAGGGATATTTGATAGTTCATTGAGGCCATAGGCAAAAAAGTGAATATCCCAGGATAAAAACTTTAAGAAAGCTATCTGAGAAACCACTCTTTGATGTGTGCATTCATTTCACAGAGTTAAACCTTTCTTTTCATTCAGCAGTTTGGAAACACTTTTTTGTAGAATCTGCGAAGGGATATTTGGGAGCGCTTTGATGCGTATGGTGAAAAAGGAAATATCTTCAGATAAAAACTAGCAAGAGGCATTCTGAGAAACTGCTTAGTGATGTCTACATTCATCTCACAGAGTTAAAACTTTCTTTGGATTCAGCAGTTTGGAAATACTGTTTTTCTCCATTCTGCAGGTCGACATTTTGTAGCTCATTGAGGCCAGAGGAAAAAAGTGAATATCTTAGGATAAAAACAAGAAGAAAGCTATCAGAGAAGCTGCTTTGTGATGTGTGCATTCATTCTGCAGAGTCAAACGTTTCTTTTCATTTAGCAGACTGGAAACACTGTTTTACTAGAATCTGTGAAGGGATATTTGGGAGGGCATTGAGTCCTATGGTGAAAAAGGAAATATCTTCAGATGAAAACTAGAAAAATGCTTTCTGAGAAACTGCTTTTTGAGGTGTGCATACATCTCAGAGAGTTAAAACTTTCTTTGGATTCATCCATTTGGAAACACTGCTTTTGTAGAATCTGTGATGGGATATTTGGGAGGTAATTGAGGCAAAAGGCAAAAAAGCAAATAGCCCTGAATTAAAAACTAGAAAGAAGCTATGTGAGAAACTGCATCATGAAGGGTGCATTCATCTCATTGACATACAATTTTCTTTTCATTCAGCTGTTTGGAAACACTATTTTTGCAGTATCTGTGAAGGGATATTTGGGAGCGCATTGAGGCCTATGCTGAAGAAGGAAATACTTTCTGCTAAAAACTAGAAAGAATCTTTCAGAGACACAGCTTTGTGATGTGTGCATTCGTCTCACAGAGTTAAACTTTTCCTTGGGTTCAGCAGTTGGAAACGCTGTTTTTGTAGAATCTGCCAAGGGATATTAAATAGCTCATTGAAGCCACAGGCAAAAAAGCAAATATCCCAGGATAAAAACTAGAAGGAATCTATCTGAGAAACCGCCTTGTGATGTGTTGCATTCATCTCACAGAGTTAAAACTTTCCTTTCATTAAGCAGCTTGGAAACACAGTTTTTGTACAATCTGCAAAAAGATATTTGGAAGTGCATTGAGGCCTCTATGAAAAAGGAAATATCTTCAGATAAAACTAGAAAGAAACTTTCTTAGAAACTGATCTGTGATGTGTGCATTCATCTCACAAACTTAAACCTTTCTTTGGATTCAGCAGTTTGGAACCACTGTTTTTGTCCATTCTGCAAATGGGCATTTGGGACCTTGTTTAGGTCAATGGTGAAAAAATTAATATCCCAGGATAAAATCTAGAAGGAAGCTATTTGAGAAGCTGGTTTGTGTTGTGTGCATTCATTCACAGAGTTAAACTTTCTTTTAATTCAGCAATTTGGAAACACTGATTCAGTGGAATCTGTGAAGGGATATTTGGGGGTGCTTTGGGGTCCATGGTGAAAAACTAAATATAGTCATATAAAAATTAGAAAGATTTTTGCTGAGAAACTGCTTTGTTTTGTATGCATTCTTCTCACAGAGTTAAACCTTTCTTTGGATTAGGCAGATTGGAAGCACAGTTTCTGTCCATTCTGCAAAAGGAGAATTTGGAGATCATTGAGGCCAATTGTGAAATTGCAAATATCCCAGGATAAAAACTACAAGGAAGCTATCAGAAAAACCGCTTTGTGATGTGTGCTTTCTTCTCAAAAAGTTAAACCTTTCTTTGAATTAAGCAGTTTAGAAACACTGTTTTTGTCCATTCTGCAGATGGACATTCGGGACCTCATTGAGGTCAATGGCAAAAAAGCATATATCCCAGGATAAAAACAAGTAGCAAGCTATCTGAGAAAATGTTTTGTGATGTGTGAAGTCATTTGGCAGAGGTAAACTTTTCTTTTCATTCAACAGTTTGGAAACGCTGTTTTGGTAGAATCTGTGAGGTGACATTTGGGAGTAAATTGAGGAGTATGGTGAAAAAGGAAATATCTTCAGATGAAAACTAGAAAAAAGTTTTCTGAGAAACTGCTTTGTCATGTGTGCATTCATCTCACAGAGGTAAGCCATTCTTTGGATTCAGTAATTTTGTAACACTGTTTTTATAGAATCTGTGAAGGGATATTTGGGAGCTCATCGAGGCCAGTGGTGAAGAAAAGTGAATATCCCTTAATAAAAACTCAAAGGATGCTTCCTGAGAAACTGCTTTGTGATGTGTGCGTTCATCTTGCAGATATAAAAATTTATTTTCATTCAGCATTTTGGAAAATCTGCTTTTGTAGAATCTGCAAAGGGATATTGGGGATGCATTTTTCTATGACGAAAAAAGAAATATTTTCAGATAAATACTGGAAAGAAGTGTTCTGAGAAACCCCTCTGTGATGTGTGCATTCATCTCACAGAGTTAAATGTATCTTAGGATTCACCAGTTTGGGAACACTGCTTTTGTAGGATCTGTGAAGGGATATTAGATAGTTCATTGAGTCCATAGACGAAAAAGTGAATATCCAAGCATAAAAACTAGAAGGAAGCTGTCCGAGAAACCACTCTGTGAAATGTGCTTTCATCTCACAGCATTAAACCTTTCTTTTCATTCAGCAGTTTTAAACACTGATTTTGTAGAATATGCAAAGGGATATTTGGGAGCTCATAGAGGCCTACAGTGAAAAAGATAATATCTTAAGATAAAACTAGAAAGAAGTTCTCTGAAAAACTGGTTTGTGATATGAGCATCCATCTCACAGAGTTAAACCTTTCTTTGCATTCAGCATTGTGGAAGCACTGTTTTTGCCACTCTACGAATGGACATTTTGGAGGTCATCGAGGTCAGTTGCAAAATTGTGAATATCCCATGATGAAAATTAGAAGGAATTTATCTGAGAAACCAGTTTCTGATGTGTTCATTCAACTCACAGGGTTAAACCTTCCTTTTCATTCAGCAGTTTGGAAACCCTGTTTTTGTAGAATCTCCTATGGGATATTTGGGAGAGCTTTGTGGCCTATGGTGAAAAACAAAACAACTTCAGATAAAAACTAGAAAGAAGCTTTCTGAAAAAGTGTTTGTGATGGGCACATTTATTTCACAGAGTTAAAACTTTATTTTCATTAAGCCGTTTGGAAACATTCTTTTGGTATAATCTGTGAAGGGATATTTGGGAGCGAATTGAGGCCTACGGTGAAAAATAAATATCTTCAGATAAAAACTAGAAAGAAGCATTCTGAGAAACTGCTTTGTGATGTGTGCATTCATCTCTCACAGTAAACCTTTTTTTGGATTCAGCAGTTTGGAAACACGGTTTTTGTAAAATCCACTATGGGATATTCAGCAACTCTTTGAAGCATATGGTGAAAGAGGAAATATCTTCATATAACAACTAGAAAGAAGCTTTCTGAGGAACTGTTGATGATGTCTGCACTCGTCTCACAGAGGTAAACTTTTATTTGGATTTAGCAATTTGAAAACACTGTTTTTGTCTTTCTGTGAATGGACATTTTGGAGGTCATTGAGGCCAATAAGGAAAATGTGAATATCCCAGGATAAAAACTATAAGAAAGTTACCTGAAAAACTGCTTTGTGATATATGCATACATCTCACAGAGTAAAAACTTTTTTTTCATTCAGCAGTTTGTAAACACAGTTTTGGTATAATTTGTGATGGGATATTTGGGAGCCCATTGAGGCCTATGGTGAAAAAGGAAATATCTTCAGATAAAAAACAGAAAGAAACTTTCTGAGAAACTTCGTTGAGATGTGTGCATTCATCTCACAGAATTAAACTTTTCTTTCATTCAGCAGTTTGGAAACACTGTATTAGATGATTCTACAAAGGGATATTTGGTAGCTCATTGAGGCCATAGGCAAAAAAAGAGTATCCCAGGATAAAAACTACAAGGAAACTATCTGAGAAAAAGCTTTGTGATGTGTGCATTCATCTCACAAAGTTAAATCATTCTTTTCATTTAGCAGTTTGGAAGCACTGTTTTGGTAGAATCTGCAAAGGGATACTTGGGAGCACACTGAGGCCAAAGGCAAAAAAGTGAATATCCCAGGATAAAAACTGGAAAGAAGCTATATGAGTAACAAATTTGTGATGTGTACATTCATCTCAAAAAGTTAATCCTGTCTTTGGATTCATTAGTTTGTAAACACTGTTCTGGAAGAATCTACAAAGGAATATTTGGAAGATCATGGAGGCCAAAGGTGAAAATATAAGGAAGCTATCTGAGAAACCACTTTGAGATGCATGCATTCATCTTACAGAATTAAATTCGACTTTTCATACAGAGAGCTTCCTTCTAGTTTTTATGCTGGGATATTCATTTTTTCGTGATTAGCCTTAATGAGTTCCCAAATGTCCATTCACAGAATGGACAAAAACGGTGTTTCCAAACTGCTGAATCCAAAGAAAGTTTTAAATCACTTATAGGTATTCACACATCACATAGCAGTTTCTCAGAAAGCTTTTTTTGAGTTTTTATCTGACGATATTACCTTTTTCACCTTAGGCCTCAATGTGTTCCCAAATATCCATTTGCAGATTCTACAAAAACAGGGTTTCCAAACTGCTGAATGAAAAAGAAGTTTTAACTCCATGAGATGAATGCACACATCACAAGGTGGTTTTTCAGATAGCTTCCTTCTAGTTTTTATCCTGGGATATTCACTTTTTTGCCTATCACCTCAATGATCTGATATCCATTTGCAAATTCTACAAAACATTTTTTCCAAGCTGCAGAATCCAAAAAAATATTTAACTCTGTGAGATGAATATACATATCATAAGGCATTTCCTGAGAAAGCTTCTTTCTAGTTTTTATCTGAAAATATTACCTATTTTTCTATAGGCCTCATTGCGTTCCCCATTATCCCTTCACAGATTCTACCAAACAGATTTTCCAAAAGGCTGAATGAAAATAAAAGTTTATCTGTGCGAGATGAATGCACACATCACAGAGCAGTTTCTCAAACAGATTTCTTCTAGTTTTTATCCTTGGATAATCAATTTTTCACCTTTGGTCTCAATGAGCTCCAAAATGTAAATTCATAGAATGGACAAAAACAGTGATTCCAAACTACTGAATACAAGGAAATGTTTAACTCTTTGAGATGAATGCAAACATCAGAAAGAAGTTTCTCAGAAACTTTCTTTCTAGTTTTTATCTGGAGATATTACCTTTTTTTCCATAAGCCTCATTGCGCTGGAAATTATCCCTTCAAAGATTCTACCAAAACAGAGGTTCCAAACTGCTGAGTGAAAAGACAGGTTTAACTGTGTAAGATGAATGCACACGTCACAAAGCAGTCCATCAGATGGCTGTCTTCTGGTTTTTATCCTTGGCTATATGCTTTTTCACTTTTGGCCTCAATGAGGTAAAAATATACATGAGTAGAATGGACAAAAACAGTGATTCCAAACTGCAGAATTGATAGAAAAGTTTAACTCTGTGAGATGAATGCACACATCATAAAGCAGTTTCTCAGAAAGCTTCTTTCTAGTTTTTATCTGAAGGTATTTCCTTTTTCTCCATAAGCCTAAAGGCGCTCCCAAATATCCCTTCACAGATCCTATCAAAACAGTGTTTCCAAATTGCTGAATGAAAAGAAAGGTTTGACTCTGTGAAGTGAATGAGCACATCACAAAGTGGTGTCTCACATATCTTTCTTCTAGTGGTTTCA
The DNA here is from genome assembly GCF_000001405.40 of Homo sapiens. Lineage (NCBI taxonomy): Eukaryota > Metazoa > Chordata > Mammalia > Primates > Hominidae > Homo > Homo sapiens. The sequence continues at coordinate 62,758,245 of NC_000007.14, read as the reverse complement.
CATATCTTTCTGAAGGTATTTTCTTTTTCATCATAGGCTTCAGTGTGCTCCCAAATATTCATTCACAGATTCTACCAAAACATGGTTTCCAATGTGCTGAATCAAAAGAAGTGTTTATCTCTGTGAGATGAATGCACACATCACAAAGTGGTTTCTCAGATAACTTCCTTCTAGTTTTTGTCCTGGGCTATTTACTTTTTTGCCAATTGCCTCAATTAGCTATCTAATATCTCTTCACATATTCTATAAAAGCAGTGTTCCAAACTGCTGAATCCAAACAAATGTTTACTCTGTAAGATGAATGTCCACATCTCAAAGCAGTTTCTCTGAAACTTTCTTTCAAATTTTTATCGGAAGATATTTCTTTTTTCAACATAAGCCTCAATGTGCTTCCAAATATCCCTTCACAGATTCTACCAAAACAGTGTTTCCAAATTGCTGAATGAAAATAAAGGCTTATATCTCTGAGATGACGTCACAAAGTGGCTTCTCAGACAGATTCCTTTGAATTTTTATCCAGGGACATTCGCTTTTTCCCATTTGGCCTCTATGAGCTCCAAAATATCCATTCACAGATTCTACAAAGACAGTGTTTCGAAAATACAGTATTCAAAGAAAGATTTAGCTCTGTGGGTTGAAAGCATGCATCATAAGGTAGTTTCTCAATTAGCTTCCTTCTAGTTTTTATCCTGGGATATTCACTTTTTCTCCTATAGCCTCAATCAGCTCCCAAATATCCCTTCACAGATTCTACAAAAACAGTGTTCCCAAACTGCTGAATCCAAAGAAAGGTTTAATTCTGTGAGATGAATGGACACATCACAAAGAAGGGTCTTGGAAAGTTTCTTTCTAGTTTTTATCTCAAGATATTTCCTTTTTCACCATAGGCCTCAATGGCTCCCAAATATCCCTTTGCAGATTCTACAAAACAGCATTTCCAAACTGCTCAATCTAAAGAAAGGTTTATCTTTGTGAGATGAATGCACACATCACAAAGCAGTTTCTCAGAAAGATTCTAGTTTTTATCTGAAGATATTTCCTTTTTCACCATAGGCCTCAATGCACTCCCAAATATCCCTTCGCAGATTAAAAAAAAAAAAACACTGTATCCAAACAGCTGAATGAAAACAGTTTTAACTCTGTGAGATGAATGCACACATCACAAAGAGTTTTCTCAGATAGCTTCCTTCTAGTTTTTACCCTGGGATATACGTTTTTTGCCATTGGACTCAATGAGCTCCCAAATTTCCTTTTGCAGAATGACCAAAACCAGTGTTTCTAAACTGCTGAATCCAAAGAACGTTTTAACACTGTAAGATGAATGTGCACATCACAAAGTAGTTTCTGAGAATGCTTCCTTTGGGTTTTTATCTGAAGACATTTCCTTTTCACCATAGGCCTCATTGTGCTACAAAATATCTCTTAATGGATTCTAAGAAAACAGTGTTTCCAAATTGCTGAATGAAAGCAAAATTTTACTCTGTGAAATGAATGCACACATAGCAAATTGCTTTCTCAGATAATGTGTTTCTAGTTTTTATCTTGAGATATTTGCTTTTTCACCATTGGCCTCTAGGAGCTCCCAAATGTCCTTTCACAGAAAGGACAAAAACAGTATTTCCAAACTGCTAATTCCAAAGTAAGGTTCAAATTTGTGAGCTGAATGAACACATCACAAAACAGTTTCTCAGAAAGCTTCTTTCTAGTTTTTCTCTGAAGAGAATTCCATTTTCACCATAGGCCTCAATGCACTGTCATATATCCCTATGCAGATTTTACAAAAACAGTTTCCACACTGCTGAATGAAAAGAAAGGTTTAACTCTGTGAGATGAATGCACATCACAAAATGGTTTCTCAGATAGTTTCCTTCTAGTTTTTCTCCTGGGAAATTCACTCTTTCACCTAGGGCTTCAATAAGCTGTCTAATATCTGTTCGCAGATTCTACAAAAACTGTGTTTGCAAACTACTGAATACAAAGAAAGGTTTAATTTGGTGACTCGAATGCACACAACAAAACAGTGTTTCTAAACTGCTGAATGAAAAGAAGTATTTAACACTGCAAGATGAATGAATACATCAGAAAATGGTTTCTCAGATAGTTTCCTTCTAGTTTTTATCCTGGGATATTGACTTTTTCACCATTGGCCTCAAAGAGCTCCCAAATGTCCATTCTCAGTATGGACAAAAACAGTGTTTCCAAACTGCTGAAACCAAAGAAAGGTTTAAATCTGTGAGATGAATGCACACATCACAAAGCAATTTCTCTGTTTTTATCCAAATATATTTCCTTTTTAACCATAGAACTCAATGCGCTCCCAAATATCCCTTTGCAGATTCTACAAAAACAGTGATTCCAAACTGCTGAATGAAAAGCAATGTTTAACTCTGCAATGAATGCATTCATCACAAAGTGGTTTCTTACACACCTTCTTCCAGTTTTTATCTTGGGATATTCGCTTTTTCCTCTTTGACCTCAATTAGCTCCCAAATATACCTTTGCAGATTCTGCAAAAACAGTGTCCCACACTGTTGAATCCAAAGAAAGGTTTAACTCTGTGAGACGAAGGCACACAACACAAAGCAGTTTCTCAGAAAGCTTCTTTCTTGCTGTTATCTGAAGATATTTCCCTTTTCACCATCGGCCTCAATGCACTCCCAAATATCCCTTCACAGATTCCACCAAAATGGTGTTTGCAAACTACTGAATGAAAAGAAAGGTTTAACTCTGCGAGATGAATTCATACATCACTAAGTAGTTTCTCAATTAGTTTCTTTCCAGTTTTTATCATGGGATGTTAACGTTTTCACCAGTGGCCTCAATGAGCTATCAAATATCCCTTCACAAATTCTACAAAAACAGTGTTTCTAAACTGCTGAATCACAAGAAAGCTTTAACTATGTGAGATGAATGCACACATCACAAAGCAGTTTCTCAGATAACTTCCTTCTATTTTTTATCCTGAGATATAAGCTTTTTCGCCTATGGCCTCAATGAGCTATCAAATATCCCTTCACAGATTCTAACAAAACAGTATTTCCAAACTGCTGAATGAAAAGAAATGTTTAACACTGCCAGATGAATGAATACATTACAAAACAGTTTCTCAGATAGTTTCCTTTTAGTTTTTGTCCTGGGATATTCACTTTTTCACCATTGGCCTCAAATAGCTCCCAAATGTCCATTTGCAGAATGGACAGAAACAGTGTTTCCAAACTGCTGAAACCAAAGAAAGGTTTAACTCTGTGAGATGAATGCACACATGACAAAGCAGTTTCTCAGAAAGCTTCTTTCTCGCTGTTATCTGAAGGTATTTCCTTTTTCACCAGAGGCCTCTATGCACTCACAAATATCCCTTCACAGATTCTACCAAAACAATATTTGCAAACTGCTGAATGAAAAGAAAGGTTTAACTCTGTGAGATGCGTGCACACAACACAAAGCAGTTTCTCAGATAGCTTCCTTCTAGTTTTTATCATGGGATATTTGCATTTAAGACTTTGGCCTCAATGAGCTATCAAATGTGCTTTCACAGATTGTACAAAAACAGTTTTTCCAATCTGCTGAATCCAAGAAAGTTTTAACTCTGTGAGATGAATGTGCACATCACAAAGCGGTTGCTCAGAGCCTTTCTTTCTAGTTTTTATCTGTAGATATTTCCTTTTTCACTGTAGCCCTCCATGGGCTCCTAAAAATCCCCTCACAGATTCTACCAAAACAGTGTTTCCAAATTGCTGAATTGAAAAGAAACTTTTAGTTCTGTGAAATGATTGCACACATCATGAAGAGGTTTCTTAGATTGCTTCCTACTAGTATTTATGCTGTGATATTCGCTTTTTTGCCTTTGGCCTCAATAAACTATCAAATATCCCTTTTCAGATTCTACACAAACAGTGTTGCCAAACTGCTGACTTTAAAGAAAGGTTTAACTCTGTGAGGTGAATGAACACATCACAAAGCAGGTTCTCAGAAAGCTTCTTTCTAGTTTTATCTGAAGGTATTTCCTTTTTCACCATTGGCCTCAATGCACTCCCTATAATACTTTCTCAGTTTCTACCAAAACAGTGTTTCCAACTGCTGAATCAAAAGACAGGTTTAACTCTCTGAGATGAATGTGCACATCATAAAGTGGTTTCTCAAATAGCTTCCTTCTAGTTTTTATTCTGGGATACCCTCTCTTTTGTGATTGGCCTCAAAGAGCTCCCAAATAGTCCTTCACAGATTCCACAAAAACAGTGTTTCCAAATTTCTGAATTCCAAGAAAGTTTAAATCAGTGAGATGAATGCATGCATCACAAAGCAGTTTCTCAGATAGCTTCCTTCTAGTTTTTATCTTCAGATATTCACTTTTTCATCTTTGGCTTAAATGTGCTCCTAAATATCCTTTTGCAGATTCTACAAAAACAGTGTTTCCAAACTTCTGAATCCAAAAAAATGTTTAACTCTGTGAGATGAATGTACACACCAAAAAGTAGTTTCTCAGAAAGATTTTTTCTAGTTTTTTTCTGAAAATATTTCCTTTTTCACCATAGGCTTCAATGCGCTCCAAAATATCCCTTTGCATATTCTACAAAAATAATGTTTCCAAACTGATGAATGAAAAAAAATTTAACTCCACGAGATGAATGCACACATCACAAAGCAGTTTCTCAAATGGCTTCCTTCTAGTTTTTATACTGGAATATTCACTTGTTCACCATTGACCTCAATGAACTCCCAAATGTCCATTTGCAGAATTGACAAAGACAGTGTTTCCAAACAGCTGAACGCAAAGAAAGGTTTAACTCTCTGAGATGAATACACATCACAAAACAGTTTCACAGAGAGCTTGTTTCAAGTTTTTATCTGAAGATATTTCCTTTTTCACCATAGGCCTCAAAGCACTCCCAAGTATCACCTTGCAGGTTCTACATAAACAGTGTTTCCACACTGCTGAATGAAAAGAAAGATTTAACTTTGTGAGAAGAATGGACACATCACAAAGCTGTTTATAAGAAAGCTTTTTTCTAGTTTTCATAGAAAAATATTTCCTTTTCACCGTAGACATCAAAGCACTCCCAAGTATCTCTTAAAAGATTCTACCAAAACAGGGCCTCCAAACTACTGAATAAAAAAGAAATGTTTATCTGTGCTAGATGAATGCACACATCACAAAGCTCTTTCTCAGACAGGTTCCTTCTAGTTTTTATACTGGGATTTTCAATTTTTTGCCTTTGCCCTCAATGAGCTCCCAAATGTCCATTCATAGAATGGACAAAAACAGTGCTTACAAACTACTGAATCTGAAGAAAGGTATAACTCTGTGAGTTGAGTGCACACATCACAAAGCAGTTTCTTAGAAAGCTTCTTTCTAGTTTTTATCTTAAAATATTTTCTTCTTCACCATAGGCCTCAAAGTGCTCCCAAATATCCCTTCACAGATTCTATAAAAAGAGTGTTTCCAAACTGCTGAAATGAAAAAAAGGTTTAACTTTGCGAGATGAATGCAAACATCACAAACTGGTTACTCAGATAGGTTCCTTCTGTTTTTTACCCTGGGATATTCACTTTTTCACCTTTGGCCTCAATGATCTCCCAAATATCCCTTCATAGATTCTACAAAAGCCGTGTTTCCAAACTCCTGAATCCAAAGAAATGTTTAACTCTGTAAAGTGAATGCACACATCACAAAGCAGTTTCTCAGAAAGCTTATCACTATTTTTTATCTGAGGATATTTCCTTTTTCACCATAGGCCTACATGTGCTCCCAAATATCCCTTTGCAGATTCTTCCATAACAGTGTTCCCAAAATGCTAAATGAGTAGAAAGTTTTAACTCTATGAGATGAATGCATGCATCACAAAGCATTTTCTCAGATAGCTTCCTTCTAGTTTTTATCCTGGTATATTCCCTTTATTGCTCTTGGCCTCAGTGAGCTCCAAAGTGTTCATTCACAGAATGGACAAAAATTGTGTTTGAAAACTGCTCAGTCCACAGAAAGTTTTAACTCTCTGTAATGAATGCATACATCACAAAGCAGTTTGTCAAATGTAATCCATCTAGTTTCTATCCTGGTATATTTGCTTTTTCACCTTTGGCCACAGTGAGCTCCCAAATATCTCTTTGCTGATTCTACAAAAAGAGTGTTTCCAAGCTGCTTATTCCAAATAAAGGTGTAACTCTATGAGCTTAAAGCAAACATCACAAAGCAGGTTCTCAGAAATCTTCTTTCTAGTTTTTAACCTGAAGATATTTCCTTTTCACCATAGGCCTCAATACACTCCCAAATAACCACTCTCATATTCTACAGAAACAGTGTTTTCAAACTGCTGAATGAAAAGAATTTTTAACTCTGAGAGATGAATGCACACATCAAAAAGAAGTTTTTCAGATAGCTTCCTTCTAGTTTTTTTTTTCCCTAGGATATTCACTTTTTCTCCATTGTCCACTAGGAGCTCTGGAGTGTCCATTCAAAGAATTGACAAAAACAGTGTTTCCAATCTGCTGAATACAAACAAAGGTTTAACTCTATTAGATCAATCCACACATCACAAAGCGGTTTCTCAGAAATCTTCTTTCTAGTTTTTATCTGAAGATGTCCCCTTTTTCATCATAGGCCTCAATGGGCTCCCAAATATCCATTTGCACATTCTATAGAAGCAGAGTTTTCAAACTGTTGAACGAAAAGAAAGGTGTAACTCTGTGAGATGAATGCACACATCACAAAGTGGTTTCTCAGATAACATCCTCCTAGTTTTTATCCTGGGATATTCCCTTTATCACCTTTGGCCTCAATGTGCTACCAAATATCCCTTTGCAAATTCTACAAAAACAGCTTTTCCAAACTGTTGAATCCAAAGAAAAGATTAACACTGTGAGATGAATGCACACATCACAAGGAAGTTTCTCATTTAGCTTCTTGTATTTTTTAACCTGGAGTAATCCTTTTTTCCCATATGGCCTCAATGAGCTATCAAATATCCCTTCACAGATTCTACAAAAACAGTGTTTCCAAACTACTGAATACAAAGAAAGTTTTAACTCTGCAACATGAATGCACACATCACAAAGCAGTGTATGTGGAATCTTCTTTCTTGTTTTATTTGAAGATATTTTCTTTTTCCTCGTAAACATCAAAAAGCTACCAAATATCCCTTCACAGATTCTACCAAAACAATGTTTCCAAACTGCTGAATGAGAGGAAAGTGTTAACTCTGTGACTTGAATGGACACATCACACAGGGGTTTCTCCAATAGTCTCCTACCAGTTTTTTTGCTGGGATATTAGCATTTTCGCCATTGGCCTCAAAGAGTTCCCAAATGTCTATTTGCAGAATGGACAAAAACAATATTTCCAAAATGCTGAATCAAAAGAATGGTATAACTCTGTGAGATGAATGTACACATCACAAAGAAGTTTCTAAGAAAGCTTCTTTTTAGTTTTTATCTGAAAATATTTCCTTTTTCATGATAGGCCTCAATGCACTCTCAAATATCCCTTTGCAGATTCTACCAAAACAGTGTTTTCAAACTGATGAATGAGAAGAAAGGTTTATCTCTGTGTGGCGAATTCACACTTCCAAAGCAGTTTCACAGATAGCTTCCTTTTATTTTTGATCCTGGGATATAACCTTTTTCACCTATAGCGTCAATGAGATATATAATATCCCTTCGTGGATTCTACAAAAACTGTGTTTCCAACCTGCTTAATCCAAAGAAAGGTTTAACTCTGTGAGATGAATGCACACATCACAAAGCAGTTTCACAGAAAGCTTCTTTCTACTTTTTATCTGAAGATACTTCCTTTTTCACCCTAGGCATCCATGTGCTCCCATATATCTCATCGCAGAGCCTACCAAAATAGTGTTTCCAAACTGTTGAATGAAAAGAAAGATTTAACACTGTGAGATGAATGCACATTTCACAAAGCGGTTCCTCAGATACCTTTCTTCTAGTTTTTATCCTGGGATATTTGCTTTTTCACCTACGGCCTCAATGAGCTCCCAAATGTCCATTCACAGAATGCACAAGGACTGTGTTTTCAGGCTGCTGATTCAAAGAAAAGTTTAACCCTGTGAGTTGAATGCACACATCACAAAACAGTTTGTCATAAAGCTTCTTTCTACTTATCTGATGATATTTCCTTTTTCACCATAAGCCTCAATGCCCTCCAAAATGTCCCTTAGCAGATTCTACCAAAACAGTGTTCACAAACTGCTGAGTGAAAAGAAAAATTTAACTCTTAGAGATGAAGGAAAGCAACGCAAAGAGTTTTCTTAGGTAGCTTCCTTCTAGTTTTTATCCTTGGATATTCCCTTTTTTTGCCATTGGTCTCAATGAGCTCCAAAATGTCCATTTACAGTATGCAAAAAAAACTGTTTGCAAACTGCTGAATCCACAGAAAGTTTTAACTCTGTGAGAAGAATGCACACATCACAAAGCAGTTTTTCAGAAAAGTTCTTTTTAGTTTTTTCTGAAGATATTTCCTTTCGCACCATACACTTAATTGCACTCCCAAATACCCCTTTGCAGATTCTAATAAAACAGTGTTTCTAAACTGCTGAATGAAAAGAAAGTTAGAAGTTCACGAGGTGAATGCACACATCACAAAGAGATTACTTTTTCCAAACTGCTGAATGAAAAGACATGTTTACCACCGTGAGATGAATGCACACATCACACAGTGGTTTCTCAACTTCCCTATAGTTTTTGTCCTGGGATATTAGCTTTCTCATGATTTGCCTCAAAGAGTTTCAAAACATCCACTTGCACAATTCACAAAAACAGATTTTTGAAACTGCAGAGTCCAAGTTAAGATTTAACTCCCTGTAATGAAAGCACACATCACAAATCAGTTTCACAGAAAGCTTCTTACTAGTATTTATCTGAAGATAATTCCTTTTAAAAATTGGCCTCAATGCACTCCCAAATATCCCTTTGCATATTCTACAGAAAAAAGTGTTTCCAAACTGCTGAATGAAAAGACAAGTTTAACTGTGGAAGATGAATGCACTCATTGCAAAGCGGTGTCTCAGACAGCTTCCTTCTAGTTTTTATCCTGGGATATTTGCTATTTCACTTTGGCCTCAATGAGCTCCCAAGTATCCCTTTGCAGATTCTATGAAAACAGTGTTTGCAATCTGCTGAATCCAAAGGCAGGTTTATCTCTGTGAGATGAATGCACACATCAAAAGCAGATCCTCAGAAAGCTTCTTTCTAGTTTTTATCTGAAGATATTTCCTTTTTCACCTTAGGATTCAATGCACTGCCAATGATCCCTTCACAGGTTCTAAAAAATCAGTGTTTCCAAAATGCTGAATGGAAAGTAAGGTTCAACTCTGTAAGATGAATGCAAACATCACAAAGTGGTTTCTCAGATGACTTCCTTCTAGTTTTTATCTGGGGATATATTATTTTTCATCACTGGCCTCAATGTGATTGGAAATATCCATTTATAGAATGGACAAAAACAGTGTTTCCAAACTTCTGAATCTAAAGAAATGTTTAACTCTGTGAGATGAATGCACACATCACAAAGTAGTTTCTCAGAAAGCTTCTTTCTCATTTTTATCTGAAGATATTTCCTTTTTCACCATAGTCTTCAATGCACTTCTAAATATCCCTTCATAGATTCTACAAAAACAGTGTTTCCAAACTGCTGAATGAAAGGGAAAGTTTAACTCTGTGAGATGAATGCACACATCACTAAGAGATTACTCAGATAGCCTCCTTCTAGTTTTTATCCTGGGATATTCACTTTTTTCCCTTTGGCCTCAATGACGTCCAAAATATACCTTTGCAGATTCTACAAAACAGTGTTTCCAAACTATGGAGTCCAAGGAAAGGTTTAACTCTGTGAGATGAATGCAAATGTCACAAAGCAGTTTCTCAGAAAGTTACTTTCTATTTTTTATCTGAAGATATTTCTTTTTCCACCATAGTCCTTGCTGTGCCCCCAAATATCCCTTTTCAGATTCCACCAAAATTGTGTTTCCAATCTGCTTAATGGTTGAAAGGTTCAACTGTGTGAGATGAATGCACACATCACAAAGCAGTTTCTCAGATAGTGTCTTTATAATTTTTATACTGGCATATTCAATTTTTCACCATTGGCCTCAATGAGATTTCAAATGTCCATTCACAGAATAGACAAAAATAGTGTGTCCAAACTGCTGAATCCAAAGAAAAGTTTAACTCTGTCAGATGAATGCACCCATCACAAAGAAGTTTCCCAGAAAGCTTTTTTGTAGTTTTTATCTGAATGTTAATTCCTTTTTCACCATAGGCCTCAATGTGCTCCCAAACTTCCCTTTGCATATTCTACCAAAGCAGTGTTTTGAAACTGCTGAACGAAAAGCAAGGTTAACCTTGGCAAGATGAATGTGCACATCACAAAGCAGTTTCTCAGATAGCTTCCTTCTAGTTTTTATCCTGGCACGTTCACTTTTTTGTCTTTAGCCTCAATGCATTCCTAAATATCCCATCTTAGATTCTACCAAAACAGTGTTTCCAAACTGCTGAATCCAAAGAAAGGTTTAACTCGGTGAGGTGAATGCACACATCACAAAGCAGTTTCTCAGAAAGCTTCTTTCTAGTTTTTATCTGAACGTATTTCCTTTGTCACCATAAGCCTCAATGCACTCTCAGTTATCCCTTCACAGATTCTACAAAAACATGGTTTCCACACTGCAGAATGAAAAGAAAGGTTTAACTCTGTGAGAGGAATGCACACATGACAAAGTGATTTCTCCTTTAGCTTTCTTCTAGTTGTTATCCTGGGATATGTGCTTTTTTGCCATTGGCCTCAATGATCTCCCAAATGTCCAATTGCAAAATTGACAAAAACAGTGTTTCCAAACTGATGAAAACAAAGAAAGATTTAACTCTGTGAGGTGAATGCACACATCACAAAGCAGTTTCTCAGAAATCTTCTTTCTAGTTTTCATCTGAAGATTTTTCCTTTTTCATCATTGACCTCAATGCATTTCCAGATATCTCTTTGCAGATTCTACGAAAACAGAGTTTCCACACTGCTGAATGAAAAGAAAGGTTTAACTCTGAGAGATGAATGCACACATCAAGAAACGGTTTCTCAGATACCTTTCTTCTATGTTTTATCCTGGGATATTCACTTTATTGCCATTAGCCACATTGAGCTCCCAAATGTCCATTTGCAGCATGGACAAAAACAGTGGGTCCAAACTGCTGACTCCAAATAAAGAATTTAACTATGTGAGATGAATGCACACATTACAAAGCAATTTCTCAGAAAGCTTCTTTCTAGTTTTTATCTGCAGACATTTCCTTTTCACTATAGGCCTCAATGCACCCCCAAATATAATGTCACAGATTGTACAAAAACAGTTTTACAAATTGCTGAATGAAAAGAAAGGTTTAACAGGGAGAGATGAATGCACACATCACCAAGTAGTTTCTCAGTAAGCTCTTTCTAGTTTTTATCTGAGAATATTTCCTTTTTCATCATCGGCCTCAATACACTCTCAAATATCCCTATGCAGTTTCTACAACAACAGTGTTTCCAAACTGTGCAATCCAGAGAAAGTTTTAACTCTGTGAGATGAATGTACACATCACAAAACAGTTCCCAGAAAGCTTCTATCTAGTTTTACCTGAAGATATTTCCTTTTTCACCGTAGGCCCCAATGCGCTCCCAATATCCCTTTACAGATTCTACCAAATTTGTGTTTCCAAACTGCCTAATGGTTAGAAAGGTTTAAGAATGTGAGATGAATCCACACATCACAAATTGGTCTCTCAGATATCTTCCTTGTAGTTTTTATCCTAGGATGTTCGCTTTTTTGCCATTGACCTCAATGAGCTCCCAACTGTCCATTAGCAGAAGGGACAAAAACAATGTTTCCAAACGGCTGAAGCCAAAGGAAGGTTCAACTCTGTGTGTGTGTGAAATGAATGCACATATCAAGAAGTACTTTCTCAGAAAGATTCTTTCCAGTTTTTATCTGAAGATATTTCCTTTTTCACTATAGGTCTCATGGTGCTCCCAAATTTCCCTTCCCAGAGTCTACCAAGTCAGTGTTTCCAAACTGCTGAATGAAAAGAAAAATTTAGCTCTGCCAGATGAATGCACATATCTCATACTAGTTTCTCAGATAGGTTCCTTCTGGTTTTTATCCTGAGATATTCACTTTTTCACCTTTGGCCTCAATGAGCTATCAAATACCCCTTCGAAGATTTTATAAAAGGAGTGTTTCCAATCTGCTGAATCCAAAGACAGGTTTATCTCTGTGAGATGAATGCACACATCACAAAGCAGTTTCTCAGAAAGCTTCTTTCTAGTTTTTATCTGAAGGTATTTCCTTTTTCACCTTAGGACTAAATGCACTGCCAATGATCCCTTTGTAGATTCTAAAGAAACAGTGTTTCCAAACCGGTGAATGAAAAGTAAGGTTTAACTCTGTGAGATGAATGCAAACATCACAAAGCAGTTTCTCAGATGACTTCCTTCTAGTTTTTCTCCGAGTATATATGATTTTTCGCCACTGGCCTCAGTGAGATCAGAAATATCCATTTGTAGAATGGACAAAAACAGTGTTTCAAAACTTCTGAATCAAAAGAAATGTTTAACTCTGTGAGATGAATGCACATATCACAAAGCAGTTTCTCAGAAAGCTTCTTTCTCATATTTATCTGAAGATATTTCCTTTTTCACAATTGTCTTCAATGCGCTCCCAAATATCCCTTTGTAGATTCTACCGAAACAGTGTTTCCAAACTGCTAAATGAAAGGAAATGTTTAACTCTGCAAGATGAATGCACACATCACAAAGCCGTGCCTCACATAGCTTCCTTGAAATTTTTATCCTTGGATATTAGCTTTTTCGCCTTTGGCCGCAATGAGTTCCCAAATATCAATTTACAGATACTACAAAAACAGTGTTTCCAAACTGCTGAATCCAAAGAAACGTTCAACTCTTTGAGATGAATGCAGACATCACAAAATACTTTTTATGAAATCTTCTTTCTAGTTTTTGTCTTTAGATATTTCCTTTTTCACCATAGGCCTCAATTTGCACCAAATACCTCTTCACAGATTCTTAAAAAAAAGTGTTTCAAAAATTCTGAATGCACAGAAAGTTTACCTGTGTGAGATGAATACACACATCACAAATGGATTCTCAGATAACTTTCTTCTAAGTTTTATCATTGAATATTTGACTTCTTGACTTTGGCCTCAGTGAGCTCCAAAATATCCCTGTGCAGATTCTCCTAAAACAGTGTTTCCAAACTGCTGAATGGAAAGAATGATTTAACCCTGTGTGATGAGTGCACATATCACAAAGCTGTTTCTTGGAAAGCTTCTTTTGTTTTTTATCTCAAGATATTTCCTTTTTCACCACAGGCCTCAATGCCCTCCCTAATATCCCTTCACACATTCTACCCCAAAAGTGTTTTGAAACTACTGAATGAAAAGAAATATTTAACTCTGTGAGATTAATGCACACATCACAAAGTGGTTTCTCAGATAGCTTCCTTCTAGTTTTTATCCTGGGATACTCTCTTTTTTGTCATTGGGTCAATGAGCTAACAAATGTCAATTTGCAGAATGGACAAAAACACTGTTTCTAAACTGCCGTTTCCAAAGCAATTTTAACTCTGTGTGATGAATGCACACATCACAATGCAGTTTCTCAGAAGGCTTCCTTTTAGTTTTTATCTGAAGATATTTCTTTTTTCACCATAGGCTTCAATACATTCCCAAATATCCCTTGTAGATTCTACCAAAGTGGTGTTTACCAGTTGCTGAAAGGAAAGAAAAGTTTAACTCTGTGAGATGAAGGCACACATTACAAAAGAATTTCTCAGATAACTTCCTTTTAGTTTTTATCCTGGGATATTTCTTTTTCCCCTATGGCCTCAATGAGCTATCAAATATCTCTTTACAGATTCAAAAAAACAGTGTTTCTAAACTTCTGAATGCAAGGAATGGTTTAACTCTGTGAGATGTATGCACAAATCACAAAGCAGTTTCTGAGAAAGCTTCCTTCTAGTTTTTATCTGATGATATTTCCTTTTTAACCATAGGACCCAATGTGCTCCCAAATCTCCCTTTGCAGATCCTACAAAAGCCGTGTTTCCAAACTGCTGAATGTAAAGAAAGTTTTAAGTCTGCAAGACGAATACTCATATCAGAAAGTGGTTTCTGAGATAGCTTCCTTCTAGTTTTTATCCTGGGATATACGCTTTTTCACCTTTGGCTTCAATGAGCTCCCAAATATCCCACAGCACATATTACAGAAACAATGTTTCTAAACTGCTGAATCCAAAGACAGGGTTAACTCTGTGAGGCGAAACCACACATCACAAAATGGTTTCTCGGATAGCTTCCTTCTAGTGTTTTCCTGGGATAGTCACTTTTTCAACTTTGGCCTCAATGAGCTCCCAAATATCCCTTTGCGGATTCTACAAAAACAGTGTTTCCATACTTCTTAATCCAAAGAAAGTTGTAAATCTGTGAGATGAATGCACACATCACAAAGCAGTTTCTCAGAAAGCTTCTTTCTAATTTTTATCTGAAGCTATTTCCTTTTTCACCTTAGGCCTCAATTAGCTCCCAAATATCACTTCCCAGATTTTAGCAAAACAGTGTTTCCAAACTGCTGAATGAAAATGAAGGCTTAACTCTGTGAGATGAAATCACACATTGAAAAGCCGTTTCTCAGATAGCTTCCTTCTAGTTTTTATCATGGGATTTTCACTTTTTCTCCATTGTCCTCCATGAGCTCTGAAATGTCCATTTGCAGAACAGATAAAAACAGTTTCCAAACTGCTGAAACCACAGAAAGGCTTAACCCTGTGAGATTAATGCACACATCACAATGCAGTTTCTCGGCAATCTTCTTTCTTATTTTTAATCTGAAGATATTTTTCACCATAGGCCTCAATGAGCTCCCAAATATCCCTTCGCAGATGCTACCAAAACAGTGTTTCCAAAGTGCTGAATGAAAAGCAGTTTAACTTTGTGAGATGAATGCACACATCACAAAGCAATTTCTCAGATAGATTCCTTCTAGTTTTTAACCAGGCCTATTTGCTTTTTCACCATCGGCCTCAATAAGCTCCCAAATGTCCATTGGCAATGTGGAGAAAAACAGTGTGGCCAAACTTCTGAATCAAAAGAAACGTTTAACTCTGTGAGGTGAATGCACACATCTCAAAGCAGTTTCTCTGAAAGCTTCTTTCTAGTTTTCAACTGAAGATATTTTCTTTTTAACCATAGGCATCAATGCACTCCCAAATATCCCTTCGCAGATTCTACAAAAAAAGTGTTTCCAAACTGCTGAATGAAAAGAAAGTTTTCACTTTCAGAGGGTGTTCCAAGATGGCCATATAGGAACAGCTCCAATCTACAGCTCCGAGCATGAGCGACACAGAAGACAGTGATTTCTGCATCTCAAACTGAGGTACCTTGTTCATCTCACTGGGGCTTGTTGGAGAGTGGGGTATGAAAGTGGGTTCAGCCCACTGATCATGACCCAAGGCAGAGCAAGGCATCACCTCACTGGGGAAGTGTAAGTGGTCAGGGAATACCCTTTCCCAGACAAGCAAATCTGTGATGGAGGGCACCTGGAAAATCAGTTCACTTCCACACTAATTCTGTGCTTTTCCAACGGTCTTAGCAAATGACACACCATGAGATTATATCCCGCGCCTGGCTCAGAGGATCCCATGCCGAAGGTGCCTCGCTCATTGCTAGCACAGCAGTCTGAGATCAAACAGCAAGGCAGCAGTGAGGCTGGGGGAGGGGTGCCCGCCATTGCTGAGGTTTGAGTAGGTAAACAAAGTCGCCAGGAAGCTTGAACTGGGTGGAGCCCACCACAGCTTAAGGAGGCCTGCCTGCCTCTGTAGACTCCACCTCTGGGGTCAGGGCATAGCCAAACAAAAGGCAGCAGAAACCTCTGCAGACTTAAATGTACCAGTATGGCAGCCTTGAAGAGAGTAGAGGTTCTCCCAGCATGGAGTTTGAGATATGAGAATGGACAGACTGCCTCCTCAAATGGGTCCCTGACCCCCAAGTAGCATAACTAGGAGGCACCACCAAGTAGGGGCAGTCTGACACCTCACACAGCCGGGTACCCCTCTGAGATGAAAGCTCCAGAGGAACAATCAGGCAGCAACATTTACTGTTCAGCAACATTCGCTTTTCTGCAGCCTCTGCTGCTGATACCCAGGCTAACAGGGTCTGGAGTGGACCTCCAGCTAACTTCAACAGACCTGCAGCTGACAGTCCCGACTGTTAGAAGGAAAACTAACAAAGAGAAAGGACACCCACACAAACACCTCATCTGTACACCAATATCATCAAAGACAAAAGGTAGCAAAATCACAAAGATGGGGAAAAAACAGAGCAGAAAAGCTGAAAATTCTAAAAATCAGAGCACCTCTCCCCCTCCAAAGGAATGCAGCTCCTTGCCAGCAATGGAACAAAGCTGGATGGAGAATGACTTTGGTGAGTTGGAAGAAGGCTTCAGATGATCACACTTCTCTGAGCTAAAGGAGGAAGTTCGAACCCATTGCAAAGAAGCTAAAAACCTTGAAAAAACATTAGAAGAATGGCTATCCAGAATAACCCTTGTAAAGAAGCCCATAAACGACCTGATGGAGCTGAAAACCACTGCACGAGAACTACTTGATGAATCCACAAGCTTCAGTAACCAATTTCATCAACTGGAAGAAAGGGTATCAGTGATTGAAGATAAAGTGAATGAAATGAAGCAGGAAGATTACCTTAGAGAAAAAAAGAGTGAAAAGAAATGAACAAAGTCTCGAAGACATATGGGACTATGTGAAAAAACCAAATCTACATCTGATTGGTGTACCTGAAAGTGACAGAGAGAATGGAACCAAGTTGGAAAACACTCTGCAGGATATTATCCAGGAGAATTTCCCCAACCTAGCAAGGCAGGACAACATTCAAATTCAGGAAATAAGGAGAATGCCACAAAGATACTCCTCGAGAAGAGCAACCACAAGACACATAATTGACAGATTCCTCAAAGTTGAAATGAAGGAAAAAGTGTTAAGGTCAGCCACAGAGAAAGGTTGTGTTACCCACAAAGGGAAGCCCATCAGACTAAGAGCTGATCTCTTGGCAGAAACTCTACAAGCCAGAAGAGACTGGGGGCCAATAGTCAACATTCTTAAAGAAAAGAATTTTCAAACCAGAATTTCATATCCAGCCAAACTAAACTTCATAAGTGAAGGAGAAATAAAATCCTTTACAGACAAGCAAATGCTGAGAGACTTCATCACTACCAGGCCTGCCCTACAAGAGCACCTGAAGGAAGCACTAAACATGGAAAGGAACAACCGGTACCAGCCACTGCAAAAACATGGCAAATTGTAAAGACCATCAGTACTAGGAAGAAACTGCATCAACTAACGAGCAAAATAATCAGATAACATCATAAGGACAGGATCAAATTTACATGTAACAATATTATCATTAAATGTAAATGGGCAAAATGCTCCAATTAAAAGACACAGACTGGCAAATTGGATAAAGAATCAAGTTCCATCAGTCTGCTGTATTCAGGAAACCGATTTCATGTGCAGAGACACACACAGGCTCAAAATAAAGGGATGGAGGAAGACCTACTAAGCAAATGGAAACAAAAAACGCAAGGGTTGCAATCCTAGTCTCTGATAAAACAGACGTTAAACCCACAAAGATCAAAAGAGACAAAGAAGACCATTACATAATGGTAAAGGGATCAATTCAACAAGAAGAGCTAACTATCCTAAATATATATGCACCCAATACAGGAGCACCCAGATTCATAAAGCAAGTCCTTAGAGAACTACAAAGAAGCTTAGACTCCCACACAATAATAATGGGAGACTTTAACACCCCACTAACAACATTAGACAGATCAGCGAGACAGAAAGTTGATAAGGATATCTAGGAATTGAACTCAGTTCTGCATCAAGTGGACCTAATAGACATCTACAGAACTCTTCACCCCAAATCAACAGAATATACATTCTTCTCAGCACCACATCGCCCTTATTCCAAAATTGGCCACATAGTTGGAAGTAAAGCACTCCTCAGCAAATGTAAAAGAACAGGAATTATAACAAACTGTCTCTCAGACCACAGCACAATCAAACTAGAACTCAGGATTAAGAAACTCACTCTAAACCGCTCAACTACATGGAAACTGAACAACCTGCTCCTGAATGACTACTGGGTACATAATGAAATGAAGGCAAAAATAAAAATGTTCTTTGAAACCAACGAGAACAAAGACACAACATATCAGAATCTCTGGGACACATTTAAAGAAGTGTGTAGAGGGAAATTGATAGCACAAAATGCCCACAAGAGAAAGCAGGAAACTTATAAAATTGACACTATAACATTGCAATTAAAAGAACTAGAGAAGCAGGAGCAAACACATTCAAAAACTAGCAGAAGGCAAGAAATAATTAAGATCAGAGCAGAACTGAAGGAGGCAGAGACAGAAAAAAACCCTTCAAAAAATCATTGAATCCAGGACCTGGTTTTTTGAAAAGATCAACAAAATTGATAGACTTCTAGTAAGACTAATAAAGAAGAAAGATGGAAGAATAAATAGATGCAATAAAAAATGATAAAGGGGATATCACCGCCAATCCCACAGAAATACAAACGACCATCAGAGGGTAGTATAAACACCTCTGCACGAATAAACTAGAAAATCTAGAAGAAATGGATAAATTCCAGGACACACACACCTTCCCAAGAATAAACCAGGAAGAAGTTGAATCCCTGAATAGACCAATAACAGGCTCTGAAATTCAGGCAATAATTAATAGCCTACCAACCAAAAAAAATCTAGGACCAGATGGATTCAAGGCCAAATTCTACCAGAGGTAAGAGGAGGAGTTGGTACCATTCCTTCTGAAACTATTCCAATCAATAGAAAAAGAGTGAATCCTCCCTAACTCATTTTATGTGGCCAGCATCATCATGATACAAAAGCCTGACAGAGACACAACAAAAAAGAGAATTTTAGACCAATATCCCTGATGAATGTGGATGCAAAAATCCTCAATATAATACTGGCAAACCGAATCCAGCAGAACATCAAAAAGCTTATCCAACATGAACAAGTGGACTTCATCCCTGCGATGCAAGGCTGGTTCAGCATATGAAAATCAAGAAACCTAATCCAGCATATAAACAGAACCAAAGACAAAAATCCCATAATTATCTCAATAGATGCAGAAAAGGCCTTTGACAAAATTCAGCAACACTTCATGCTAAAAACTCTCAATAAATTATGTATTGTTGGGAGGTATATCAAAATAATAAGAGCTATTCATGACCAACCCACAGCCAATATCACATTGAATTGGCAGAAACTGGAATCATTCCCTTTGAAAACTGGCACAAGACAGGGATGCCCTCTCTCACCACTCCTATTCAACATAGTGTTGGAAGTTCTGGCTAGGGCAATCAGACAGGAGAAAGAAATAAAGTGTATTCAATTAACAAAAGAGGAAGTCAAATTGCCTCTGCAGATGACATGATAGTATATTTAGAAAACCCCATCATCTCAGCCCAAAATATTCTTAAGCTGATAAGCAAATTCAGCAAAGTCTCAGGATACAAAATCAATGTGCAAAAATCACAAGCATTCTTATACACCAATAACAGACAAACAGAGAGCCAAATCATGAGTGAACTACCATTCACAACTGCTTCAAAGCGAATAAAATACCTACGAATCTAACCTACAAGGGATGTGAAAGACCTCGTCAAGGAGAACTACAAACCACTGCTCAACGAAATAAAAGAGGACACAAACAAATGGAAGAAAATTCCATGCTCATGGGTAGGAAGAATCAATATCGTGAAAATGGCCATACTGCCCAAGGTAATTTATACATTCAATGCCATCACCACCAAGCTACCAATGACTTTCTTCACAGAATTGGAAAAAACTACTTTAAAGTTCATGTGGAACCAAAAAACAGCCTGCATTGCCAAGACAATCTGAAGCCAAAAGAACAAAGCTGGAGGCATCACACTACCTGACTTCAAACTATACTACAAGCCTATAGTAACAAAGACAGCATTGTACTGGTACCAAAACAGAGATGTAGACCAATGAAACAGAACAGAGCCCTCAGAAATAGTACCACACATCTACAACCATCTGATCTTTGACAAACCTGACAAAAACAAGCAATGGAGAAAGGATTCCCTATTTAATAAATGGTCCTGGGAAAACTGTCTAGCCATAGGTAGAAAGCTGAACCTGTATCCTTTCCTTACGCCTTATACAAAAGCTAATTCAAGGTGGATTAAAGACTTACATGTTAGACCTAAAACCATAACCCTAGAAGAAAACCTAGGCAATACCATTCAGGACATAGGCATGGGCAAAGACTTTATGTCTAAAACACCAAAAGCAATGACAACAAAAGCCAAAATTAACAAATGGGATCTAATTAAACTCAAGAGCTTCTGCACAGGAAAAGAAACTACGGTCAGAGTGAACAGGCAACCTACAGAATGGGAGAAAATTTTTGCAATCTACTCATCTGACAAAAGGCTAATATCCAGAATCTACAAAGAACTCAAACAAATTTACAAGAAAAACCCAAACAACCCCATCAACAAGTGGGTGAAGACACTTCTCAAAAAAAGACATTTATGCAGCCAAAAGACACATGAAAAAATGCTCATCATCACTGGCCATCAGAGAAATGCAAATCAAAACCACAATGAGATACCATCTCACACCAGTTAGAATGGCGATCATTAAAAAGTCAGGAAACAACAGGTGCTGGAGAAGATGTGGAGAAATAGGAACACTTTTACACTGTTGATGGGACTGTATACTAGTTCAACCATTGTGGAAGACAGTGTGGCAATTCCTCAAGGATCTAGAACTAGAAATACCATTTGAGCCAGCCATTCCATTAGTGGGTATATACCCAAAGGATTGTAAATCATGCTGCTATAAAGACACATGCACACGTATGTTTATTGTGGCACTATTCACAATAGCAAAGACTTGGAACCAGCCCAAATGTCCAACAATGATAGACTGGATTAAGAAAATGTGGCACATATACACCATGGAATACTATGCAGCCATAAAAAATGATGAGTTCATGTCCTTTGTAGGGACATGGATGAAGCTGGAAACCATCATTCTCAGCAAGCTATCACAAGGACAAAAAACCCAACACCGCATGTTCTCACTCATAGGTGGGAATTGAACAATGAGAACACTTGGGCACAGGAAGGGGAACATCACAATGCAGGCCTGTCATGGGGTGGGGGGAGGGTGGAGGGATAGCATTAGGAGATATGCCTAATGAAAATGACGAGTTAATAGGTGCAGCACACCATCATGACTCATGTATACATATGTAACAAACCTGCATATTGTGCACATGTACCCTAGAACTTAAAGTATAATAAAAAAAAAACACTGTCACTTTCAGAGCAATCATTCACTTTATGATTTAAGTTTGCTCAATTCTACGTTTCTACTTAGTGACTTCAAGGTCCTTCCTTTTCACTTATTTTCTTCTCCTCAGACCTTTGATCTAAATTCCACAGGGGTAGAGCCTTGTCATTCTGGCTTCAGGGAAGAGGTTAATGTGTCCATGGTTTATTGCATCCATGCATGCTGACTTCTGTTGAAAAATATAGTCACCATTAACATCTTTGGTGACTGGAACTGACACTTACTGCAGTACACTAAAATGTCCTCTTCCCCTTTCGTACTCTGCTAACTAAATTCATACTGTTTACAATAGCCTCTCCATTCATCCTTATTATGATGCTACTCCAGGGGCCATCTCCTACAATCAGCCACTATCACACCTTTTTCTCAGGGACATAGAAAATTTTTAGATGTTGTCCCTTGTTCTTCCTGGGCTTCAGAGCATGAGAATAGTAGGTAGAGAATATCTCTAGAGTTCTCTTTTTAAATTTAGCTTCTGTTATGTCTACTATTACAGAGACAGGCTGAGGTAGAATACTTCTCTACCAGAGTTTTTGTGTTTTCCAACTTTGTGGTAGAAGTGAGACCCAGCAGCAACCCAACACTTACAGAGAGCCTGGCACATAGTAAGTGCTCAATATACATTTGTTGATTAAATGAATATATGAATGAATAAATGAATGAAATAAACCGAATAAATAAATCAAAAAAGTAAAGAAATATTTAACTCTGCAAGATGAACGCACACATCACAAAGCAGTTTCTCCAATAGCTTCCTTCTGTTTTTTATCCTGGAATATTGGCTTTTTCACCATTGGCCTTAATGAGCTCACAAATGTCCATTAGCAAAGTGGACAAAAACAGTGTTTCCAAACTGCTAAATATAAAGAAAGGTTTAACTCTGTGAGAAGAATTCACACGTCACAAAGCAGATTCTGAGAAAGCTTATTTATTGTTTTTATCTGACAATATTTCCTTTTTCACCATAGGACTCAATGTGCTCCCAAATATCTCTTCACAGACTCTAACAAAACAGTGTTTCCAAGCTGATGAATGAAAGGAAAGGTGTAACTGTGCACGGTGAATGCACACATCACAAATGGGTTTCTAGGAACTTTCTTCTAGTTTTTATCCTGGGATATATGCTTTTTCCGTGTTGGCCTCAATGAGCTCCCAATATACCTTATTAAATTCTACAAAAACGTGTTTCCAAACTGCTGAATGAAAAGATAGCTTTAACTCTGTGAGAAGAATGCACAAATCACAAACCAGTTTCTCAGAGAGCTTCCTTCTAGTTTTTATCCTGGGATATATGTTTTTCTCAGTGGCCTCAATGAGCTCTGAAATGTCCATTTGCAGAAAGGACAAAAACAGTCTTTCCAAACTGCTGAATCCAAAGAATCGTTTACCTCTGTGTTATGAATGTGCACAACACAAAGCTGTTTTTCAGAAAGCTTCTTTCTAGTTTTTATCTGAAGATATTTCCTTTTTCACCATAGGCCTCAATACGTTCCCAAATATCCCTTCTCAGATTCTATAAAAATCGTGTTTCCAAACTGCTGAAGAAAAAGAAACGTTTAACTCTACGAGATGAATGCACACATCACAGAGTGGTTTCTCAGATAGCTTCCTTCTAGTTTGTATACTGGGATATTCACTTTTTCCCTTATGGCCTCATTGAGCTATGAAATATCCCTTAGCAGATTCTACAAAAACAGTATCTCCAAACTGCTGAATGCAAAGAGGTTTAACACTGTAAGATGAATGCACACATCAAAAAGGAGTTTCTCAGAAAGCTTCTTTCTTATCTGAAGATATTTCCTTTTTCACCATAGGCCTCAATGCGATCCTAAATATCTCTTCGCAGATTCACAAAAACAGTGTTTCCAAAGTGCTAAATGAAAAGAAAGGTTTACCTCTGTGAGATGACTGCACACATCACAAAGCAGTTTCTCAGATGGCTTCTTTCTAGTTTTTTTTTTCTGTGATATTCGCTTTTCACCTATGGTATCAATGAGCTATCAAATATTCCTTTGTAGATTCCACAAAAAGAGTATTTTCCAAACTGCTGAATCAAAACAAATGTTTAACTCTGTGAGATGAATGCACACATCACAAAGCAGTTCCTCAGAATGCTTCTTTCTTGTCTTCATCTGAAGGTATTTCCTTTTTCACCATAGGCCTCAATGTCCTCCAAGATATTCACTTTGGGGTTTCTGCCAAAAGAGTGTTTCCAATCTGCTGAATAAAAAGAAATGTTTATCTCTGCAAGTTGAATGCACCCATCACAAGATGCTTTCTCAAATAGCTTCCTTCTGGTTTTTATCCTGGGATATTCGCTTTTTTGCCATTAGCCTCAATGAGCTCCCAAACGTCCCTATGTAGATTCTACAACAACAGTGTTTTTCCAACTGCTGAAACCAATGAAACGTTTATCTCTTTGCGATGAATGCACACATCACAAAGTAGTTTCTCAGAAGGCTTATTTCTAGTTTTTATTGGAAGATATTTCCTTTTTCACCATAGGCCTCAATGCACTCCTGAATATCACTTCAGGGATTCTGCCAGAACAGTGTTTCCAGATTTCTGAAGGAAAAGTAAGTTTTACTTCTGTGAGGTGAATGCACACATCATGTAGCTGTTTCTCAGTTAGCTTCCTTCTAGTTTTTATCCTGGGATGCTGGCTTTTTTGCCATTGGCCTCAAAGGGCTCCCAAATATTCCTTCACAGATTCTACAACAACAGTGTTTTCAAACTGCTGAATCTGCAGAATGGTTTATCTCTGTGAGGTGAGTGCATGCCTCACAAAGCAGTTTCTCAGAAAGCTTCTTTCTAATTTTTTTCTGAAGGTACTTCCTTTTTCACCATAGGCCTCAAACCACTCCCAAATATCACTTCACAGATTCCACAAAAACAGTGTTTCCAAGGTGCTCAATGAAAAGAAAGGTTTAACTCTATGAGATGAATGCACACATCGCAAACCAGTTTCTCAAAAGCTTTCTTCTAGTTTTTATCCTTGGATATTCACTTCTTCGCCATTGGCTTCAATGAACTCCCGCATATCCCTTCACAGATTCTACAACAACAGCATTTCCAAAATGCTGAATCCAAAGAAAGGCTTAACTCTTTGAGATGGATGCACATATCACAAAGCCGTTTCTCAGAAAGTTTCTTTATAGTTTTTATCTGAAGATACTTCCTTTTTCAACATAGGCCTCAATGCGCTTCCAAATAACCCTTCGGGGATTCTCCCAGAACTGTGTTTCCAGATTGTTGAAAGAAAAGTAACTTTTACTTTGGTGAGGTGAATGCATACAACAAAAAGCTGTTTCTCAGATGGCTTGCTTCTAGTTTTTATCCTGGAATATTGACTTTTTCAACATTGGTCTAAATGAGCTCTCAAATATCCCTTCACAGATTCAACAATAACAGTGTTTCCAAACTGCTGAATCAAAAGAAAGGTTTAACTCTGTGAGATGAATGCGCACATCACAAAGCTGTTTCTCAGAAAATTCTTTCTAGTTTTTATATGAAGATATTTCCTTTTTCACCATAGGTCTCAATGTGCTCCCAAATATCCCTTCATGGATTCTGCCAAAACAGTGTTTCCAGACAGCTGTATGAAAAGAAAGTGTTAACTCTGCAAGCTGAATGCACACATCACAAAGCAGTTTCTCAGATAGCTTCTTTCTAGTTTTTATCCTGGGATATTTCCTTTTTTGCCTTTGGCTTCAATGAGATCCCAATTGTCCATTTGCAGTATGGACAAACACAGTGTTTCCAAACTGCTGATTCCACAGAAAGGGTTAACCCCGTGAGATAAATGAACACATCATAAAGCTGTTTCTCAAATAGCTTCCTTCTAGTTTTTATCCTGGGATTTTTTTTTGCCATTGACTTCAATGAGCTCCCAAATGTCCATTTGCAAAAAGTACAGAAACATCAATTGCAAACTGCTGAATACACAGAAATGTTTAACTCTGTGATTTCAATGCACACATCACAAAGCAGTTTCACAGAAAGCTTCTTTCTAGTTTTTATCTGAAGGTGTTTCCTTTTTCACCATAGGCCTCATTGTGCTCCCAAATATCCCTTCAGGGATTCTTCCAGAACAGTGGTTCCAGATTGCTGAATGAAAAGTAAGTTTTACTCTGTGAGGTGAATGCACACATCACAAAGGTGTTTCTCAGATGGCTTCCTTCCAGTTTTTATTCTTGGATACTGGCTTTTTGGCCATTGGTTCCAAAGAGCTCCCAAATATTCCTTCACAGATTCTACAACAGTGTTTTCAAACTGCTGAATTCACAGAATCATTTAACTCTGTGAGGTGAATGCACTTATCACAAAGCAGTTTATCAGAAATCTTTCTACTTTTTTTCTGAAGATATTTTGTTTTTTACCATAGGCCTCAAATTACTCCCATATATCATTTTGCAGCTTCTAGGAAAACACTGTTCACAAACTGCTGAATGAAAATAAAGGTTTAATTTTGCAAGGTGAATGCACACATCACAAAGCAGTTTCTCAAATACCTTCATTCTAGTTTTCATATTGGGATATTGGTTTTTTCACCATTGACCTCAAAGAGCTCCCAAATACCCTTTCTCAGATTCTACAACAACAGTGATTCCAAACTGCTGAATAAAAAAAAAGTCACTCTGTGAAATGAATGCACACATCAGTAAGGAGTTTTTGAGAAATTTCTTTCTAGTTTTTATCTGAAGACATTTCCTTTTTCACCACAGGCTTCAATGCATTCCCTGATATCCCTTCACAAATTCTACGAAAACAGTGTTTCCAGAGTGCTGTATCAAAGAAAGGTTTAATTATGTGAGATTAATTCACACATCACAAAGCAGTTTCTCACATAGATTCCTTCTAGTTTTTAACCTGGGATATTCGCCTTTTCACCATTGACCTCAAATAGCTCCCAAATGTCCATTCGCAGATTCTACAACAACTGTGTTTTCAAAATGCTGAATCCAAAAACAGGTTAAACTCTGTGAGATGAATGCACACGTCACAAAGCTGTTTCTCAGAATGCTTCTTTGTAGTTTTTATCTGAAGATATTTTGTTTTTCACCATGGGCCTCAATGTGCTCCCAAACATCCCTTCATGGGTTCTGCCAAAACAGTGTTTCCTGACTGCTGTCAGAAAAAAAAAAAATGTTTTAACTTTGTGAGATGAATGCACACATCATGAAGCGGTTTCTCAGATAGCTTCCTTCTAGTTTTTATCCTGGATATTCTCTTTTTTGCCATTGACCCTGATGAGCTCCAAAATGTTCATTTGCAGAATGGAAAAAAACAGTGTTTTCAAATTGCTGACTCCGCAGAAAGTTGTAACTCTGTGACATGAAAGCAAAGATCACAAAGTAGTTTCTCTGAAAGCTTCTTTCTAGTGTTTATCTGAAGATATTTCTTTCTTCTTTTTTTTTGAGATGGAGTCTTGCTCTGTCACCCAGGCTGGAGTGCAGTGGGGTAATCTCGGCTCACTGCAAGCTCTACTTCACTGGTACAGGGCATTCTCCTGCCTCAGACTTCTGTGTAGCTGGGACTGCAGGCACCCGTGAGCAAGCTCGGCTATTTTTTACTATTTTTAGTACAGATGGGGTTTCACTGAGTTAGTCAGGATGGTCTTGATCTCCTGACTTTGTGATCCTTCCACTCAGCCTCCCAAAGTGCTGGGATTACAGGTGTGAGCCACTGTGCCTGGCCTCGTTTTTCACAATAGGTCTGAATGCACTCCCAGATAGCTCTTTGCAGATTCTACGAAAACAGTGTATCCAACCTGCTGAATGAAAAGAAAGGTTTAAGTATGCGAGAATATTGCACACATCACAAAACAGTTTCTCAAATGGCTTCATTCTGGTCTTTATATTGGGACATTCACTTTTTCACCATTGGCTTCAATGAGCTCTGAAATATCCCTTAACAGATTCTACAACAACAGTGTTTCCAAATTACTGAATCCAAAGAAATATTTAACTCTGTGAGATGAATGCACACATCACAAAGCAGTTTCTCAGAAAGCTTCTTTCTTGTTTTTATCTGAGGAAATTTCCTTTTTCAACATAAGCCCCTATGCATGCCCAAATATCCCTTCACAGATTCTGCCAACACAGTGTGTCCAGACTGCTGTTAGAAAAGAATATTTTAAGTCTGCGAGGTGAAT
Source organism: Homo sapiens (assembly GCF_000001405.40). Classification (NCBI taxonomy): domain Eukaryota; kingdom Metazoa; phylum Chordata; class Mammalia; order Primates; family Hominidae; genus Homo; species Homo sapiens. The sequence goes on along the minus strand of NC_000007.14, from coordinate 62,730,604 downwards.
GCACACATCACAAACCAGTTTCTCCAATAGATTCTTTCTAGTTTTTATCCTGGGATATCCCCTTTTTTGCAATTGGCCTCAATGAGCTCCCAAATATCCATTTGCATATTCTACTACAGTGTCTGAACACTGCTGAATCCACAGAGAGTTTTAACTCTGTGATATGAATGCACAGATCACAAAGCAGTTTCTCAGAAAGTTTCTTTCTAGTGTTTATCTGAAGATTATTTCCTTTTTCTTTTTTCTTTTTTTTTGAGATGGAGTCTTGCTCTGTCACCCAGCCTGGAGTACAGGGGGTGATCTTGACTCAGTGCAATCTCCACTTCCCCAGTTCATGCCATTCTCCTGCCTCAGCCTCCCGTGTAGCTGGGACTGCATGTTCCCACAACCATGCTTGGCTAATTTTTTCTATTTTTAGTAGAGACGGGGTTTCACCATGTTAGCCAGGATGGTCTCGATCTCCTGACCTTGAGATCTGCTGCCTCAGCCTCCCAAAGTGCTGGGATTACAGGCATGAGCCACGGCACCCAGTCTCCTTCTTCTCCGTAGGTCTCCATGCACTCCCAGATATCCCTTCACAGATTCTATGAAAACACTGTTTCCAAATTGCTGAATGAAAAGAAAGATTTAACTCTGCAAGATGAAGGCACACATCACAAAGCAGTTTCTCAAATAGCTTTCTTCTAATTTTTATCATAGAATATTCACTTTTTCACAATTGGTCTCAAAGAGCTCTGAAATATCCCTTCAAAGATTCTACATCAACAGCGTTTCCAAATAGCTGATTCCAAAGAAAGGTTTAACTCTGTGAAATGAATGCACACATCATAAAGCAGTTTCTCAGAAAGCATCTTCATGGTTTTTATCTGAAGATATTTCCTTTTTCACCATAAGCCTCAATGTGCTCAAAATATCCCTTTGCAGATTCTGCCAAGACAGTGTTTCCAGACTGCTGCATGAATAGAACATTTTAACTTTACAAGGTGAATGCACACATCACAAAGCAGTTATTCAGATAGCTTCTTTCAAGTTTTTATACTGGGATATACCCTTTTTCACCATTGGACTCAATAAGCTCCCAAATATCCATTTGCAAATTCTACAATAGTGTTTCAAACTGCTGAATCCACAGAAAGCTTTAACTCTGTGATATGAATGCACAGATCACAATGCAGTTTCTTGGAAAGTTTCTTTCTAGTTTTTATCAGAAGGTATTTCACTTTTTGCCATAGGTCTCAATGCCCTCCTAAATATCCCTTAGCAGATTCTGCCAAAGCACTGTTTCCAGACTGTTGAATGAAAAGAAGGTTTTAACTCAGCGAGAAGAATGCCCACATCGATATCAGTTGCTCAAATAGATTCCGTGGAGAAATAGGAACACTTTTACACTGTTGGTGGGACTGTAAACTAGTTCAACCATTCTGGAAGTCAGTGTGGCGATTCCTCAGGGATCTAGAACTGGAAATACCATTTGACCCAGCCATCCCATTACTGGATATATACCCAAAGGACTATAAATCATGCTGCTATAAAGACACATGCACACATATGTTTATTGCGGCATTATTCACAATAGCAAAGACTTGGAACCAACCCAAATGTCCAACAATGATAGACTGGATTAAGAAAATGTGGCACATATACACCATGGAATACTATGCAGCCATAAAAAATGATGAGTTCATGTCCTTTGTAGGGACATGGATGAAATTGGAAATCATCATTCTCAGTAAACTATCACAAGAACAAAAAACCAAACCCCGCATATTCTCACTCATAGGTGGGAATTGAACAATGAGATCACATGGACACAAGAAGGGAAATATCACACTCTGGGGACTGTTGGGGGGGTGGGGGGAGGGGGGAGGGATAGCATCGGGAGATATACCTAATGCTAGATGACGAGTTAGTGGGTGCAGCGCACCAGCATGACACATGTATACATATGTAACTAACCTGCACAATGTGCACATGTACCCTAAAACTTAAAGTATAATAAAAAAAATAGATTCCATCTAGTTTTGATCCTGGAGTTCCAGCAGTTCCAAACTGCTGAATGAAAAGAAAGGTTTAATTGGGTGAGATAAATGCACACATCACAAAGCACTATCTCAAATACCTTCCTTCTAGTTTTTATCCTGGGATACTCACTTTTCCACCATTGACCTCAAAGAACTCCCAAATATCCTTTTACAGATTCTACAAAAAGAGTGTTTCCAAAATGCTGAATCCAAAGAAACATTTCACTCTTGAAATGAATGCACACATCAGAAAGCAGTTTCTCAGAAATGTTCTTTCTAGTTTTTTCTTAAGATAATTCCTTTTTCACCATGGGCCTCAACGCTCTGCCAAATATCCTTTCACACTTTCTAAAATACAGTGTTTCCAAACTCCTGAATGAAACGAAAAGTTTATCTCTGCAAGATGAGTGCACACTTCACAAAGCAGTTTCTCAGGTCATTTCCTTCCAGTTTTAATCCTGAGATATTCACTTATTTGCCCTTGGTGTCAATGAGCTCCCAAGGTCCATTCACAGAATGGACAAAAACTGTGTTATCAAACTGCTCATTCCAAGGAAAAGTTTAACTCTCTGAGATGAATACACACATCCCAAACCAGTTTCTCATTAAACTTCTTTCCAGTTTTTAATTGAAGATATTTCCTTTTTCACCATTGGCCTCATTACTCTTCCAAATATCTCTTTGCAGATTCTCAGAAACTAGTGTTTCCAAACTCCTGAATGAAAAGAAATATTTAACACTGTGAGATGAATGCACACATCACAAAATGGTTTCTCTGATACCTTCTTTCCAGTTTTTATCCTGGTATATTCTTTTTTTTTGCCATTGGCCTCAATGAGCTCCCAAATGTCCATACACAGAGTGGAGAAAAACAGTGTTTCCAAAATACTGAATCCAAAGAAAGTTTTAACTCTCTTCAGACAAAGGTTTAAGCCTGTAAGATGAAAGAATACATCACAAAGAAGTTTCTCAGAAAGATTCTTTGTAGTTTTTATCTGAACATATTTCTTAGTCACCATAAGCCTCAATGCACTACCAAATATTTCTTCGCAGATTCTAAGAAAACAGTGTTTCCAAACTGCTGAATGAAAAGAAAGGTTTAACTCTGTGAGATTAATGCAAACATCACAAATCGGTTTCTCTGATAACTTCCTTCTAGTTTTTATCCAGGGATATTCACTCTTTCATCATTGGCCTCAATGAGCTACCAAGTATCCATTCGCAAAATGGACACAAACAGTGTTTCCAAACTTCTGAATCCAAAGAAACACTTAACTCTGTGAGGTGAATGAAGACATCACAAAGCAGTTTCTCAGAAAGCTTCTTTCTCGTTTTTATCTGAAGATATTTCCTTTTTCACCATAGGCCTCCATACTCTTCCAAATATCTCTCTGCAGATTCTAAGATAAGAGTGTTTCCAAACTGCTGAAAGATAAAAACAGTTTTGTCTCTGTGAGATGAATGCACACATCATAAATCCGTTTCTCACATAACTTCTTGTAGTTTTTATCCTGGGATATTCACTTTTTCACCATTGGCCTCAATGAGGTCCCAAATGTCCATTCGCAGAATTGATAAAAACAGTGTTTTGAAACTGCTGAATCCAAAGAAAGGTTTAACTCTGTGTGATGAATGCACACATACCAAAACAGTTTCTCATCGATGCTTCCTTCTAGTTTTTATCTGAAGTTGTTACCTTTTTCTCCGTAGACCTCAAGGTGCTACCAAATATCTCTTTGCAGATTCTAAGATATCAGTGTTTCCAAACTGCTGAATGAAAAGAAAGGTTTAACTCTGTGAGATGAATTCCCACATCACAAATTGCTTTCTCTGATAAATTCCTTCCAGTTTTTATCCTGGGATATTCATTTTATCACCACTGGCCTCAATGAGCTCCCAAACGTCCATTCGCAGAATGGACAAAAACAGTGTTTCCAAACAGCTGAATCGAAAGAAAGGTTTAAATCTGTGAGATGAATGAACACATCACAGAGTAGTTTTTCAGAAAGGTTTTTCCTATTTTTTAGAAGAAGATATTTCCTTTTTCAGCATAAGCATAATGCACTGCCAAATATCCTTTAGCAGTTTCTACAAAAACAGTGTTTCCAAACTGCTGAATGAAAAGAAAGTTTTAACTCTACTAGATGAATGCAAACACCACAAAACGGTTTCTCTGATAGCTTCCTTCTAGTTTTAATCCTGGGATATTCCCTTTTTTGCCATTGGCCACAAAGAGCTACCAAACTTCCTTTCAAAGAATGAACAAAAACTGTGTTATCAAACTGTTGAATCCAAAGAAATGCTTAACTCTGTTAGAGGAATGAGCACATCACAAAGCCATTTCTCAGAAAGCTTCTTGCTACTTTTTATCTGAAGATATTTCTTTTCTCACCTTGGGCCTCAATGTGCTGCCAAATATCCTTTCTCAGTTTCTACAAAAACAGTGTTTCCAAAGTGCTGACTGAAAGGAAAGGTTTAACTCTGCTAGATGAATGCACACCTCACAAAGCAGTTTATCAGATAGCTCCCTTCTAGTTTTAATCCCGGGATATTCACTTTTTTGCCATTGGCCTAAAAGAGCTCCAAAACGTCCATTCACAGAATGGACATAAACAGTGTTATCACACTGCTGAAACCAAATAAAGATTTAACTCTGTGAGATGAATGCACACAACTGAAACCAGTTTCTCATTAAGCTTATTTCTACTTTCTATCTGAAGATATTTCCTTTTTTGCCATGGGCCTCAATGTGTTACCAAATATCTCTTCACAGATTCTAAGAAATCAGTAGCTCCAAACTGCAGAATGAAAAGATTTAACTCTCTGAGATGAAGGCACACATCCCAAAACTGTTTCTCATTAAGCTTCTTTCTAGTTTTTATCTGGAGATATTTCCTTTTTAATCATTGGGCTCCATACTCTTCCAAATATCACTCTGCAGATTCTAAGATAACAGTGTTTCTAAACAGCTGAATGAAAAAAAAGATTTCACTCTGAGATGAATGCACACATCATGAATCGGTTTCTCAGATAACTTCCTTCTAGTTTTCAACTTGGGATATTCTGTTTTACACCAATGGCCTCAATGAGCTCCCAGATGTCCATTCACATAATGGACAAAAACAGTGTTACCAAACTGCTGAATCCAAAGAAAGGTTGATCTCTCTGAGTTGAATGCACACCTCCCAAACAAATTTCTCATTCAGCTTCTTTCTAGTTTTTATTTGAAGACATTTCGTTTTTCAGTATAGACCTCCATGTGCTACCAAATATCTCTTTGAAGATTCTAGGAAAACAGTGTTTCCAAACTGCTGAATGAAAAGAAATATTTAACTCTGTGAGATGAATGCACACATTATGAATCGGTTTCTCAGATAACATCCTTCTCGTTTTTATCCCGGGATATTTGCTTTTACACCATTGGCCTCAACAAGCTCCCAAATGTCCAGTTGCAGAATGGAGAAAAACAGTGTTTCCAAACTGCTGAATCAAAGGAAAGGTTTAAATCTATGAGAGAATGGACACATCACAAAGCACTTTTTCAGAAAGCTTCTTTCTAGTTTTATCTGAAGATATTTCATTTTTCACCATAGGCATCAATGTGCTGCCAAATATTCTCTCAGAGTTCTTACAAAAACAGTCTTTCCAAACTGCTGGATGAAAAGAAAGGTTTAACTCTGCTAGATGAATGTACATATCAAACAGAAGTTTCTCAGATAACATCCTTCTAGTTTTAATCCTGGGATATTCACTTTTTCACCATTGGGCTCAATGAGCATCAAAACGTCCATTCACCGAATGGACAAAAACAGTGTTACCAAACTGCTGAATCCAAAGAAAGGTTTAACCCTGGAAGATGAATGCACACAACCCAAACCAGTTTCTCATTAAGCTTCTTTCAAGTTTTTTCTGATGATATTTCCTTTTTCACTGTAGGCCTCAATGCTTTACCAAATATCAATCCACAGGCTCTAAGAAAACAATGCTACCACACTGCTGAATGAAAAGAAAAATTTAACTCCATGAGTTGAATGTACACATCAAAAATCAATTTCTCAGATAACTTCCTTCTACTTTTTATCCTGGGATATTGGCTTTTTCACTATTGGCCTCAATGAACCCCCAAATTTCCACTCTCAAAATGGACAAAAACTGTGTTTCCAAACTGCTGAATCCAAAGGAAGGTTTAACTCTGTGAGGTGAATGAACACACACAAAGCAGTTTCTCAGAAAGCTTCCTTCTATTTTTTCTCTGAAGATAATTCCTTTCTCACAATAAGTATCAATGCATAGCCAAATATGTTTTCACAGTTTCTAAAAAAACAGTGTTTCCAAACTACTGAGTGATAAGAAAGGTTTAACTCTGCTAGATGAATGCACAATTCACAAAGCAGTTTCTCAGATAACTTCCTTCTAGTTTTAATCCTGGGATATTCGCTTTGTCAACATTGGCATCAATGAGCTCCCAAACGTCCATTCACAGAATGGATGGAAACAGTGTTTCCAAACTGCTGAATGAAAAGAAAGGTTTCACTCTGTGAGATTATTGCACATCTCATGAATTGGTTTCTCAGATAACTTCCTTCAGGTTTTTATCCTGGGGTATTCACTTTTTCACCATTGTCCTCAATGACTTCCCAAATGTCCATTCCAAGAATGGACAAAAACTGTTTTTTCAAACTGCTGAATTCAAAGACAGATTTAACTCTCTGATGTGAATTTACACATCACAAACCATTTTCTCATGAAGCTTCCTTCTAGTTTTTATCTGAAGATATTTCCTTTTTCACCATTGGCCTACCATGTCTTCCAAAAATCTCTTGGCAGTTGCTAAGAAAACAGTGTTTCTAAACTGCAGAATGAAAAGAAAGATTTAACTCTGTGAAATGAAGGCACACATCATGAAATCATGAGCCAGTTTCTCAGATAACTTCCTTCAGGTTTTTATCCTGGGATATTCATTTTTTTGCCACTGGCCTCAATGAGCTCTGAAATGTCCAGCTGTAGAATGGACAAAAACAGTATTTCCAAAGTGCTGAATCAAAGGAAAAGTTTAACTCTGTGAATTGAATGAAATCATCCTGAAGTACCTTCTGAGAAAGCCTCTTGCTAGTTTTTATCTGAGGATATTTCCTTTTTCACCATGGTCCTCAATGCACTATCGAATATCTCTTCACACATTCTAAGACATCAGTGTTTCCAAACTGCCAAATGAAAAGAAAAGTTTAACTCTGTGAGATGAATGCACACATCATAAAGTGGTTTCTCAGATAGCTTCCTTCTGGGTTTAGTCCTGGGATATTCACTTTAACGCAATTGGCCAAAATGAGCTCCCAAACGTCCATTCACAGAATGGACACAAACAGTGTTTCCAAACTGCTGAAAGCAAAGAAAGGTTTAATTCTGTGATATGAATGCACATATCATGAATTGGTTTCTCAGATAACTTACTTCTCATTTTTATCCTGGGATGTTTCCTTTTTCACCATTGTCCTCAATGAGCTCCCAAATGTCCATTCACAAAAAGGACAAAAGCAGTATTTCCAAACTGCTGAATCAAAAGATCGGTTTAATTCTGTGAGAGGAATGGACACATCACAAAGCACTTTCTCAGAAAGTTTATTTCTATTTTTCTCTGAAGATAATTCCTTTTTCACATTTAGGCCTCAATGTGCTGCCAAATATCTTTTCACAGTTTCTACAAAAGCAGTATTTCCAAACTGCTGAGTGAAATGAAAGGTTTAACTCTGTGAGATGAATGCACACATTACAAAGCAGTTTCTCAAATAAAGACAGATTTCACTGTCTGAGGTGAATGCACCCATCCCAAATCAGTTTCTCATTAAGCTTCCTTCCAGTTTTCGTCTGAAGATATTTCCTTTTTCACCATCAACCTCCATACTCTTCCAAATATCTCTTGGCAGATTCTTCAAAAACAGTGTTTCTAAATGGCTGAATGAAAAGAAAGATTGACCTCTGTGAGAAAAATGCACACATCATGAATCAGTTTATCAGATAACTTCCTTCAAGTTTTAATTCTGGGATATTCACTTTTTCACTATTGGCCTCAGTGAGATCCCACATGTCCATTTGCAGAATGGAAAAACAGTATTTCCAAACTGCTGAGTCCAAGGAAAAGTTTAACTCTATGAGATGAATGAAAACATCACAAAGTAGTTTCTCAATAAGCTTCTTACCCGTTTTTATCTGAAGATATTTCCTTTTTCTCCATTGGCTTAAATGCACCCCCAGATATCTCTTTGCACAATCTAAGAAATCAGTATTTCCAAACTGCTGAATAAAAAGAAAGCTTTAACTCTGTGAGATGAATGCATGCATCACAAAGTGGTTTCTCAGATAGCTTCCTTCTAGTTTTTATCCTGGGATATTCGCTTTTCACCATTGGCCACAATGAGCTCCCAAATGTCCATTCCCAGAATGGACAAAAACTTTGTTTCCAAACTGTTGAATCCAAAGACAGATTTAGCTCTCTGAGGTGAAAGCACACATCCCAAACCAGTTTCTTATTAAGTTTCTTTCTAGTTTTTATCTGAAGATAGTTCCTTTTTTCTTATTTTATTTTATTTTATTTTTTTATTATTACACTTTAAGTTTTAGGGTACATGTGCACAATGTGCAACTTAGTTAAGTATGTATACATGTGCCTGCTGGTGTGCTGCAGCCATTAACTCGTCATTTAGCATTAGGTATATCTCCTAATGCTATCCCTGCCCCCTCCCCCCACCCCCCCAACAGTCCCCGGAGTGTGATGTTCCCCTTCCTGTGTCCATGTGTTCTCATTGTTCAATTCCCACCTATGAGGGAGAACATGTGGCATTTGGTTTTTTGTCCTTGTGATAGTTTACTGAGAATGATGATTTCCAATTTCATCCATGTCCCTACAAAGGACATGCATTCATCATTTTTTATGGCTGCATAGTATTCCATGGTGTATATGTGCCACATTTTCTTAATCCAGTCAATCATTGTTGGACATTTGGGTTGGTTCCAAGTCTTTGCTATTGTGAATAGTGCCGCAATAAACATATGTGTGCATATGTCTTTATAGCGGCATGATTTATAGTCCTTTGGGTATATACCCAGTAATGGGATGGCTGGGTCAAATGGTATTTCTAGTTCTAGATCCCTGAGGAATCGCCACACTGACTTCCACAATGGTTGAACTAGTTTACAGTCCCACCAACAGTGTAAAAGTGTTCCTATTTATCCACATCCTCTCCAGCACCTGTTGTTTCCTGCCTTTTTAATGATCGCCATTCTAACTGGTGTGAGATGGTATCTCACTGTGGTTTTGATTTGCACTTCTCTGATGGCCAGTGATGATGAGCATTTTTTCATGTGTTTTTTGGCTGCATAAATGTCTTCTTTTGAGAAGTGTCTGTTCATGTCCTTCGCCCAATTTTTGATGGGGTTGTTTGTTTTTTTCTTGTAAATTTCTTTGAGTTCATTGTAGATTCTCGAAATTAGCCCTTTGTCAGATGAGTATGTTGCAAAAATTTTCTCCCATTCTGTAGGTTACCTGTTCACTCTAATGGTAGTTCCATTGGCCTTCATACTGTTTGAAATATCTCTTGTCAGATTCTAAGAAAACAGTGTTTCTAACCTGCTGAATGAAAAGAAAGATATTTAACTCTGTGAGATGAATGCTCACATGTCAATTCGATTTCTCAGCTAACTTCATGCAAGTTTTTATCCTGGGATATTCACTTTTTTGCCATTGGCCTCAAAGAGCTCCAAAATGTCTCTTTGCAAAATGGACAAAAACAGTGTTTCTAAAATGCTGAATCCAAAGAAAGGTTTAACTCTGTGAGATGAATGAACACATTACAAAGAGGTTCCTCAGAAAGTTTCTTTCTAGTTTTTTTCTGAAGATATTTCCTTTTTCACCGTAGGCCTCAATGCACTCACAGATATCCTTTCACATATTTGACGAAAACATTTTTTCCGAACTGTTGAATGAAAAGAAATGTTTAACTCTGTGAGATGAATGCACACATCACAAAGTGGTTTCTCAGATAGTTTCCTTCCAGTTTTTATTGTGGAATATTCACTTTTCTTCCATTGGCCTCATTGAGTCCTCAAATGTCCATTTGCAGAATGGACAAAAACAATGTCTGTAAACGTCTGAATCCACTGAAATTTTTAACTATGTGAGATGAATGCACACATCATAAAATAGTTTCCCAGAATGCTTCTTTCTAGTTTTTAAAAAATTTTTTATTATTATACTTTAAGTTTTAGAGTACATGTGCACAATGTGCAGGTTTGTTGCACATGTATACATTTGCTATGTTGGTGTGCTGCACCCATTAACTCATCATTTAGCATTAGGTATATCTCAAATCACAAATCAGTTTCTCAGATAACTTCCTTCTAGTTTTTATCCTGGGATATTCTCTTTTTTGCCTTTGGCCTCCATGAGCTACCAAACAGCCATTGCAGAATGGACAAAAACAGGGTTTCTGAACTGCTGAATTCAAAGAAAGATTTAACTCTGTGAAATGAATGAACACATCACAAAGCAATTTCTCAGAAAGCTTCTTTTTAGTTTTTATTTGAAGACACTTCCTTTTTCACCATAGGCCTCATTGTGATACCAAATATCTATTTGCAGATTCTAAAAAAACAGTGTTTCCAAACTTCAGAATGAAAAGAAAGGTTTCATTCTGTGAGATGAATGCACACATCACAAATCAGTTTCTCAGAAAAAGTGCTTCTATTTTTTATCTTGGGATATTCACATTTTTGCCATTGATCTCAATGAGCTCCCAAGTGTCCATTTGCAGAATAGACAAAAACTGTGCTTCCAAGCTGCTGAATCCAAAGAAAGGTTTAAGTCTCTGAGATGAATGAAAACATAACAAAGCAGTTTTTCAGGACGCTTCTTTCTAGTTTTTGTCTGTAGAAAATCCCTTTTTCACCATAGGTCTCCATGAGCTGCCCAATATTCCTTCAAAGATTCTTCAAAAACAGTGTGTCCAAACTGCTGAATGAAAAGAATGTTTACCTGTGCGAGATGAATGTGCACATCACAAAGCAGTTACTCAGAGGCCTCGTTCTAGTTTTCATCCTGGGATATTCACTTTTTCACCATTGGCCTCAATGAGTTCCCAAATGTACATTTCTAGAAAGGAAAGAAACTAGTGTTACAAAATTGCTGAATCCAAAGAAACGTTTAACTCTGTGAGATGAATGCACACATCCCAAAGCAGTTTCTCATTAAGCTTCTTTCTAGAGTTTATCTGAATATATTTTCTTTTTCACCATAGGCCTCAATTCCCTACCAAATATCTCTTCACAGATTCTAAGAAAACAGTATTTCCAAGCTGCTGAATGAAAAGAAAGGTTTAACTCCACTAGACTAATGCGCACATCACAAATCAGTTTCTCAGATAACTTCCTTCTGGTTTTTATCCTGGGATATTCTCTTTTTTCGCCTTTGGCCTAATGAGTTACTAAATGTCCATCGCAGAATGGACAGAAACAGTGTTTCTGAACTGCTGAATCTGAAGAAAGGTTTAACTCTGTGAAATTAATGAACACATCACACAGCAGTTTCTCAGAAAGCTTCTTTTTAGTTTTTATTTGAAGACATTTCCTTTTTCACCGTAGGCCTCATTGTGATACCAAATATCTATTTGCAGATTCCAAAAACACAGTGTTTCCAAACTTCAGAATGAAAAGAAAGGTTTAACTCTGTGAGATGAATGCACACATCACAAATCAGTTTCTCAGATAAAGTGCTTCTGTTTTTTATCTTGTGATATTCACATTTTCACCATTGACTTCAATGAGCTCCCAAATGTCCATTCACAGAATAGACAAAAACAGTGCTTCCAAGCTGCTGAATCCAAAGAAAGGTTTATCTCTCTGAGATGAATGAAAACATCACAAAGGAGTTTTTCAGAATGCTTCTTTCTAGTTTTTTTTTTTTACTGTAGAAAATCCCTTTTTCACCATAGGTCTCCATGTGCTGCAAAATATCCCTACAGAGATTCTTCAAAAAGAGTGTTTCCAAACTGCTGAATGAACAGAAAGGTTTAATTCTGTGAGATGAATGCACACATCACAAACTGGTTTATCAAATAGCTTCCTTATAGTTTTAGTCCTCTGATATTTTCTTTTTCACCATTGGCCTTAATGAGCTCCCAAATATCAATTTGCAGAATGCACAAAAACAGTGTTACCAAAGTGCTGAATCTAAAGAACAGTTTACTTCTGTGAGATGAATGCTTACATACTGAAGCTGTTTCTCTTTAAATTTCTTTCTAGTTTTTAACTGAAGATATTTTCACTATGCTACCAAATATCTCTTTGCAGATTCTTAGAAAACAGTGTTTCCAAACTGCTGAGTCAAAAGAACGTTTTAATTCTGTGAGATGAATGCATTACTCCCACAGTTGTCTCTCAGAAAGGTTCTTTCTAGTTTTTATCTGAAGATATTTACTTTTTCATCATGGGCCTCATTGCACTACCAAATATCTCTTCTCAGATTCTAAGAAAACAGTGTTTGCAAACAGCTGAATGAAAAGAAAGGTTTAAGTCTCTGAGATAAATGCCCACATCAAAATTCGGTTTCACGGATAATGTGCTTCCTGTTTTTACCTGGTATATTTGCTTTTTTGCCATTGGCCTCTATGTGCTCCCGAATGTCCATTCACAGAATGGGCAAAAACAGTTTCCATACTGCTGAATCCAAAAAAAGTTTTAACTCGTTAGGAAGAATGAACACATCACAAAGCAGTTTCTTATTAAGGTTCTTTTTCATTTTTATTGAATATATTTACTTTTTCACCATAAGCCTCAATGCGCTACCAAATATTCAATTGCAGATACTGCAAAAACAATGTTTCCAAACTGCTGCATGAAAAGAAACATTTAACTCTGCGAATTGAATGCACACATCACAAAAGGCTTTCTCAGATAACTTCATTTTAGCTTTTATCCTGGGATATTCACTTTCTCGCCATTGGACTTAATGAGTTCCAATATGTCCACTACAGAATGGACAAAAACAGTGTTTGAAAACTGCTGAATCCAAAGAAAGGTTTGACTCTGTAAGGTGAATGAACACGTCACAAACCAGTTTCTCAGAAAGCTTCTTTCTAGTTTTTATCTGAAGATACTTCCCTTTTAACCATAGGCCTCAAAGTGCACCCTAATATCCCTTTGTAGCTTCTATAAAAACAGTGTTTCCAAACTACTGAATGAAAAGGAAGGTTTACCTGTGTGAATTGCATACAAGTATCACAAAGCAGCTTCACAGAAGGCTTCTTTCTTGTTTTTAATCTGAAGATATTTCCTTTTTCACATTGGCCTCAATGTGCTGCAAAATAACCCTTTGCAGATTCTACAAAAACAGTGTTTCCAAACTTCTGAAAGAAAAGTAAGGTTGGACTCTGTGAGATGAATGCACACATCACAAAGCAGTTTCTCATTAAGCTTCTTTCTAATTTTTGTCTGTAATTATTCCCTTTTCCACCCTAAGCCTTAAAGCGCTACCAAATATCTCTTTTCAGATTCTAAGAAAACAGTGTTTCCAAACTGCTGAATGAAAATAAAGGTTTACCTCTGTGAAATAAATGCACATAACACAAAGCAGTGTCTATGAGAGCTCCTTCAAATTTTTATCCTGGGATAATCTCTTATTCACCTTTGGCCTTAATGAGCTCCCAAATGTCCATTTGCAGAATGGACAAAAAGAGTGTTACCAAACTGCTGAATCCAAAGAAAGGTTTACCTCTGTGAGGTGAATGAAAACATCACAAAGCAATTTCTCAGAAAGTTTCTTTCTAGTTTTTCTCTGAGGATATTTCCTTTTTCACCATAGGCCTCCATGCATGTCCATATATCCCTACGTAGATTCTACAAAAACAGTTTTTCCAAACTGCTGAATGAAAAGAAAGGTTAAATTCCATGAGATGGATACACACATCTGAAAGCAGTTTCTCAGATAGATTCCTTCTAGTGTTTATCCTGTGACATTTGCTTTTTCACCATTGGCCTCAAAGAGCTCCTAATTGTCCATTCACAGAACAGACAAAAATGGTGTTAATGAAGTGCTGAATCTGAAGAAAGGTTTAATTCTGTGAGATGAATGCACATATCCAAAAGCAGTTTTTCATTAAGCTTCTTCTAGTTTTTATCTGAAGATATTTCCTTTTTCACTATAGGCCTCACTACACTACCAAATATCTTTTCACAGATTCTTAGACAACAGTTTTTCCAAACTGCTGAATGAAAAGAAAATTTTACCTCTGTGAGAAGTATGCACACATCACAAAGCAGTCTCTCAGAAATGTTCTTTCTAGTTTTTTACTGCACATATTTCCTTTGTCACTATGGGCCTCATTGCACTATCAAATATCTCTTCACAGATTTTAAGAAAGCAGTGTTTCAAAATAGCTGAATGAAAAGAAAGATTTAAATCTGTTGACTTGAATACACACATCACAAATCAGTTTCTCAGATAATGTGCTTCTGCTGAATCCACAGAAAGTTTTAACTCTGAGAGCTGAATGAAAACATCACAAAACAATTTCCCAGAAAGTTTCTTTCTAGTTTTTCTCTGAAGAAAATTACTTTTGCACCACAGCCTTCCATACACTGCCAAATATCTATATGCCGATTCTACAGAAACAGTGTTCAAAACTGCTAAATGAAAAAGAAAGGTTCAACTCTGTGAGATGAATGCACACTTCACAAATTGGTTTCTCAGAGAATTTCTTCCCAGTTTTTTATGCTGGGATATTCCTTTTTCACCATTGACCTCAATGAGCTCCAAAATGTCCATTCACAGAATGGACAAAAACAGTGTTAACAAACTGCTGAATCCAAAGAATGGTTTAACTCTGCAAGATGAATGAACACATCACAAAGCAGTTTCCCAGAAAGCTTCTTTCTGGTTTTTATCTGAATATATTTACTTTTTCATCATAGACATCCATGTGCTCCCAAATATCTCTTTGCAGATACTACAAAAACAATGTTTCCAATATGCTGAATGAAAGGAATGGTTTAACTCTGCGAGATGAATGCAAGTATGACAAGGCAGTTCCTCAGATAGCTTCCTTCTTGTTTTTATCCTGGAACATTTGCATTTTCACCATTGGCCTCAATGAGCTCCCAAATGTAAATCTGCAGAATGAGCAAACACAGGTTTTACAAATGGATGAATCAAAAGAAAAGTTTAACTCTATAAGATATATGCACATAACATAAAGCAGTTTCTCAGAAGTCTTCTTTGTAGTTTTTCTCTGAAGATATTTTCTTTTTCCCCATGAAAACAAACAGTGTTTCCAAAGTGCATAATCAAAAGAAAGGATGAACTCTGAGGTGAATGCACACAATACAAAGCGGTTTCTCAGAAAACTTCTTTCTTGTTTTTAACTGCAGAAATTTCGTTTTTAAACACTGACCTCAATGTGCCCCAAATATCCCCTCACAGATTCTATACAAACAGTGCTTCCAATCTTCTGAATGAGAAGAAAGTTTTACCTAGGTGAGATGAATGCATGCATCTCAAAGAAGTTTCTCAGAAAGTTTCTTTCTATTTTTTATCAGAAGATACTTTGTTTTTCACCATAGTCCTCAATGAATTCCAAAATATGCCTTCTCAGATTCTACAAAAATAGTTTTTCCAAAATGCATAATGAAAAGAAAGGTTTAACTCTGTGACTTGAATGCACACATTACAAAGCAGTTTCTCAGATAGCTTCTTTCTAGTTTTATCTGGGGTATTCAGTTTTTCGCCATTGTCCTCAATGAACTCCCAAATGTCCTTTCATAGAATGGATAAAACCAATGTTTCCAATCGGGTGAATCCAAAGAAAGGTTTAACTATGAGATGAATGCACACATCATGAAGCAGTTTCTCAGAAAGCTTCTTTCCAGTTTTTATCTGAAGATAATTTCATTTTCATCCTAAGCCTCAATGAGCTCTCAAATATCACTTCGCAGATTCTGCAAAAACAGTGCTTCCAAACTCCTGGAAGAAGAGAAAGGCAAACTTTGCAGATGAATACACACATCACAAAGCAGTTCCTTAGATGGCTTTCTTCTACTTTTTATCCTGGGATATTCTATTTTTCACTATTGGCCTCAATAAGCTCACAAATGTTCATTCACAGAATGGACAAAAGCAGTGTTTCCATACTGCTGAATGAAAAGGAAGTTTTAATTCTGTGTGATGAATGCACACATCACAAAGCAGTTTCGCAGAAACCACAAATATCCCAGGATAAAAGCTAGAAAATGGCTATCTGTGAAACTGCTTTCTGATGTGCACATTCATCTTGCAGATTTAAACTTTCTTTTCATCCAGCAGTTTGGAAACCCTCTTTTTGTAGAATCTGCAAAGGGATATTTGGGACCACATTTATGCATAAGGTGAAAAAGAAAATATCTTCAGATAAGAACTACAAAGAATCTGAGAAACTGCTTTCTGATGTGTGCATTCATCTCAAAGACTTAAAAGTCTCCTTTGATTCAGCAATTTGGAAACACTGTTTTTGTTCATTCTGTGAAAGGACATTTGGCAACTCATTGAGGCCAATGGCAAAAAATCAAATATACCAGGATAAAAACTAGAGGGAACCTATCTGAGAAATGTCTTTGTGATGTGTGCATTCATCTCACATAGTTAAACCTTCCTTTTGATTCAGCAGTCTGGAAACACTGTGTTTGTCCATTCTGCACATGGACATTTGGGAACACTTTGAGGTTTAATGCAAAAAGTGAATATCCCAGGATAAAAAAGAAGGAAGCTATCTGAGTAAAAGCTTTGTGACATGTGCCTTCATTTTGCAGAACAAATCCCTTCTTTTAATTCTGCAATTTTGAAACTCTGTTTTTGTCCATTCTACGAATGGACATTTGGGGGATCATTAATGCCAAGGCTGAAAAAGCAAATATTCCAGGATAAAAACTATAAGGAAGCAATCTGAGAAATTGCTTTTTGATATGTGCCTTCATCTCACTGAGTTAAACATTTATTTTGATTCAGCAGTTTGGAAACACTGTTTTTGTAGGATTAGCAAAGGGATGTTTGGGAGTGCATTGTAGACTATGGTGAAAAAGAAAATATTTTCTAATAAAAAGTGAAAAGAAGCTTTGTCAGAAACTGCTTTGTGATGTGTGCTTTCATGTCACAGAGTTAAACCTTTCTTTTGATTCAGCAGTTTGGAACACTGTTTTTTTTTTCCATTCCGTGAATTGGCATTTCAGAACTCTTTGAGGTAAATGGCAAGGAGTTTTTTATCCCAGGATAAATAATAGTTTTTATCCCAGGATAAAAACTATAAGAAAGTGATCTGAGTAACCACTTTGTGATGTGAGTATTCATCTCTCAGAATTAAACGTTTCTTTTCATTCAGCAGGTTGGAAAAACTGTTTTTGTAGGATCTGCAAAGGGATATTGAGAGCACATTGAGGTCTATATTGAAAAAGAAAATATCTTCAGATAAAACTAGAAAGAAGCTTTCTGAAAAACTGCTTTCAGTGTGAGCAGTCTTCTCACAGAGTTAAACGTTTCTTTTGATTCAGGAGTTTGGAAATGCTGTTTTTCTCCATTCTGCAAATGAATATTTGTGAGCAATTTGAGGCCAATGGCAAAAAAGTTAATATCCCAGGAAAAAACTAGAAGAAAGCTATCTGAGTAACCTCCTTGTGATGTGTACATCCATCTCACAGTGGTAAAACTGTCTTATGATTCAGCAGTTTGGAAACACTGTTTTTGTCCATTCTGCGAATGGACATTTGGGAGATCATTGAGACCAATGGCAAAAAAGCAAATATCCCAGGATAAAAACTAGAAGGAAGCTATCTGAGAAACTGCTTTGTGATGTGTGCATTCATCTCGTAGAGTTAAACTTATGTTTTAATTCAGGAGTTTGCTAACTCTGTTTTTGTAGAATCTGCAAAGGGATATATGGGAGAGCAGTGCAGCTTAGGGTGAAAGGGAAAATATCTTCAGATAAAAACAAGTAAGAAGCTTTCTGAGAGACTGCTTTGGAAGTGTACATTCATTTCACAGAGTTAAACCTTTCTTGGATTCAGCAGTTTGGAAACACTCTTATTGTCCATTCTGTGAATGGACATTCAGCAGCTCATTGAGGCCTATGGTGAAAAAGCAAATATCCCAGAGAAAAAAACTACAAGGAAGCTACTTGAGAAACCGATTTGTGATGTGGGCATTTATATCACAAAGTTACACCTTTGTTTTGTTTCAGCTCTTTGGAAACACTGTTATTGTAGAATCTGCAAAGGGATATTTGGGAGCACTTTGAGGCCTATGTTGAAAAAGGAAATATCTTCAGTTAAAAACAAGAAAGAAGCTTTCTGAGAAACTGCTTTGTGATCTGCTCATCTCACAGAGTTAAACTTTTCTTTGGATTCAACTGTTTGGAACACTGTTGTTGTCCATTCTGCGAAAGGACATTTGGGAGCTCATTGAGGCCAATGGCCAAAAAGTGAATATCCCTGAATAAAAACTAGAAGGAAGCTATCTGAGAAACCACTTTGTGATATGTGCATTCATCTCACAGAGTTAAACCTCACTGTTCCTTCAGCAGTTTCTAAACACTGTTTTTGTAGAACCAGTGAAGCAATATTTGGGGCCCATTTATGCCTACGGTGAAAAAAGATATTTTAGATAAAAAATAGAAAGAATCTTTCTGAGAATCTGCTTTGTGATGTGTGTATTCATCTCACAGCATTAAATCTTTCTTTTATTCAGCAGTTTGGAAACACTGTTTTTGTCCATTTGGCCAATGCATATGTGGGAGCCCATTTAGGCCAATAGTGATAAAGCAAATATCCCAGGGTAAAAACTAGAAGGAAGCTATCCAAGAAAGCACTTTGTGATGTGTGCATTGATCTCACAGAGGTAAAACTTTCTTTTCATTCAGAAGTTTGGAGACACTGTTTTTCTAGAATCTGTGAAGGGATCTTTGGGAGCACATTGAGGCCTAAGGTGAAAAAGGAAACATGTGAAGTTGAAAACTAGAAAGAAGCTTCCTAAGAACCTGCTTTGAGAAGTGTGCATTCTCCTAACAGAGTTAAAACTTTCTTTTGACTCAACAGTTTGGAAACACTGTTTTTGTCCATTCTGCAAATGGACATTTGGGAGCTCATTGAGGCCAATGTCAAAAAAGGGAATATCCCAGGATAAAAACTAGAAGGAAGATGTCTAAGAAGCCGCTTTGTGATGTATGCATTCATCTCACAGAGTTAAACGTTTCTTTTCATTCAATGGTTTGTGAACACTGTTTTCATAGAAACTGTGAAGGGATATCTGGGAGTGCACTGAAGCTTATGGAGAAAAAGGAAATATCTTCAGATACAAAGTAGAAAGAAGCTTTCTGAGAAACTGCTTTGTTATAAAAACTGGAATGAAGCTATCTGAGAAACTGCTTTTTGATGTGTGCATTTACCTCACAGAGATAAAATTTCTTTTCATTCAGCAGTCTGTAAACAATTTTTTGGGAGAATCTGTGAAGGGATATTTGGGAGTACATTGACGCCTAGGGTGAAAAAGTAAATATCTTCAGATAGAAACTGCAAAGAAGCATTCTGATAAACTGCTTTGTGATGTATCCATTCAGCTGAGAGAGTGAAACATTTCTTTGGATTCAGCAGTTTGGAAACACTGTTGTTGTAGAATCTGTGAAGGGGTATTCAGGAGCTCATTGAGGCCAAGATGAAAAAGCAAATGTCCTAGGAAAAAAAACTAGAAGAAACCTATCTGAGAAAATGCTTTGTGATGTGTGGATTAATCTCTCAGAGTTAAACTCTTCTTTTCATTCTGCAGTTTGTAAACACTGTTTTTGTAGAATCTGTGAAGTTATATTTGGGAGTGCATTGAGGCCTATGATGAAAAAGGAAATACCTTCAGATATCAACTAGAAATATGCTTTCTGAGAAACTGCTTTGTTATGTGTGCATTCATCTCACAGAGATGAACATTTCTGTGGATTCAGCAGTTTGCAAAAACTCTTTTAGTCCATTCTTCAAATGGACATTTGGGAACTCATTGAAGCCAAAGGCAAAAAAGCGAATATCTCAGGATAAAATCTAGAAGGAAGCTATTTGACAAACAGCTTTGTGAGATGTGCATTCACCTTGCAGAATTAAACCTTTCTTTTAATTCAGCAGTTTGGAACCACTGTTGTTGTAGAGTTTGTGAAGGAATATTTGGAAGGTTGTGGAGGCCAATGGAGAAAAAACAAATATCCCTGGATAAAAATTAGAAAGAAGCTATTTAGGAAACATCTTTGTAATGTGTGCATTCTTCTCACAGATTAAAACTTTCTATTCATTCAACAGTTTGGAAACACCATTTTTATAGAATCTATGAAGTTATAATTTGGAGTGCATTGAGGCCTATTTTTAAAAAGGAAATACCTTCAGATAAAAACTAGAAAGAAGATTTCTGAGAAACTGCTTTGGATGTGTGCATTCATCTCACAGAGATGAAACTTTCTGTGGATTCAGCAGTTTGCAAACACTGTTTTTGTCCATTCTGTGAATGAACATTTGGGAGTTCATTGAAGCCAATGCCATTAAAGTGAGAATCCCAGGATGAAAACTAGAAGGAAGACATAAAGAAGCCACATTGTGATGTGAGCTTTCATCTCACAGAGATAAACCTTTCTTTTCATTCAGTACTCTGCAAACACTGTTTTGGCAGAAGCTGCAAAAGGATATTGGGAGCCCATTGGGGCCTTGGGTGAAAAAGGAAATATCTTCAGATAGAAACTGGAAAGATATATAAGAAACTGCTTTGTGATGTGTGCATTCAGCTGACAGAGTTTAACCTTTCTGCAGATTCAGCAGTTTGGGAAAACTGTTATTGTAGAATCTGCGAAGGGATATGTGGTAAGCTCATTGCAGCAAAAGGTGAAAAAGTGAGCATCCCAGGAAAAAAAATAAAAGGAAGATATCTGAGAAACTGCTTTGTGATGTGTGGATTCAAGTATCAGAGGTAAACCATTCTTTTCACTCAGAAGTTTGGAAACACTGTTTTTGTAGAATCTGTGAAGTTATATTTGGGAGTGCATTGAGGCCAATGGTGGAAAAAGAAATAACTTCAGATAAAAACTAGAAAGAAGATTTCTGAGAAACTGCTTTCCCATGTGTGCATTCATCTCGTGGAGTGAAACCTTTCGCTGGATTCAGCACTTTGGAAAGACTCTTTTTGTGCATTCTACAAATGGACGTTTGGTATCTCATTGAGGTCAATGGTGAAAAAGTGAATATCCGAGGATAAAAACTAGAAGAAAGGTATCTGAGAAACCACTTTGTGATGTGTGCATCCATCTCTCAGAGGTAAACCATCCTTTTAATTCAGCAGTTTGTACACACAGTTTTTGTAGAATCTGCAAGGTTATATTTGGGAGCGCATTGAGGCCTATTGTGAAAAAGGAAATATCTTCAAATAAAAACTTGAATGAAGCTTTCTGAGAAACTTCTTTGTAATGTGTGCATTCATCTCACAGAGATCAACCTTTCTGTGTATTCAGCCGTTTGCAAACACTCTTTTAGTCCATTCTGCAAATGGACATTTGGGATCTCATTGAGGCCAAAGGCAAAAAGGGGAATATCACAGGATAAAAACTACAAGGAAGCTATATGAGAAACCACTTTGTGATGTGTACATTCAACTCACAGAGTTAAATCTTTCTTTTTCATTCAGCAGTTTGGAAATACTGTTTTTGAAGCATCTGCAAAGGGATATCTGGGAGTGTATTGGGGAATATGGTGAAAAAGGAAATATATTCAGATAAAAATTAGAAGGAAGCTTTCTGAGAAACTGCTTTGTGATGTGTGCATTCATCTCACAGAGTTAAACATTTCTTTGGATTCAGCAGTTTGGAAACACTGTTGTTGTAGAATCCACAAAGGGATATTTGGGAGATCATTGAGGCCAAATTTGAAAAAGCGAATATCCCAGGAAAAAAACTAGAAGAAAGCTATCTGAGAAACTGCTTTGTGAGGTGTGCATTCGCCTCTAAGATTTAAATGATTCTTTTCATTCAGCAGTGTGTATACACTGTTTTTGTAGAATCTGCAAAGTTATATTTGCGAGAGCATTGAGGCCTAAGGTGAAAAAGGAAATACCTTCAGAAAAACTAGAAAGAAGCTATCTGAGAAATGCTTTGTTATGTGTGCATTCTTCTCACAGAGTTAAGGATAGTTTTCTGTGGATTCAGTGGTTTGCACACACTGTTTTTATCCATTCTGAAGATGAACATTTTGAAGATCATTGAGGCCAAAGGCAAAAAAGGGAATATACCAGGATATAAACTAGAAGGAAGCTCTTTGAGAAACCACTTTGTGACGTCTGCATTCATCTCACAGAGTTAAACCATTCTTTTCATTCAGCAGTTTGGAAACTCTATTTTGGTAGAATCTGTGAAGTGATACTTGGAAATGTTTTGTGACCTACAGTTACAAAGGAAATATCTGTAGATAAAAGCTACAAAGAAGCTTTCTGAGAAACTTTCATGTGATGTGAACATCCATCTCACAGATTTAAACATTTCTTCTCATTCAGCAATTTAGATACACAGTTTTGGTAGAATTTGCAAAGGGATATTTGGGAGCACATTGAGGCCTGTGGCAAAAAAGGAAATATCTTCAGATAAAAACTAGAAAGAAGCTATCTGAGAAATGCTTTCTTATGTGTGCATTCATCTCACAGAGTTAAAGCTTTCTGTGGATTCAGCAGTTTGCAAACACTGCTTTTATCCATTCTGAAAATGGACATTTGGAAGCTCATTAACGCCAATGGCATAAAAGGAAGTATACCAGGATATAAACTAGAAGGAAGCTCTTTGAGAAACCACTTTGTGATGTCTGCATTCATCTCAGAGAGTTAAACCATTCTTTTCATTCAGCAGTTTGGAAATCCTGTTTTGGTAGAATCTGTGAAGTGCTACTTGGAAGCGCTTTGAGACCTATGGTTATAAAGGAAATATCTTCAGATAAAAACTAGAAAGAAGGTATCTGAGAAATGCTTTGTTATGTGTGCAATCATCTCACAGAGTTAAAGCTTTCTGTGGATTCAGCAGTTTGCAAACACTGTTTTTATGCATTCTGAAAATGGCCATTTGGAAGCTCATTGAGGCCAATGGCAAAAAAGGAAATATACCAGGATATAAACTAGAAGGAAGCTCTTTGAGTAACCACTTTGTGATGTCTGCATTCATTTCACAGGGTTAAACCATTCTTTTTATTCAGTAGTTTGGAAACTCTGTTTTGATAGAATCTGTGAAGCACTACTTAGAAGCACTTTGAGACCTATGGTTATAAAGGAAATATCTGTAGATAAAAACTAGAAAGAAGCTTTCTGAGAAACCTCCTTGTGATGTGTACATTTATCTCACCGATTTAAACATTTCTTCTCATTCAGCAGTTTTGAGACACAATTTTGGTAGAATCTGCGAAGGGATATTTCAGACTGCATTCAGGCCTATGGTGAAAAAGGAAATATTTTCAGATAAAAACAAGAAAGAAGCTTTCTGAGAAATCGTTTTGTGATGTGCGCATTCACCTAACAGAAGTAAACATTATTTTGGTTTCAGGTATTTGGAAACACTGCTTTTGTCCATTCTGCAAATGGATATTTGGATGCTCATTGAGGCAAATGGTGAAAAAGTGAATATCCCACGATAAAATTTGGAAGAAAGCTATTTCAGAAATCGCTCTGTGATGCATGCATTCACCTCACAGAGTTAAATCTTTATTTTCATTCAGCAGTCTGGAAACACTGTTTTGGCAGAATCCATGAAGGGCTATTGGGGAACACATTGAGGCTTATGGTGAAAAAGGAAACATCTTCAGATAAAGACTAGAATGAAGCTTTCTGAGAAACCACTTTGTGATGTTTGTATTCAACTCACAGAATTAAACCTTTCTTTTAATTTGGCACTTTGGAAACAGTGTTTAGGCAGAATCTGTGAAGGGATATTTGAGAGCCCTTTGAGGCCTATGGTGAGAAAGGAAATATCTTCAGATAAAAACTAGAAACAAGTTTTCTGAGAAACTGCTTTGTGATGTGTGCATTCATTGCACAGAGTTAAACCTTTCATTGGATTCAGCAGTTTGGAAACACTGTTTTTGTCCATTCTACCAATGGACATTTTCAGAGCTCATTGAGGTCAATGGTGAATAAGCGAACACTTCGACATAAAAACAAGAAGAAAGCTATCTGAGAACTTGCTTTGTGATATGTGCATTCATTTTGTTTTTATCCTGGGCCATTCATCTTTTTGCCATTGTCCTTAATGAGCTCTGAACATCCATTCACTGAATGGACAAAAACAGTGTTTCCAAACTGCTGAATCGAGAGAAAGTTTTAACTCTGTGAGATGAATGCACACAACACAAAGTTGTTTCTCAGAAAGCATCTTTCTATTTTTTATCTGAAGATATTTCCTTTTACACCATAGGACTAATTGCACTCTCATATATCACTTTGTGGATTCTATCAAAACAGTGTTTCCAAACTGCTGAATGAAAAGAAAGGTTTAACTTTGTGAGATGAATGCACTGATCACAAAGCAGTTTCTCAGATTGCTTCCTTTTAGTTTTTATCCTCAGATACTCACTTTTTCATATTTGGCTTCAATGAGCTCCCAAATATCCCTTCACAGATTCTATCAAAACTGTGACTCCAAACTGCTGAATCCAAAGAACGGTTTACCTGTGTGAGATGAATGCACACATCAAAAAACAGTTTCCCAGAAAGCTTCTTTCTAGTTTTTATTCAAAGATATTTCCTTTTTCACCTTAGGCCTCAATGCACTACCAAATATCCCTTCACAGTTCCCACCAAAACAGTGTTTTCAAACTGCTGAATGAAAAGAAACATTTAACTCTGTGAGACAAATGCACACATCACAAAGCAGTTGGTCAGATATCTTCCTTCTAGTTTTTATCCTGGGATATATGCTTTTTTACCATTGGACACAATTAGATCCCAAGTGTCCATTTGCACAATGGAGAAAAACAGAGTTTCCAAAATGCTGAATCCAAAGAAAAGTTTAGCTCCGTGAAATGAATGCACACATCACAAAGCAGTTTCTCAGAAAGCTTCTTTCTCGTTTTTATCTGAAGGTATTTCTTTTTTAACCATTGGCCTCAAAGTGCTCCCAAATATGCCTTCCCAGATCATACAAAAACAGTGTTTCCAAACTGCTGAATGAGAAGAAGGCTTAACTCTGAGAGATCAAAGTACACATCACAAAGCAGTTTCTCAGATAGCTTCCTTGTAGTTTTTATCGTGGGATATTTGCTTTTTCACCTTTATCATCAATGAGCTCCCAAATATCCCTTCACAGATTTTACAAAAACAGTGTTTCCAAAATGCTGAATCCAAAGAAAGGTTTATCTCTGTGAGATGAATGCACACATCACAAGTCAGTTTCTCAGAAACTTTCTTTCTAGATTTTATCTAAAGATATTTTGTTTTTCAGTATAGGCCTCAATGTCTTCCCAAATATCCTTTCACAGATTCTACAAAATGAGTTTACAAGGTGCTGAATTAAGAGTCATGTTTAACTCTGAGAGAAGAATGAACACATCATGAAGCAGTTTCTCAGATAGCTTCCTTCTAGGTATTATTCTGGGATACACGCTTTTTTGCCTATAGCCTCAATGAGCTATCAAATATCCCTTCACAAATTCTACAAAAACAATGTTTCCAAACTGCTGAATCCAAAGAAAGATTTAACTCTGTGAGATGAATGCTCACAATGCGAAGCAGTTTCTGACAAATCTTCTTTCTAGTTTTTATCTGAAGATACTTCATTTTTCACCATAGGTCTCAATGTGCTCCGAAATATCCCTTCATGGATTCTACCAAAACAGTGTTTCCAAACTGCTGAATGAAAAGAATGTTTTAACACTGTGAGATGAATGCACACATCACAAAGCACTTTCTCAGAGTGCTTCTTTCTAGTTTTTAACTGATGATATTTCCTTTTTTGCCTTTGGCCTCAATGAGATCCCAAATGTCCATTTGCAGAATGGACTAAAAGAGTGTTTGCAAACGGCTGAATACACAGAAAGGTTGATCTCTGTGAGATGAATGCACACATTACAAAGAAGTTTCTCAGAAAGCTTCATTCAAGTTTTTATTTGAAGATATTTCCTTTTCAACATAGGCATCAATGCATTCTGAAATATCCCTTCACAGATTCTACAATAACAGTGTTTCCCAACTGCTGAATGAAAAGAAAGGTTTAGCTCTATGATATGAATGCACACATCACAAAGTAGTTTCTCAGATAGTGTCCTTCTGAAAAGAAAGTGTTAACGTTGCATGTTGAATGCACAAATCACAAAGTTGTTTCTCGGATAGCTTTCTGCTAGTTTTTATCCTACAGTTTTCACTTTTTCACCATTGGCCTCAAGGATCACCAAAATGTCTATTCGCTGATTGGACAAAAACAGTGTTTGCAAACTGCTGAATCCAAAGAAAGTTTATCTTTGTGAGATGATTGCATGCATCATAAAGTTGTTTCTCAGAAAGCTTCTTTCTAGTTTTTACCTGAAGATGTTTTCTTTTCACCATAAGCCTCAATTTACTCCCTTGACAGAATCCCTTGATGGATTCTACAAAACCTGTGTTTCCATACTGCTGAATGAAAAGAAAATTTTAAGTCTGAAGATGAATGTACAAATCACAAAGTGGTTTCTCAGGTAGCTTCCTTCAAGTTTTTATCCTAGCTTATATGCTTTTTTGAAAATGGCCTCAAAGAGCTCCCAAATGTCCACTCACAGAATGGACAACAAAACTGTTTCCAAACTGCTGAATCCAAAGAAAGGTTTAAATCTGTGAGATGAATGTGCACATCTCAAAGCAGTTTCATAGGCAGCTTCTTTCCATTTATTGTCTTTAGATTTTTCCATTTTCGCCATAGGCCTTAATGAGCTCCCAAACATCCCTGCATAGATTCTACAAAAACACTGTTTCCAAATTGCTGAATGAAAAGAAAGGTTTAACACTGTGAGAACAATCCACACATCATAAATAAGTCTCTCAGAGAGCTTCCTTCTAGCTTTTATCCTGGGATACACACTTTTTCACCATTGTCCCCAAAGAGCTAACAAATGTCATTTCAAAGAATGGACAAAAACAGTATTTCCAAACTGCTGAATCCAAAGAAACATTATACTCTGTGAGATTAATGCCCACATCTCAAAGCTGTTTCTTAGAAAGCTTCTTTCCAATTTTTATCTTAAGATGTCCCTTTTTCATCATTGGCCTCAATGCACTCCCAATTATCATTTGCAGATTTACAAAAACAGTTTTTCCAAACTGTTGAATGAAAAGAAAGTTTTAACTCTTTATGATGAATGTGCACATCACAAACTGGTTTCTCAGGTACCTTCCTTCTAGTTTTTATCCTGGAATATTCACTTTTTTCCCATTGGCCTCAATGAGCTCCCAAATGTCCGTTTACAGAATGGACAAAAACAGTGTTTCCAAATGGCTGAATCCAAAAAAAGTTTTAACTAGGTGTGTTGAATGCACATATCACAAAGCAGTTTCTTAGAAAGCTTCCTACTAGTTTGTATCTGAAGATATTTCCTTTTTCAAAAAAGGCCTCAAAGTGTTACCAAATATCCCTTCACAGATTCTACAAAAAAGTGTTTCCAAACTACTGAATGAAAAAAAGATTTAATTCTGTGAGATGAATGTACACATCAAAAAGTGGTTTCTCAAATAGCTTCCTTCTAATTTTTATCCAGGGATATTCCCTTTTTCACCATTGGCCTCAATGAGATCCTTAATGTCCATTGGTAGAATGGACAAAAACAGTGTTTCCAAACTGCTGAATCAAAAGAAACGTTAAACTCTGTGAGATGAATGCACACATCACAAAGTGGTTTTTCAGGTAGATTCTTTCTAGTTTTTATCATTTCATATTCTCTTTTTCACTATTTTAATACGTGAGCTTCCAAATGTCCATTCACAGAATGAAAAAAAACAGTGTTTCCAAACTGCTGAATCAAAACAAAGGTTTAACTCTGGGAGATGAATGCACACATCACAAAGCAGTTTCTGAGAAATCTTCTCTCCACTTTTTATTGGAAGATATTTTCTTTTTCACCATACTCCTCAATGTGCTCCCAAAAATACCTTTGGAGATCCTACAAAAACAGTGTTTCCAACTGCTGAATCAAAAGAAAAGTTTAACTCTGTGAGATGAAAGAACACATCACAAAGCAGTTTCTCACAATGCTTCTTTCTAGTTTTTATCTGAAGATATTTTCTTTTTCACCACAGGCCTCAACGTGCTCCCAAATATCCCTTTGCAGATACTACAAAAACAGTGTTTCCAAACTGCTGAATGAAAGCTTTAACTTAGCAAGATGAATGCACATATGACAAAGCTCTTCCTCAGATGGCTTCCTTATAGTTTTTCTCCTGGAATATTTGCTTTTTTCGTGTTAAGTGTTAGTGATATCCCAAATGTCCATTCGTAGAATGGACAAAAACAGAGTTTCAAAAATGCCGAATTAAAAGAAAGGTTTCACTCTGTGAGATGAAGGCACATGTCACAAAGCTTTTACTAAGGTAGCTTCCTTCTTTTTTATCCTGGGATATTTGCTTTTTGCATTAAACCTCAATGTGCTCCCAAATTTCTGTGCACAGAATTGACAAATACAGTGTTTCCAAACTGCTGAATCAAAAGGAAGGTTTAACTATGTGAGATGAATGCACACATCACAAAGAGGTTTCTCAGATAACTCCTAGTTTTTTTCCTGGTATATTCAATTTTTCACCATTGGCCTCAAAGAGCTGCCAAATGTCCTTTTGCAGAATGAACAAAAACAGTGTTTCCAAATTGCTGAATCAAAAGAAAATTTTACATCTTTGAGTTGAATGCACACATCACAAAGCAGGTTCTAAGAAAGATTACTTCTAGTTTTTATCTGAAGATATTTTCTTTTTCACCTTATGCCACAATGTGTTCCCAAATATCCCTCCACAGATTCTACAAAACGAGTGTTTTCAAACTTCTGAATGAAAAGAAAGTTTATTTCTGCAAGATGAATGATCACATCACAAAGCAGTTTCACAGATAGCTTTTTTCTAGCTTTTATCCTGGGATATTTGCAGTTTTTGAGAAACTACTTTGTGATGTGTGCATTCATCTCAAATAATTAAAACTTTCTTTTGATACAGCAGTTTGAAAACACTGATTTTGTCCATTCTGCAAATGGAAATTTGGGAGCTCTTAGAGGCCAAGGCAAAAAAAAGGATATCCCATTATAAACACTAGAATTAAGCTATCTGAGAAACCATATTGTGATGTGTGCATTCATCTCACAGATTTAAACTTTATTTTCTTTCAAGAAAATGAAAACATTGTTTTTGTCCATTCTGCCAGTGGACATGTGGGAACTCATTGAGGCCAATGGCGAAAAAGCAAATATCCCAGGATAAAAACTAGAAGGGATCTCTCTGAGAAACTCCTTTGTGATGTGTGCATTCATTTTGCAGAGTTAAACCTTTCTTTTCATTCAGCAATTTGGAAACACTGCTTTTGTAGAATCTGCAAGGGGATGTTTGGGAGCACACTGAGGCCTACAGTGAAAAAGAAAATGTCTTCAGATGAAAACTAGAAAGAAGCTTTCTAAGTAACTGCAATATGATGTGTGCATTAAGCTCTCAGAGTGAAACATTTCTTTTGATTCACCAGATGGGAAAAACTGCTTTTGTCCATTCTGTGAATGAACATTTGGGAGCTATTGAGGCCAATGGTGAAAAATCAAATATTCCAGGATAAAAACTAGAAGAAAGCCTTTGAGAAACCGCTTTGTGATGTGTGCACTCATCTGCAAAGTTTACCTTTCTCTTCACTCAGCAGTTTTGAAACAATTTTTGTAGAATCTGGGGTTATATTTGAAAGCGCATTGAGGCTTATGGTGAAAAAGAAATTATCTTCAGATAAAAACTAGAAAGAAGCTTTCTGAGAAACTGCTTTGTGACATGTGAATTCGTCTCACAAAGTTCAAACTTTCTTTGGATTCAGCAGTTTGGAAACACGATTTTTATCCATTCTACAAAAGGACACTTGGGAGCTCATTGAGGCCAGTGGTGAAAAAGTGAATGTCCCTGGATAAAAGTAGAAGGAAGCTATCTGATAAACTGCTTTGTAATGTGTGCATTCATGTCACAGAGTTAAACCTTTCTTTTTATTCAGTAGTTTGGAAAAACTTGTTTTGTAGAGTCTGTGAAGGCATATTTGGGAGAGCGTTGAGGACTATGGTGAAAAAGAAAGTATCTTCTGATAAAAAATAGAAAGAAACTTCCTGAGAAACTGCTTTGTGATAT
Organism: Homo sapiens; assembly: GCF_000001405.40. Classification (NCBI taxonomy): domain Eukaryota; kingdom Metazoa; phylum Chordata; class Mammalia; order Primates; family Hominidae; genus Homo; species Homo sapiens. Next base: position 62,700,211 of record NC_000007.14, on the reverse strand, counting down.
GTGCATTCATCTCACTTAGGTAAATCTTTCTTCTCATTCAGCAGTTTAGAAAAACTGTTTTTGTAGTATCTGTGAGGGGATGTTTGTGAGTGCATTGAAGCCAATGGTGAAAAAGGAAGTTTCTGCAGATAAAAACTAGAAAGAAGCTTTCTGAGAAACTTCTTTCTGATGTGTGCATTCAGCTCTCAGAGGGAAAGCTTTCTTTTGATTCTGCAGTTTGGAAACACCGTGTTGTCCATTCTGTGAATTGACAACTTTGAGCTCATTAAGGCCAAAGGAAGAGATCTTAGAAACTGCTTTGGGATGCATGAATTCATGTGGCAGAATTAAAAGTTTCTGTTCATTCAGCAGTTTGGAAACAAAGTTTATGTAGAATCTGCAAAGGGATATTTAGGAGTGCACTGAGATGTATGGTGAAAAAGGAACCATATTCAGATAAAAACTTGAAAGAAGCTATCTGAGAAAATGCTTTGTGACATGTTCATTCAACTCTCAGAGTTAAACCTTTCTTTGGATTCAGCAGTATTGAAAGCCGGTTTTTGTCCATTTTGTGAATGGACAATTGGGAGCTCATTGAGAACAATAGCAAAAAAGAGAATACCCCAGGAGAAAAACTAGAAGGAAGCAACCTGAGAAACTGCTTTCTAATGCATGCATTCACCTTGCAGAGTTAAACCATTCTCTTCATTCAGCAGTTTGGAAACACTGATTTTGTATAATCTGCTAAGGGAAATTTGGGAGCACATTGAGGCATATGGTGAAAAAGAAAACATCTTCAGATAATAACTACAAAGAAGCTTTCGGAGAAACTGCTTTGTGATATATGCATTCATCTCACAGAGTGAAACATTTCTTTGGATTCAGCAGTTTGGAAACCCTCTTTGTCCATTCTGCAAATGGACGTTTGGGAGCTCATTGAGGCCAATAGTGAAAAAGAGAATGTACAAAGGTAAAAACTAGAAAGAAGTTCTCTGAAAAGCAGCTTTGGGATGTGTGCATTCGTCTCACAGACTAAAACCTTTCTTTACATTCAGCACTTTGGAAACACTGTTTTTGTAGAATTTGCCAAGGGATATTCTGGAATGCATTGAGGCCTATGGTGAAAAAGGAAACACATTCAGATAAAAACTAAAAAGAATCTTAGAGAAACTGCTTTGTGACTGGTGCATTCAACTCACAGAGTTAAAACTATCTTTTGATTCAGCAGTGTTAAAACACTGTTTTTGTCCATTCTGTGAATGGACATTTTGGAGCTCATTGAGACCATTGGCAAAAAAGTGAATATCCCAGGATAGAAACTGGAGGGGACCTATCTGAAAAAGCGCTTGTGATATGTGCATTCATCTTGCAGAGTTAAATCTTTATTTTAATTTAGCAGAATGAAAAAACTGTTTTTGTCTATTCTGCCAATGGACATTCGGGAGTTCATTGAGACCAATTAAGAAAAACAAGTATCCCAGCATAAAAACTAGAAGGAAGTGCTCTGGGAAACCACTTGGTGATGTGTGCATTCATTTTTCAGAGTTAAACCATTCTTTTCCATCAGCAGTTTGGAAACCCTGTTTTTGTTGAATCTTTGGGAGAATATCTAGTAGTGCATTGAGTTCTAAGGAGAAAAAGGAAATTTCTTCAGATAAAAACTAGAAAGAATCCTTCTGAGACACTGCTTTGTGATTTGTGCACTTATCTCACAGAGTTAAATTTTCCTTTTGATTCAGCAGTTTGGAAACGCTGCCTTTGTCCATTCTGCTAATGGACATTTGGGAGCTCATTAAGGTGAATAGCAAAAAAGTGAATATCCCAGGATAAAAACTATAAGGAAGCTACATGAGAAACAGCTTTGGGATGTCTGCATTCACTTTACAGAGTTAAACTTTTATGTTCATTCAGCAATTTGGAAATACTCTTTTTGTGGAAACTGGGAACGATATTTGGGAATGCATTGAGGCCTATGATGAAAGAGAAAATACTTTCAGATAAAAACTAGATAGAAGCATTCTGAGAAACTGCTTTGTGATGTGTGCACTCATTTCAGAGAGTTAAACATTTCTTTATATTCAGCAGTACCAAAACCCTGTTTTTTTAGTGTTTGCAAATGTGTATTTGGGAGCCAATTGAAGCCTATGGTGAAAAAGGAAATATACTCAAATAAAACTAGAAAGAAGCTTTCTGAGAAACTACTTTGTGATGTGTGCATTCATCTCATAGAGTTAAACCTTTCTTTTGATTCTGCAGGTTGGAAACACTGTGTTTGTCCATTCTGTGAATGGACATTTGGGATCTCATTGAAGCCAAAGGCAGGATAGCAAATATCCCTGAATAAAAACAAGAAGGTAACTATCTGAGAAACCGCTTGGTGATAGGTGCATTCATTTCACAGAGTTAAACCTTTCTTTTCATTCAACAGTTTGAAAAACTGTTTTTGTAGAATCTGCTAAGGGGTATTTGGGAGCACATTAAGTCCTACGGTGAAAAAGGAAACAACTTCAGATAAAAACTAGAAGGAGGCTTTCTGAGAAATTGCTTTGTGATGTGCACACTCATCTCACAGTTAAACATTTCTTTGGATTCTGCAGTTTCGAAACACTATTTTTGTTGATTCTGAGAATGGACATTTGAGAACTCATTGTGGCCAATGGTGAAATAGCGAATACCCCAGAATAAAAACTATAAGGAAACTATCGGAGGAACCACTTCAGAATGTGTGCATTCAACTCACAGAGTTCAAACTTTCTTTTCATTCAGCAGTTTAGAAACACTGTTTTTGTAAAATCTGTGAAGGAATATTTGGGAGCACATTGAGGCATATGGTGAAAAAGGAAACATATTCACATAAAAACTAGATGGCATTGCCTAGGTTTTCTTCTAGAGTTTTTATGCTTTTAGGTCTAACATTTAAGTCTTTAATCCATCTTGAATTAATTTTTGTATAAGGTGTAAGGAAGGGAACCAGTTTCAGCTTTCTACATATGGCTAGCTAGTTCTCCCAGCACCATTTATTAAATAGGGAATCATTTCCCCAATTCTTGTTTTTGTCAGGTAAGTCAAAGATCAGATAGTTGTAGATATGCAGCATTATTTCTGAGGGCTCTGTTCTGTTCCATTGGTCTATATCTCTGTTTTGGTACCAGTACCATGCTGTTTTGGTTACCGTAGCCATGAAGTGTAGTTTGAAGTCAGGTAGCGTGATGCCTCCAGGTTTGTTCTATTGGCTTAGGATTGACTTGGCAATGTGGGCTCTTTTTAGGTTCCATATGAACTTTAAAGTAGTTTTTTTCAATTCTGTGAAGAAAGTCATTGGTAGCTTGATGGGGATGGCATTGAATCTAAAATTACCTTGGGCATTATGGCCATTTTCATGATACTGATTTTTCCTATCCATGAGCATGGAATCTGCTTCCATTTGTTTGATACCTTTCAGGACATAGGCATGGGCAAGGACTTCATGTCTAAAACACCAAAAGCAATGGTAACAAAAGCCAAAATTGACAAATGGGATCTAATTAAACTAAAGAGCTTCTGCACAGCAAAAAAAAAAAAAAAAAAAAAATACCATCAGAGTGAACAGGCAACCTGCAGAATGGGAGAAAATTTTTGCAATCTACTCATCTGACAAAGGGCTAATATCCAGAATCTACATTGAACTCAAGCAAATTTACAAGAAAAACACAAACAACCCCATCAACATGTGGGTGAAGGATATGAACAGACACGTCTCAAAAGAAGACATTTATGCAGCCAACAGACACATGAAAAAATGCTCATCATCACTGGCCATCAGAGAAATGCAAATCAAAATCACAATGAGACACCATCTCACACCAGTTAGAATGGTGATCATTAAAACGTCAGGATACAACAGGTTCTGGAGAGGATGTGGAGAAATAGGAACACTTTCACACTGTTGGTGGGACTGTAAACTAGTTCAACCATTGTGGAAGACAGTGTGGCAATTCCACAGGGACCTAGAACCAGAAATACCATTTGACCCAGCCATCTCATTACTGGGTGTATACCCAAAGGATTATAAATCATGCTGCTATAAAGACACATGCACACATGTGTTTATTGTGGCACTATTCACAATAGCAAAAACTGGGAGCCAAGCCAAATGTCCAACAATGATATAATGGATTAAGAAAATGTGGCACATATACCCCTTGGAATACTATGCAGACATAAAAAATGATGAGTTAATGTGCTTTGTAGGGACATGGATGAAGCTGGAAACCATCATTCTCAGCAAACTACTGCATGGACAAAAAAACCAAACACCACATATTCTCACTCATAGGAGGGAATTGAAAAATGAGAACACATGGATACAGGAAGGGGAACATCACACACCAGGGCCTGTTGTGGGGTGGGGGGAGGGGAGAGGGATAGCGTTAGGATATATACCTAATGTTAAATGATGAGTTAGTGGGTGCAACACACCAACATGGCTCATGTATCCATATGTAACAAACCTGCATGTTGTGCACAAGTACCCTAAAATTTAAAGTATAATAATAATAAATAAAAATAAAAATAAAAAAAAAAAAATAAAAACTAGAAAGAAGTTTTCTGAGAAACTGCTTTGTGACATGTGCCTTCATCTCACTGAGTTAAACTTTTCTGTGAATTCAGCAGTTTGGAAACACTCTTTTTGTCAATTCTGCAAGTCGACATTTGGGAGGTCATTGAGCTCAAAGGTGAAAAAGTGAATATCCCATAATAAAAAGTAGAAGAAATCTATTGCATTGAGGCCTATGGTGAAAGAGGAAAAATATTCAGGAAAAATCTAGAAAGAAGCTTTCTGAGAAACTGCTTTGTGATGTGTGCATTCACCTAACAGAGTTAATCCTTTCAGTGAAATCAGCAGTTTGCAAACACTGATTTCATCCATTCTGTAAAAGGACATTTGCTAGTTCATTAACACCAATGGCAAAAAAGCAAATATCACTGGAGAAAAACTAGAAGGAATCTATCTGAGAAACCACTTTTTGATGTGTGCATTCACCTCGCAGAGTTAAACTTTTATTTTCATGGAGCAGGTTGTAAACACTCTTTTTGTAGAAACTGCAAAGGGATATTTGGGAGCGCATTTAGGCTTATGGTAAAAAGGAAATATCTTAAGTTGAAAACTAGAAACAAGCTTTCTGAGAAACTTCTTTGTGATGTGCACATTCATATCACAGAGTAAAACCTTTACTTTGGATTCAGTAGTTTGGAAGCCCTGTTGTTGTAGAATGTGTGAAGGGATACTTGGGAGCTCATTGAGGCCATCCGGTAAAAAGTGAATATCCCAGGATAAAAACTAAAAGGAAACAATCTGAGAAACCACTATGTCATGTGTGCATTCACCTCGCAGAATTAAAACTTTCTTTTCATGCAGCAGTTTGGAAACACTGTTTTGGTAGAGTCTGTGAAGGTATATAAAGGAGCACTTCGAGGCCTATGGTGAAAAAGGAAATAACTTCAGATGAAAACTAGAAGGAAGCTTTCTGAGAAATTGGTTTATGATGTGTGCATTCATCTCACAGATTTCAACATTTCTTTAGATTGAGGAGTTTGTAAACACTGTTTTGTTGGAATCTGCGAAGGGATATTTGATAGCTCATTGAGGCCATAGACGAAAAAGTGAATATCCCAGGATAAAAACTAGAAGGAAGCTATCTGAGAAACTGCTTTGTGACGTATCAATTCATCTAGCAGAGTTAAACCTTTCTTTTCGTTCAGCATTGTGGAAACATTGTTTTCTTAGAATATGCGGAGACAAATTTCAAAGCTCTTTTAGGGCTATGGTAAAAGGAAATATTGTCAGATAAAAACTAGAAAAAATCTCTCTGAGAAACTTCTTTGTGATGTGTGAATACATCTCATAGAGATAAACACTGCTTTGGATTCATCAGTTGGGAAACACTGTTTTTGTCCATTCTGTGAATGGACATTTGGAAACTCATTCAGGCCAAAGGTAAAAAAGCGAGTGTTTCAGATAACTTCCTTCTAGGTTTTTTCTTGGGATATTCACTTTTTTGCCATTGTCCTCAATGAACTCCCAAATGTCCATTTGCAGAATGGACAGAAACAGTGTTTCCAAACTGCTGAATCCAAAGAAACATATATCTCTGTGAAATGAGTGTACCTTTCACAAAGCAGTTTCTCAGAAAGCTTCTGTGCAGTTTTTATCTGAAGATATTTCTTTTTCACCATGGGCCACAATAAGAAACCTAATATACCTTTGCAGATCCTACAAAAACAAAACAGTGTTTCCAAACTGCAGAATGTTAAGAAAATTTTAACTTTGGAAGATCAAGGCACACATCACACAGAGTTTTCTCAGATAGTGTCCTTCTTGTTTTTATCCTAGAATATTTGTTTTTTCACCTTTGGCCTCAATGACCTCCCAAATATCCCTTCACAGGTTCTACAAAAACAGTGTTTCCAAACTGGGGAATACAAGGAAAGGTTTAACTCTGTGAGAGGAATGCACACATCTCAAAGCTGTTTTTCAGAAATCTTCCTTCTAGTTTTCATCTGAAGATATTTCCTTTCTCACTATAGGGCTCAAAGTGTCCCCATATATCTATTTGCAGATTTTAAAATACAGTGTTTCCAACCTGCCAAATGAAAAAAAAGGTTTAACTCTGTGAGATGAATGCACACATAACAAAGCAGTCTCATATAGCTTCCTTCTAGTTTTTATCCAGGGATATTCACTTTTTCGCCATTGGCCTCAATGAGTTCCCAAATGTCCACTCACAGAATGGACAAAAACATTGTTTCTAAACTGTCGAATCAAAAGAAAGGTTTAACTCTGTGTGAAAAATGCACACATCTCAAAGCAGTTTCTCATAAAGCTTCTTTCTAGTTTTTATCTGGACATATTTCATTTTTCACAACAGGCCTCAATGGTCTCACAAATACCCCTTCGCAGATTTTACAAAACAGTGTTTCCAAACTGCTGATTTAAAGGAAATTTTAACTCTGCAAGATGAATGCACAGATAATCAAATGGTTTCTCAGATAGTTTCATTCTAGTTTTTATCCTGGAATATTAGATTTTTGCCTTTGTCCTCAATGAGCTCGAAAATACACCTTCACAGATTCTACAAAAACAGTGTTTCTATACTGCTGAATCCAAAGAAATGTTTAACTCTGTGAGATGAATGTAAACATCACAAAGCAGTTTCTGAGAAAGATTCTTCCTAATTTTTTGCTGAAAATACTTTCTTTTTCACCATAGGCCTCAATGTGCCCCCAGTATCTCTTCACAGATTCTACAAAAACAGTGTTTCAGAACTGCTGAATGAAAACGAAGGTTTAACTCTGTGAGATGGATGTACACATCGCAGTGCGGTTTCTCAGAGAGGTTCCTTCCAGTTTTTATCCCGGATATTCACTTTTTCACCATTGGCCTCAATGAGCTGCCAAATATCCATTCACAGAATGGACAAAAACAGTGTTTCCCAAGTGCTGTATCCAAAGAAATGTTTATCTCTGTGACATGAAGGCACACATCACAAAGCAATTTCTCAGAAGGCTTCTTTCTAGTATTTATATGAAGATATTTCCTTTTTCACCATAGGCTTCAATGTGCCTCCATATATCCCTTTGCAGATTCTACCAAAATGTGTTTCCAAACGCCTGAATGAAAAGAAACCTTTAACTCTCTGACATGAATACACACATCACAAAGCGGATTCTTAGCTAGCTTATTCTAGTTTTTATCCTGGGATATTGGCTTTATCGCCTTTGCCCCCAATGAGCTACCAAATATCCCTTCACAGGTTGTACAAAAACAGTGTTTCTAACCTGCTGAATAAAAAACAATTTAACTCTGTGAGATGAATGCACATATAGCAAAGCAGTTTGTCAGATATCTTTATTCCACATTTTATCCTGTGATGTTCAGTTTTTTGCCATTGGTTTCAATGAGCACCCAATTGTCCATTCTGCAAATGGACAAAAAGAGTGCCTCTAAACTGATAAATCAAAGGAAAGGTTTCTGTGTGAGATGAATGCACACATCACAAAACAGTTTCTCTGAAAGAATTTTTCCAGTTTTCATCTAAAGATATTTCCTTTTTCACCATAGGCCTCAATGTGCCCCGAAATTTCCCATTGCAGATTCCACCAAAACAGGGTTTCTAAACTGCTGAAGGAAAAGAAAGGTTTAACTCTGCGAGATGAATGCACACATAACTAAGCAGTTTCACATATAGTTTCCTTCTAGTATTTATCCTGGGCATTCGATTTTTTGCCTTTGGCCTCAATGAGCTCCCAAATGTCCCTTTGCAGACTCTACAAATACAGTGTTTCCAAATTGCTGAATAAAAAGAAAGGTTTAACTCTGCAAGATGAACTCACACATAACCAAGATGTTTTTCATATAGCTTCCTTCTAGTTTTTATCACAGGATATTTGCTTTTTCACCTTTGGCCTCAATGAGTTCCCAACTACCTCTTTGCAGATTCGACAAAAACAGTATTTCCAAATCACTAAATCCAAAGAAACATTTATGACTGTGAGATGAATACACACATCTCAAAGCAGTTTCTCAGAATACTACTTTCTACTTTTTCTTTGAACATATTTTCTTTTTCACCATAGGCATTGATATGTCCCACAATATCCCTTCGCAGATTCTATGAAAACAGTGTTTTCAAACTGCTGAATGACAAGAAGGTTTAACTCTGTGAGATGAATGCACACATCACAGAGCGGTTTCTGAGATAGCTTCCTTTGGGTTTTTACCCTGGGATATTCACTTTTTCCCCATTGTCATCAATGAGCTGTCAAATGTCCATTTGTAGAATGCACAAAAACAGTGTTTCTAAAATGCTGAATTCAAATAAAGGTTTAACCCTGTGACCTCAAAGCACACATCACAGAGCAGTTTCTCAGAAATCTTCTTTCTAGTTTTTACCTGAAGATATTTCCTTTTTCACCATAGACCACAATGAACTGCCAAATATCCTTTTGCAGATTCTAAGAAAACAGTGTTTCCAAACTGCTGAATGAAAAGAAAGGTTTAACTCTATGAGATGAATGCAAATATCACAAAGCAGTTTCTCAGATAGCTTTCTTCTAGTTTTAATCCTGGGATGTTTGGTTTTTCACCATTGTCTTCAATGAGTTCCAAAACTTCCATTTGCAGAATGGACAAAAACAGCGTTACCAAACTGCTGAATCCAAAGTAAGGCTTAACTCTGGTGGATGAATGAACATATCACAAAACAGTTTCTCAGATATCTTCTTGCTAGATTTTATCTGAAGATATTTCCTTTCTCACTATGGTACTCAAGGCGCTACCAAATATCCCTTTGCAGATTCTAAGAAATCAGTGTTTCCAAACTGTTGAATGAAAAGAAAGGTTTAACTCTGCTAGATGAATGCACACATCACAAAGTGGTTTCTCAGATAACTTCTTTCTAGTTTTAATATGGGGACATTCACTTTTTTGATATTGGCTTCAAATGTCCATTCACAGAATGGACACAAACAGTGTTTCAAAACTGCTGAATCCAAAGAAAGTTTTAACCCTCTGAGATGAATGCACACATCACAAATCTGTTTCTCACATAACTTCCTTCTAGTTTTTATCCTGTAATAGTCACTCTTTCCCCATTGGCTTCAGTGAGCTCAAAAAAGTCCATTCACAGAATCAGCAGAAACAGTGTTTCCAAACTTTTGAATCCAAAGAAAGTTTTAAGTCGGTGGGGTAAATGAACATATCACAAAGCAGTTTATCAGAAAGCTTATTTCTAGTTCTTATCTGAAGATATGTCCTTTTTCACCATAGGCCTCAATGCGCTACAAAATGTCTCTTTGCAGACATTAAGAAATCAGTGTTTCTAAACTGCTGAATGAAAAGTAAGGTTTATCTCTGTGAGATGAATTCACATATCAAGAACTGGTTTCTCAGATAACTACCTTCTAGTTTTTATCCTGGGATATTTCCTTTTTTGCCATTGGCCTCAATGAGCTCCAAAATGTCCATTCCAAGAATGGACAAACCCTGTGGTTCCACACCACTGAATTCAAAGACAGGTTTAACTCTTGGAGATGAATGCACACATCCCAAACCAGTTTATCATTAAGCTTCTTTCTAGTTTTTATCAGAAGATATTTCCTTTTTCACCATTGACTTCCATTTTCTTCCAAATATCTCTTGGCAGATTCTAAGAAAACGTGTTTCTGAACTGCTGAATGTAAAGAAAGATTTAACTCTGTGAGATCTCAAATCAGTTTCTCAGATAGCATTCTTCTAGTTTTTATCTTGAGATATTCACTTTTTCACCATTGGCCTCAAACAGCTCCAAAATGTCCATTCACAAAATAGACAAAAACAATATTTCCAAACTGCTGAATCCAAAGAAAGGTTTAACTCTGTGAGATGAATGCACACATCACAAAGCAGTTTCTGAGATAACTTCAATTCCAGTTTTTAGCCTGGGATATTCACTTTTTTTATGTTGGCTTCAATGAGCTCCCAAAAGTCCATTTGCAGAATAGACAGAAACAGTGTTTCCATACTGCTGAATGCAAAGAAAGGTCTAACTCTGCATAGTGAATGCAAACAACACGAATTGGTTTCTCAGATAACTTCCTTCTATCCTGGGATATTTACTTTTTCACCATTGACAATGAGTTCTCAAATTTCTATTCCAAGAATGGACAAAAACTATGTTTCCAAACTGCTGAATCCAAAGACAGATTTATCTCTCTGACATGAATGAACTCATCACAAGGCAGTTTCTCAGAAACTTTCTTTCTAATTTTTATCTGAAGATATTTCCTTTTTCACCATGGCCCTCAATGTGCTGCCAAATGTCCTTTCACAGTTTCTACAAAAACTGGTTTCCAACTGCTGAATGAAAAGGAAGGTTTAACTCTGCTAGATTAATGCACACATCACAAAGTGATTTCTCAGATAGCTTCCCTCTAGTTTTAATCCTGGGATATTCACTCTTTCTCCATTGGCTTCAGAAAGATCCAAAACTTCCATTCACAGAATGGACAAAAACAGTGTTACCAAACTGCTGAATCCAAAGAAATGCTTAACCCCATTGGATGAATGAACACATCACAAAGCAGTTTCTCAGAAAGCTTCTTGCTAGTTTTTTTCTGAAGATATTCCTTTTTCACCATGGGCCAGCATGTGCTAAAAATATCTCTTTGCAGATTCTAAGAAAACACTGTTTCCCAACTGCTGAATGAAAAAAAAAGGTTTAACTCTGGTAGATGAATGCACACATCACAAAGCCATTTCTTAAATAACTTCCTTCTACTTTTTATCCTGGGATATTTGCGCTTTTTTGCCATTGGCTTCAATGAGCTCCCAAATATCATGAATTGGTTTCTCAGATAACTTCCTTCTTGTTTTTATCCTGGGATATTCACTTTTTTGCCATTGGCCTCAATGAGTTCACAAATGTTCATTCCGAGATTGGATAAAAACTCTATTTCCAAACTGCTGAATCCAAAGCCAGGTTTAACTCTCTGAGGCAAATGTGCACATTAAAAACCAGTTTCTCATTAAGCTTCTTTATAGTTTTTATCTGAAGATATTTCCTTTTTCACCATTGGCCTCATACTCTTCCAAATATCTAAATATCTCTTGGTGGATTCCAAGAAAACAGTGTTTTTACACTGCTGAATGAAAAGAAAGATTGAACCCTGTGAGACAAAAGCAGACATCATGAATCAATTTCTCAGATAACTTCCTTCAATTTGTTATCCTGGGATATTTGCTTTTTCGCCATTGGCCTCAAGAAGCTCCCAAATGACCATTCACAAAATGGACAAAAACAGTATTTCCAAACAGCTGAATCAAAGGAAAAGTTTAACTCCGTAAGATGAATGAACACATCACAAAGTAGTTTCTCGGAAAGCTTTCTGCTAGTTTTTATCAGAAGATACTTCTTTCTTCAACATGGACCTCAATGAGCTACAAATGTCTCTTTGCAGATTCTAAGAAATCAGTGTTTCCCAACTGCTGAATGAGCAGAAAGGTTTAACTCTGGGAGATGAATGCAGACATCACAAGGTGGTTTCTCAGATAGCTTGCTTCTAGTTTTAATCCTGGGATATTCACTTTTTTGCCATTGGCCTCAGTGAGCTCCCAAACGTCCAATAACAAAATGCACACAAACAGTGTTTCCAAACTACTGAATCCAAAGAAAGTTTTAACTCTCTGAGACAAATGCACGAATTGGTTTCTCATATAAATTCCTTGTAGTTTTACCCTGGGATATTTGCTTATTCCCCATTGGCTTCAATGAGCTCCCAAATGTCCATTCACTGAATCAACAGAAACAGTGTTTCCAAACTGCTGAATACAGGGTAAGGTTTAATTCAGTGGGATGAATGAACACATCACAAAGCAGTTTCTCAGAAACCTTCTTTCTAGTTTTTATCTGAAGATATATCCTTTTTGAAAATATGCCTCAATGCGCTATCAAATATCTCTTGGCAGATTCTAAGAAATCAGTGTTTCCAAACTGCTGAATGAAAAGAAAGGTTTAACTCTGTTAGATGAGTGCACACATCATGAATTGGTTTCTCAGATAACTTCCTTCTAGTTTTTTTCCTGTCATATTTGCTTTATTGCCTTTCACCTCAATGAGTTCCCAAATGTCCATTCCAAGAATGGACAAAAACTGTGTTTCCAAACTGCTGAATCCAAAAACTGGTTTAACTCTCTGAGATGAATGCACACATCCCAAACCAGTTTCTCATTAAGCTTTTTCCTAGTTTTCATATGAATATATTTCCTTTTTCACCATTGACCTCCATAGACTTCCAAATATCTCTTGGCAGATTCTAAAAAAACATTGTTTTAAACTCCTGAATGAAATGAAAGTTTTAGCTCTGTGTCACGAATGTACACATCATGAATCTCTTTCTCAGAGGGCTTCCTTCTAGTTTTAATCCTGGGATATTCACTTTTTTGCCATTGGCTTCAATGAGCTCCCAAACGTCCATTCCGAGAATGGACAACAGCAGTGTTACCAAACTGCTGAATACAAAGAAAGGTTTAACTCTGTTGGATGGATGAACACATCACAAAGCAGTTTCTCAGAAAGCTTCTTGTTAATTTTTATCTGAAGATATTTCCTTTTGCACCATGGGCTGCAATGCACTACCAAATATCCCTTTGCAGATTCCAAGATAACACTATTTCAAAACTGCTGAATGAAAAGAAAGGTTTAACTCTGCTAGATGAAAACACACGTCACAGAGCAGTTTCTCAGATAATTTTCTTCTAGTTGTAACCCTGGGATATTCACTTAGTTGACATTGGCTACAATGAACTAAAAATATCCATTCACAGAATCAACAGAAACATTGTTTCCAAACTGCTGAATGCAAAGAATGGTTTAACTCAGTGACATGAATACACACATCACGAATTGGTTTCTCTTATAACTTCCTTGTACTTTTTATCTTGTGATATTCACTTTTTTGCCATTGGCCTCAATGAGTTCCCAAATGTCCATTTGCAGATTGGACAAAAACAGTATTTCCAAACTGCTGAATCCAAGAAAATGTTTAACTCTGTGAGATGAATGAACACATCACAAAGTAGTTTCCCAGAAATCTTCTTGCTAGTTTTTATCTGAAGGTATTTCCTTTTTAACCCTTGGCCTCCATAGTTTTCAAAATATCTCTTCTCAGATTCTAAGAAAACAGTGTCTCTAAAGGGATGAATGAAACGAAAGATTTAACTTTGTGAGATGAATGCACACATCATGAATCGGTTTCTCAGACAACTTCCTTCAAGTTTTTATCCTGGAATATACACTTTTTCTCCTTTGGCCTCAATGGGCTCCCAAATGTCCATTCACAGAACGGACAAAAACAATATGTTGAAAGTGCTGAATCCAAGGAAAAGTTCAGCTCTGTGAGATGAATGAACACATCACAAAGTAGTTTCTCAGAAAGCTTCTTCCAAGTTTTTATCAGAAGGTATTTGCTTTTTCACCAAGGGCCTCAAGGCACTACCAAATATCTCTTTGCAGATTCTAAGAAATCAGTGATTAGATACTGCTGAAAGAAAAGAAAGTTTTAACTCTGTGAGATGAATGCACACATCACAAAGCAGTTTCTCAGATAGCTTCATTCTAGTTTTAGTCCCCAGATATTCACTTTTTCACCATTGGCCTCCATGACCCCTGAAACGTCCATTCACAGAATGGACACAAACAGTGTTTCCAAACTGCTGAATCCAAACATAAGTTTAACTCTCTGAGATGAATGCACACATCATAAATCCGTTTCTCATATATATTCCTTCTAGTTTTTATCCTGGGATATTCACTTTTTCCTGATTGGCCTCAATGAGTTCCCAAATATCCACTCACAGAATTGACAGAAACAGTGTTTCCAAACTGCTGAGTCCAAAGAAATGTTTCACTCTATGGGATGAATGAACTCCACACAAAGCAGTTTCTCAGAAACCTTCTTTCTATTTTTTATCTGAAGATATATACGTTTCCACCATAGGCCTCAGTGCACTACAAAATGTCTCTTCACAGATTCTAAGAAATCAGTGTTTACAAACTGCTGAATGAAAAGAAAGGTTTAACTCAGTGAGATGAATGTGCATACCATGAATTGGTTTCTCAGATAACTTCCTTCTAGTTTTTATCCTGGGATACTGGCTTTTTCACCACTGGCCTCAATGAGTTCCCAAATGTCCATTCCAAGAATGGACAAAAACTGTTTTCAAACTGCCATATAAAAAGACAGATTTAACTCTCTCAGATGAATGCAGATATCCCAAACCAGTTTCTCATTAAGCTTCTTTCTAGTTTTTATCTGAAGATATTTCCTTTTTCACCATTGGCCTCCATACTCTTCCAAATATCACTTCACAGATTCTGAGAAAACAGTGTTTCTAAAGGGCTGAATGAAAAGAAAGATTTAACTATGTGAGATTAAGGCACACATCATGAATTGGTTTGTCAGACAACTTCCTTCAAGATTTTAGCATGGGATATTCACTTTTTCACCATTGGCCTCAATGAGCTCCAAAATGTTCATTCACAGAATGGACAAAAACAGTATTTTGAAACTCTGAATCCAAGGAAAAGTTTATCTCTGTGTGATGAATAGACACATCACAAAGTTTCTCACAAAGTTTCTTGCTAGTTTTTATCCAAAGATATTTCCTTTTTCACCATCGACCTCACTGGGCTCCCAAATATCTCTTTGCAGATACTAAGAAATCAGTAATTCCAAACTGCTGAATGAAAAAGAAGGTTTAACACTGAGATGAATGCACACATCAAAAAGCTGTTTCTCAGATAGCTTCCTTCTGGTTTCAATCCTCTGATATTTGCTTTTTCACAATTGACCTCAATGAGATCCCAAATGTCCATTCGCAGAAAGGACACAGTGTTTCCAAACTGCTGAATCCAAATAAAAGTTTAACTCTCTGAGATGAATGCACACATCACAAGTCAGTTTCTCAGAAAGCTTCTTACTAGTTTTTATCTGAAGATATATCCTTTTTCAAAATAGGCCTCAATGTGCTACAAAATATCTCTTCACAAATTCTAGGAAATCAGAGTTTCCAAACTGCTGAATGCAAAGAAAGGTTAACTCTGTGAGATGAATACAGACATCATGAATTTGTTTCTCATATAACTTCCTTCTAGTTTTTATCCTGGGATATTTTATTTTTCACCATTGGCCTCAATGAGTTCCCAAACGTCCATTCCAAGAATGGACAAAAACTGTGTGTCAAAACTGCTGAATCCAAAGCCAGGTTTGAATCTCTGAGATGAATGCACTCATCACAAACCAGTTTCTCATTAAGCTTCTTTCTAGTTTTTATCAGAAAGTATTTCATTTTTCAACATTGACCTCCATAGCCTCCAAATATCTCTTGGCAGATTCTAAGAAAACAGTGTTTCTGAACTGCTGAATGAAAAGAAAGATTTACCTCTGTGAGATGAATGGACTCAACATGAGTTGGTTTCCCAGATAACTTCCTTCTAGTTTTTATCCTGGGATATTCTCTTTTTCACCAGTGGCCTCAAGGAGTTCCCAAATGTCCATCCCAAAAATGGACAAAAACTGTGTTTCCAAACTGCTGAATCCAAATACAGATTTAACTCTCTTAGGTGAATGCACACATCCTAAAGCAGTTTCTCATTAAGCTTCTTTCTACATTGTATCTGAAGATATTAACTTTTTCACCATTGGCCTCCACACTCTTCCAAATATCTCTTGGCAGATTCTAAGAAAACAATGTTTCTAAACTGCTGAACGAAAATGAAGATTTAACTCTTTGAGATGAATGCACACATCAAGAATTGGTTTCTCAGATAACTTCCTTCAAGTTTTCATCTGGGGATATTTCCTTTTTTGCCATTGGCCTCAATGAGCTCCCAAATGTCCATTTGAAGAATGGACAAAAACAGCATTTCCAAACTGCTGAATCCAAATAAAAGTTTAACTGTGTGAAATGAGTGAACACATCACAAAGTAGTTTCTCAGAAAACTTCTTGCTAGTTTTTATCTGAAGATAATTCGTTTTTCACCATGGGCCTCAATACATTACCAAATATCTCTAGGGAGATGCTATGAAATCAGTGTTTCCAAACTGCTGAATGAAAAGACAGGTTTAACTCTGTGAGATGAATTCACACTTCACAAAGCAGTTTCTCAGATAACTTTCTTCTAGTTTTAATCCTGGGATATTCACTTTTTCATCATTGGCCTCAATAAGTTCTCACAAGTGCATTCCATGAATGGACGAAAACTGTGTTTCCAAACTGCTGAATCCAAAGACAGATTTAACTCTCTGAAGTGAATGCACACATCCCAGACCAGTTTCTCATAGAGCTTCTTTCCAGTTTTTATCTGAAAGTATTTCCTTTTTCACCATTGACCTCTATAGTCTTCCAAATGTCTGTTGGCAGATTCTAAGAAAACAGTGTTTCTAAACTGCTGAATGAAAAGAAAGACTTAACTCTGTGAGGTGAATGTACACATCAGGAATAGGTTTCTCAGATAACTTCCTTCTAGTTTTTATCCTGGGATATTCCCTTTTTCACCATCAGCCTCAAGGAGCTCCATAATGTTCATTAGCAAAATGGACAAAATCAGTATTTCCAAACTGCTGAATCCAAAGAATGGTTTAACTCTGTTAGAGGAATGAACGCATCACAAAGCAGTTTCTCAGAAAGTTTCTTTCTAGTTTTTATCTGAAGATATTTCCTTTTTTGCCGTAGGCCTCAATGCGCTCCCAGATATCCTTGGCAGTTTCTATAAAAACAGTGTTTCCAAACTGCTGAATGAAAAGAAAGGTTTAACTCTGCTAGATGAATGCACACATCACAAAGCAGTTTCTCTGATAGCTTCCTTCTAGTTTTAATCCTGGGATATTCACTTTTTTGCCATTGGCTTCAATGAGCACCCAAACGTCCATTGGCCGAATGGACAAAACAAGTTTTACCAAACTGCTGAATCCAAAGAGAGGCTTAAGTCTGTTGGATGAGTGAACACATGGCAAAGCAGTTTCTCAGAAAGCTACCTGCTAGTTGTTATTTGAAGATATTTCCTTTTCCACCAGAATGTGCTACCAAATATCTCTTCTCAGATTCTAAGAACACACTGTTTCCAAACTGCTGAATGAAAAGAAAGGTTTAATTCTGCTAGATGAATGCACACACAACAAAGCAGTTTTCAGATAACTTCCTTCTAGTTTTTGTCCTGGCATATTCCCTTTTTTGCCATTGGCTTCAAAGAGCCCCCAAATGTAAATTTGCAGAATAGACATAAACAGTTTTTCCTAACTGCTGAATGCAAAGAAAGTTTTAAATCCATGAGATGAATGCACACATCATGAATTGGTTTCTCAGATAACTTCCTTCTCGTTTTTATCCTGGGATACTGGCTTTTTCACCACTGGCCTCAATGAGTTCCCAAAAGTCCATTCCAAGAGCAGACAAAAACTGTGTTTCCAAACTGCTGTATACAAAAACAGATTTAACTCTCTCAGATTAATGTGCACATCCCAAACCATTTTCTTATTAAGCTTCTTTCTAGTTTTTATCTGAAGATATTTCCTTTTTCACCATTGGCCTCCATACTCTTCCAAATATCTCTTTGCAGATTCTGAGAAAACAGTGCTTCTAAACGGCTGAATGAAAAGAAAGATTTAACTCTGTGAGATGAAGGCACCAATCATGAATCCGTTTCTCAGACAACTTCCTTCAAGATTTTATCAGGGGATATTTGCTTTTTCGCCTTTGACCCCAATGAGCTCCCAAATGCTCATTCACAGAATGGAGAAAAACGGTATTTTCAAACTTCTGAATCCAAGGAAATGTTTATCTCCGTGTGATGAATGAACATATCACAAAGTAGTTTCTCAGAAAGCTTCTTGCTAGTTTTTATCTGAAGATGTTTCCTTTTTCACCATCGACTTCACTTGGGCTCCCAAATATCTCTTTGCAGATTGTAAGAAATCAGTGATTCCAAACTGCTGAATGAAAAGAAAGGTTTAACTCTGTGAGATGGATGCACATATCAAAAAGCTGTTTCTCAGATAGCTTCCATCTAGTTTTAATCCTGTGATATTTGCTTTTTTGGGACTGGATTCAATGAGCTCCCAAATATCCGTTTGCAGAATCAACAGAAACAGTGTTTCCAAACTTCTGACTCCAAAGAAAAGTTTATCTCTGTTGGATGAATGAACACATCACAAAACAGTTTCTCAGAAAGCTTCTTGCTTGCTTTTATCTGAAGATATATCCTTTATCTCCTTAGGCCTCAATGTGCTACCAAATATCTCTTCACAGATTCTAATAAATCAGTGCTTCCAAACTAATGAACGGAAAGAAAAGTTTAACTCTGGTAGATGAATGCACACATCACGAATTTGTTTCTCAGCTAACTTCCTTCCAGTTTTTATCCTGGGGTATTCGCTTTTTCACCATTGGCCTCAACGAGTTCCAAAATGTCCATTCCAAGAATGGACAAAAACTGTGTTTCCAAACTGCTGAATCCAAAACCAGGCTTACCTCTCTGAGATGAATGCACACTTACCAAATCAGTTTCTCAGTAAGCTTCTTTCTAGTTTTTATCAGAAGATATTTCATTTTTCACCACTGACCTCCATAGTCTTCCAAATATCTCTTGGCAGATTCTAAGAAAACAGTGTTTCTAAACTGCAGAATGAAAAGAAAGATTTACCCCTGTGAGATGAATGCACACATCATGAATCTGTTTCCCAGATAACTTCCTTCTAGTTTTCATCCTGGGATAATTGCTTTTTTGACAATGGCTTCAATGAGCTCCAAAATGTCCATTTGCAAAATGGAAAAAAACCAGTATTTCCAAACTGCTGAATGCAAAGAAAGGTTTAACTCTGTGAGATGAATGAACACATCACAAAGCAGTTTCTCAGAAAGTTTCTTTCTAGTTTTCATCTGAAGGTATTTCCTTTTTCCCCGTATGTCTCAATGCACTGCCAAATATCCTTTTGCAGTTTCTACAAAAACAGTGTTTCCAAACTGCTGAATGAAAATAAAGGTTTAACACTTCTAGATGAATGCACACATCACAGAGCTTTTTCTCAGATAGCTTCCTTCTAGTTTTAATCCTGGGATATTCACTTTTTTGGCTTTGACTTCAATGAGCTCCCAAATGTCCATTCGCAGAATGGACAAAAACAGTGTTACCAAACTGCTGAAACCAATGAAAGGCTTAACTCCGTTGGATGAATGAACACATCACAAAGCATATTCTCAGAAAGCTTCTTGCTAGTTTTTTTCTGCAGATATTTCCTTTTTCACCATGGGCCACAATGTGCTGCCAACTATAGCTGTGCATATTCTAAGAAAACACTGTTTCCAAACTGCTGAATGAAAAGAATGGTTTAATTTTGCTTGATGAATGCACACTTTAAAAAGTGGTTTCTGAGATAATTTCCTTTTAGTTTTTTATCCTGGGATATTCACTTTTTTGTCATTGGTTTCAATGAGCTCCCAAATGTCCATTCTCAGAATCGACAGAAACAGTGTTTCCAAACTGCTGAATCCAAACAAAAGTTGAACTTGATGGGATGAATGAACACATCACAAAGTAGTTTCTCAGAAAGATTCTTGCTAGTTTTTATCTGAAGATATTTTCTTTTTCACCATGGTCCTGAAAGTGCTACCAAATATCTCTTTGCAGCTTCTAAGAAATCAGTGTTTCCAAAATTTCCAAATGAAAAGAAAGGTTTAACTCTGTTGGATGAATGCACACATCACAAAGCAGTTTCTCAGATAGCTTCATTCTAGTTTTAATCCTGGCATATTTGCTTTTTTGGCTTTGGCTCCAGTGAGCTCCCAAACGTCCATTCATGGAATGGACACAAATAGTGTTTCCAAATTACTGAATCCAAAGAAAAGTTTAGCGATCTGAGATGAATGCACACATCATGAATCGGTTTCTCGTGTAACATCCTTCTAGTTTTTATCCTGGGATATTCGCTTTTTCCCCTTTGGCCTCAATGAGCTCCCAAATGTCCATTCACAAACTCGACAGAAACAGTGTTTCCAAGCTGCTGAATCCAAAGAAAGGTTTAACTCTGTGGGATGAATGAACACAACACAAAACAGATTCTCAGAAATCTTCTTGCTAGTTTTATCCGAAGATATATCCTTTTTCACCATAGGCCTCAACGCCCTTCCAAATATCTCTTTGCAGATTCTTAGAAATCAGTGTTTCCAAACTGCTGACTGAAAAGGAAGGTTTAACTGTGTGAGATAAATCCACATATCACGAATTGGTTTCTCACATAACTTCCTTCTGGTTTTTATCCTGGGATATTTGCTTTTTCAGCACTGGCTTCAATGAGTTCCCAAATGTCCATTCCAAGAATGGACAAAAACTGTGCTTCCAAACAGCAGAATCCAAAGCCAAGTTTAACTCTCTGAGATGAATGCACACGTCCCAAGCCAGTTTCTCTTTAAGCTTCTTTCTAATTTTTATCAAAGATATTTCATTTTTCACTGTTGACCTCCATAGTCTACAAAATATCTCCTGGCAGATTCTAAGAAAACAGTGTTTCTGAACTGCTGAATGAAAAGAAAGATTTAACTCTGTGAGATGAATGCACACATCATGAATTGATTACTCAGATAACTTCCTTCTAGTTTTTATCCTGGGATATTGGGTTTTTTGCCATTGGCCTCAATGAGCACCAAAATGTCCATTCACTAAATGGAAAAAAAACAGTATTTCCAGACTGCTCAATCCAAAGGAAGGTTTAACTCTGTGAGATGAATGAACATATCACAAAGCAGTTTCTCAGAAAGATTCTTTCTAGTTTTCATCTGAAGATATTTCATTTTTCCCCGTATATCTCAATGCGCTGCCAGTTATCCTTTTGCAGTTTCTACAAAAGCAGTGTTTCCTAACTGCTGAATGAAAAGAAAGGTTTAACACTGCTAGATGAGTGCACACATCACAAAGCAGTTTCTCAGAAAGCTACTTGCTAGTTTTTATCTGAAGATATTTCCGTTTTCACCATGGGCTACACTGCTGTGCTGGCAAATATAGCTGGGCTGTTAGTAAGAAAACACTGTTTCCAAAATGCTGAATGAGAAGAATGGTTTAACTCTTCTAGATGAATGCACACATCAGAAAGCGGTTTCTCAGATAACTTCCTTCTAGTTTTTATCCTGAGATATTCACTTTTTTGGCTTTGGCCTCAATGAGCTCCCAAATGTCCATCTGCAGAATCGACAGAAACAGTGTTTCCAAACAGCTAAATCCAAAGAAAAGTTGAAGTTGGTGGGGTGAATGAACACATCATAAACTAGTTTCTCAGAAAGCTTCTTGTTAGTAGTTTTCTAAAGATATTTCCTTTTTCACCATGGGCTTCAGAACACTACTAAATATCTCTTTGCAGATTCCAAGAAATCAGTGTTTCCAAACTGCTGAATGAAAATAAAGGTTTAACTCTGTGAGATGAATGCACACATCACAAAGCAGTTTCTCAGATCACTTTCTTCTAGCTTTAATCCTGGGATATTCAACTCTTTGCCATTGGCCTCAATGAGCTAACAAACGTCCATTCACAGGATGGACACAAACAGTGTTTCCAAACTAGTGAATCCAAAGAAAGGTTTAAGTCTCTGAGATGAATGTACACATCACCAGTCGGTTTCTCATATAATTTCCTTCTAGTTTTTATCCTGGGATATTCACTTTTTTGCCATTGGCATCAATGAGTTTCCCAAATGTCCATTCCAAGCATGGACAAAACTGTGCTTCCAAACAGCTGTATCCAAAGCCAGGTTTAATTCTCGGAGACCAATGCACACATCCCAAACCAGTTTCTCATTAAGCTTTTTTCTAGGTTTTGTCAAAAGATATTTCATTTTTCACTGTTGACCTCCATAGTCTTCCAAATATATCTTGGGAGATTCTTAAGAAAGTGTTTCTGAACTGCTGAATGAAAAGAAAGATTTACCTCTGTGAGATGAATGCACACATCATGAATTGTTTACTCAGATAACGTCCTTCTAGTTTTTATCCTAGGAAATTGGATTTTTCACCATTGGCCTCAATGAACTCCTAAATGTCCATTTGCAAAATGGAAAAAAAAAGTATTTCCAAACAGCTGAATCCAAAGAAAGGTTTAACTCTCTGAGATGAATGAACACATCACAAAGCAGTTTCTCAGAAAGTTTCTTTCTAGTTTTCAACTGAAGGTATTTATTTTTTGCCCATGGGCATCAGTGTGCTGCCAAATATCCTTTCACAGTTTCTACAAAAACAGTGTCTCCAAACTGCTGAATGAAAAGAAAGGTTTAACACTTCTAGATGAGTGCACACATCACCAAATGGTTTATCAGATAGCTTCCTTCTAGTTTTAATCCTGGGATATTCACTTTTTCTGCTTTGGCTTCAATGAGCTCCCAAACTTCCACTCACAGAATGGACAAAAACCGTATTATCAAACTGCTGAAACCAAAGAAAGGCTTAACTCTATTGGATGAATGAACACATCACAAAGCAGTTTCTCGGAAAGCTTCTCGCTAGTATTTATCTGAAGATATTTCCTTTTTCACCATGGGCCACATTGCTGCACTAGGAAACATAGCTGCGCAGATTCTAAGAAAACACTGTTTCCAAACTACTGAATGAAAAGAATGGTTAAACTCTGCTAGATGAATGCACACATCAGATAACGGTTTCTCAGGTAACTTCCTTCTAGTTTTCATCCTGGGATATTTGCTTTTTTGCCACTGGCCTCAATGACTCCCAAAGGTCCATTTGGAGAATCGACAGAAACAGTGATTCCAAACTGCTGAATCCAAAGAAAGTTAAACTCTGTGGGATGCATGACCACATCACAAGACAGTTTCTCGGAAAGCCTCATGTGAATTTTAATGCTGGGATATTTGCTTTTTCCCCATTGGCCTCAAAGTGTTGTGAAATATCTCTTTGCAGATTCTTAGAAATCAGTGTTTCCAAACTGCTAAATGAAAAGAAAGGTTTAACTCTGTAAGATGAATGCACACATCACAAAGCAGTTTCTCAGATAGCTTTCTTCTGGTTTTAATCCTGGGATATTTGTTTTTTCCCCATTGGCCTCACTGAGCTCCAAAATGTCAATTCGCACACTTGACAGAAACAGTGTTTCTAAACTGCTGAATCCAAAGAAAGGTTTTACTCTGTGGGATGAATGAATAAATCATAAAGCAGTTTCTCAGAAAGCTTCTTGCTAGTTTTTATCTGAAGATATATCCTTTTTCATGATAGGTCTCAACGTACTTCGAAATATCTCTTTGCAGATTCTAAGAAATCAGTTTTTCCAAATTGCTGAATGAAAAGAAAGGTTTAACTCTGTGAGATGAATGCACATATCATGAATTGATTACTCAGATCACTTCTTTCTGATTTTTACCCAGGGATATTCGCTTTTTCACCATTGGCCTCAATGAGCTCCAAAATGTCCATTTGCAAAATGGAAAAAAAAAAAAACAGTATTTCCAAACTGCTGAATCCAAAGAAAGGTTTAACTCTGTGAGATGAATGAACACATCATGAAGCAGTTTCTCAGAAAGTTTCTTTCTAGTTTTCATCTGAAGATATTTCCTTTTTCCCCATAGGCCTCAATGCACTGCCAAATATCAATCCGCGGTTTCTACAAAAACAGTGTTTCCTAACTGCTGACTGAAAAGAATAATTTAACACTGCTACATGAGTGCACACATCACAAAGTGATTTCTCAGATAGCTTCCTTCTAGTTTTAATCCTGGGATATTCACTTTTTCAGCTTTGGCTTCAATGAGCTCCCAAACGTCCACTAACAGAATGGACAAAAACCATGTTACCAAACTGCTGAGACCAAAGAATGGCTTAATTCTGTTGGATGAATGAACACATCACAAAGCAGTTTCTCAGAAATCTTCTTGCTAGTATTTATCTGAAGATATTTCCTTTTTCACTAAGGGTCACAATGCTGCACTAGCAAATATAGCTGTGCAGATTCTAAGAAAACACTGTTTCCAAACGGCTGAATGAAAAGAATGGTTTAACTCTGCTAGAAGAATGCTCACATTGGAAAGCAGTTTCTCAGATAGCTTCCTTCTAGTTGTTATCCTGGGATATTTGCTTTTTCACCATTGGCCTCAATGAGTTCCCAAATGTCCATTCCAAGAATGGACAAAAACTGTGCTTCCAAACAGCAGAATCCAAAGCCACGTTTAACTCTCTGAGATGAATGCACACATCAAAAACTAGTTTCTCATTAAGCTTCTTTCTAGTTTTTATCGGAAGATATTTCATTTTTCCCTGTTGACCTCCATAGTCTTCAAAATATCTCTTGGCAGATTCTAAGAAAACAGTGTTTCTGAACTGCTGAATGAAAAGAAAGATTTAAGTCTGTGAGATGAATGCACACATCACTAATCGGTCACTCAGATAACTTCCTTCTAGTTTGTATCCTGGGATATTGGCTTTTTTGCCATTGGCCTCAATGAGCTCCAAAATGTCCATTCTCAAAATGGAAAAAAACAATATTTCCAAACTGTTGAATCCAAAGAAAGGTTTAACTCTGTGAGATGAATGAGCACATCATGAAGCAGTTTCTTAGAAAGTTTCTTTCTAGTTTTCATGTGAAGATATTTCCTTTTTCCCCATATGTCTCAATGTGCTGCCAAATATCCTTTTGCAGTTTCTACAAAAACAGTGTTTCCAAACTGCTGAATGAAAAGAAAGGTTTAACACTACTAGGTGAGTGCACACGTCACAAAGCAGTTTCTCAGATAGCTTTCTTCTAGTTTTAATCCTGGGATATTCACTTTTTCTGCTTTGGCTTCAATGAGCTCCCAAACGTCCACTCACAGAATGGACAAAAAGCGTGTTACCAAACTGCTGAAACCAAAGAAAGGCTTAACTCTGCTGGGAGAATGAACACATCACAAAGCGGTTTCTCAGAAAGCTTCTTGCTAGTAATTATCTGAAGATATATCTTTTCACCATGAGCCACAATGCTGCGCTAGCAAATATAGCTGCACAGATTCTAAGAAAACACTGTTTCCAAATTGCTGAATGAAAAGAATGGTTGAACTCTGCTAGATGAGTGCACACATCCAATAACGGTTTCTCAGATAATGTCCTTCTGGTTTTTATCCTGGGATATTCCTTTTTCTGCCACTAGCCTCAAAGAGCTCCCAAATGTCCTTTTGGAGAATCAACAGAAATAGTGTTTCCAAACTGCCGAATCCAAAGAAAAGTTTAACTCTGTAGGATGAATGAACACATCACAAGAGAGTTTCTCAGAAAGCTTCTTGCTGGTTTTTATCTGAAGATATTTCCTTTTTCACCATGGGCCTCAAAGTGCTACCAAATGTCTCTTTGCAGATTTAAAGAAATCAGATATTCCAAACTGCTGAATAAAAAGAAAAGTTTAACTCTGTGAGATGAATGCACACATCACAAAGTAGTTTCTCAGAAAGATTCTTGCTAGTTTTTATCTGAAGATATTTCCTTTTTCACCATGGGCCTCAAAGTGCTACCATATATCTCTTCACAGATTCTAAGAAATCCGTGTTTCCAAACTGCTGAATGAAAAGAAAGGTTTAACCCTGTGAGATGAATTCACAAATCGCAAAGCAATTTTGCAGATAGATTTCTTCTAGTTTTAATGCAGGGATATTCACTCTTTCCCTATTGCCTCAATGAGCTCCCAAAAGTCCATTCACAGACTCGACAGAAACAGTGTTTCCAAACTGCTGAATGAAAAGAAAGGTTTAACTCTGCGAGATGAATGCACACATCACCAAGTAGTTTCTCAGAAAGTTTCTTTCTAGTTTTCATCTGAAGATATTTCCGTTTTCCCCATAGGCCTCAATGCGCTGCCAAATATCCTTTTGCAGTTTCTACCAAAACAGTGTTTCCAACTGCTGAATGAAAACAAAGGTTTAACACTTCTAAATGAATGCACCACATCACAAAGCAGTTTCTCAGATAGCTTCCTCCTAGTTTTAATCCTGGGATATTCACTTTTTTGGCTTTGGCTTCAAAGAGCTCCCAAACAGTCACTCACAGAATGGACAAAAACCGTGTTACCAAACTGCTGAAACCAAAGAAAGACTTAACTCTGTCAGATGAATGAACACATCACAAAGCAGTTTCTCAGAAAGCTTCTTGCTAGTATTTATCTGAGGACATTTCCTTTTTCACCATGGGCCACAGTGCTGCGCTAGGAAATATAGCTGCGCAGTTTCTAAGAAAACAGTTTCCAAACTACCATATGAAAAGAATGGTTTAACTCTGCTAGATGAATGCACACATCACAAAGCGGTTTCTCAGATGGCTTCTTTCTAGTTTTTATCCCGGGATATTTGCTTTTTTGCCATTGGCCTCAATGAGCTCCCAAATGTCCATTCACAGAATCAACAGAAACAGTTTTTCCAAGCTGCTGAATCCAAAGGAAAGTTTAACTCTTTGGGATGAATGAACACATCACAAGACAGTTTCTCAGAAAGCTTCTTGCTAGTTTTTATCTCAATATATTTCCTTTTTCACCATGGGCCTCAAAGCGCTACCAAATATCTCTGCAGATTCTAAGAAATCAGTGTTTCCAAACTGCTGAATGAGAAGCGAGGTTTAACTCTGTGAGATGAATGCAAATATCAGAAAGCAGTTTCTCAGAAAGCTTCTTGCTAGTTTTTTTAAATTGATTTTTATTTATTTATTTATTTTTATTATCCTTAAGTTTTAGGGTACATGTGCACAATGTGCAGGTTTGTCACATATGTATAAATGTGT
This sequence comes from Homo sapiens, assembly GCF_000001405.40. NCBI lineage: Eukaryota > Metazoa > Chordata > Mammalia > Primates > Hominidae > Homo > Homo sapiens. The sequence continues at coordinate 62,672,932 of NC_000007.14, read as the reverse complement.
CATGTTGGTGTGCTGCACCCATGAACTCGTCATTTAGCATTAGGTATATCTCCTAATGCTATCCTTCCCCACTCCACCCACCCCACAACAGGCCCTGGTGTGTGATGTTCCCCTTCCTGTGTCCATGTGTTCTCACTGCTCAATTCCCACCTGTGAGGGAGAACATGCAGTGTTTGCTTTTTTGTCCTTGCGATAGTTTGTTGAGAATGATGGTTTCCAGCTTCTTCCATGTGCCTACAAAGGCCAAGAACTCATCATTTTTATGGCTGCATAGTATTCCATGTCCATGGTGTATATGTGTCACATTTTCTTAATCCAGTCTATCATTGTTGGACATTTGGGTTGGCACCAAGTCTTTGCTATTGTGAATAGTGCCGCAATAAACCTATGTGTTCATGTGTCTTTATAGCATCCTGATTTATAATCCTTTGGGTATATATCCAGTAATGGGAAGGCTAGGTCAAATGGTATTTCTAGTTCTAGATCCCTGAGGAATCACCACACAGACTTCCACACTGTTTGAACTAGTTTACAGTCCCACCAACAGTGTAAAAGTGTTCCTATTTCTCCACATCCTCTCCAGCACCTGTTGTTTCCTGACTTTTTAATGATCACCATTCTAACTGGCGTGAGATGGTATATCATTGTGGTTTTGATTTGCATTTCTCCGATGGCCAGTGATGATAAGCATTTTTTCATGTGTCTTTTGGCTGCATAAGTGTCTTCTTTTGAGAAGTGTCTGTTCATATCCTTCGCCCACTTGTTGATAGGGTTGTTTGCTTTTTTTTGTAAATTTGTTTGAGTTCTTTGTGGATTCTGAATATGAGCCCTTTGTCAGATGAGTAGATTTCAAAAACTTTCTCCCATTCTGTAGGTTGCCTGTTCACTCTGATGGTAGTTTCTTTTCCTGTGCAGAAGCTCCTTAGTTTAATTATTTCCCATTTGTCATTTTCGGCTTTTGTTGCCATTGCTTTTGGTGTTTAGACATGATGTTCTTGCCCATGCCTATGTCCTGAATGGTATTGCCTAGGTTTTCTTCTAGGGTTCTTATGGTTTTTGGTCTAACGTTTAAGTCTTTAATCCATCTTGAATTAATTTTTGTATAAGGTGTAAGGAACGGATCCAGTTTCTGCTTTCTACATATGGCTAGCCAATTATCCCGGCACCATTTATTAAATAGGGAATCCTTTCCCCATTTCTTGTTTTTGTCAGGTTTGTCAAAGATCAGATAATTGTAGATAGGCGGGTTTATTTCTGAGGGCTTTGTTTTGTTACACTGGTCGTTATCTCTGTTTTGGTACCAGTACCATGCTGTTTGGTTACTGCAGCCTTATCGTATAGTTTGAAGTCAGGTAGCGTGTTGCCTCCAGCTTTGCTCTTTTGGCTTAGGATTGACTTGGCAATGCAGACTCTTTTTTACTTCCATATCAACTTTAAAGTAGTTTTTTCCAATTCTGTGAAGAAAGTCATTGGTATCTTGATGGGGATGGCATTGAATGTATAAATTACCTTGGGCAGTATGGCCATTTTCACGATATTGATTCTTCCTACCCATGAGCATGGACTGTTCTTCCATTTGTTTGTGTCCTCTTTATTTCATTGAGCAGTGGTTTGTAGTTCTCCTTGAAGAGGTCCTTCACATCCCTTGTGAGTTGGATTCGTAGGTATTTTATTCTCTTTGAAGCAATTATGAATGGGAGATCTCTCATTATTTGGCTTTCTGATTGTCTGTTAATGGTATATAAGAATGCTTTGATTTTTGCACATTGATTTTGTATGCTGAGACTTTGCTGAAGTTGCCGATGAGCTTAAGGAGATTTTGAGCTGAGATGATGGGGTTTTCTAGATATACAATCATGTCATCTATCTTCAAACAGGGACAATTTGACTTCCTCTTTTCCTAACTGATTACCCTTTATTTCCTTCTCCTGCCTGATTGCCCCAGCCAGAACTTCCAACACTATGTTGAGTAAGAGTGGTGAGAGAGGGCATCCCTGTTTTGTGCCTGTTTTCAAAGGGAATGCTTCCAGTTTTTGCCCTTTCATTAAGGTACTGGCTGTGTGTTTGTCATAGATAGCTCTTATTATTGTGAGATACGTCCCATCAATAAGTAATTTTTTGAGAGTTTTTAGCATGAAGTGTTGTTGAATTTTGTCAAAGGCCTTTTCTGCATCTATTGAGATAGTCATGTGGTTTTTGTCATTGGTTCTGCTTATATGCTGGATTACATTTACTGATTTGTGTATGTTGAACCAGCCTTGCATTCCAGGGATGAAGCCCACTTGATCATGGTGGATAAGCTTTTTGATGTGCTGCTGGATTCGGTTTGCCAGCGTTTTATTGAGGATTTTTGCATCGATGTTCATCAGGGATATTGGTCAAAAAATCTCTTTTATTGTGTCTCTGTCAGGCTTTGGAATCAGGATGAAGCTGGCCTCATAAAATGAGTTAGGGAGGATTCCCTCTTTTTATAGTCATTGGAATATTTTCAGAAGGTATTGTACCAGCTCCTCCTTGTACATCTGTTAGAATTCGGCTGTGATTCCATCTGGTCCTGGACTTTTTTTGGTTGTTAACCTATTGATTATTGCCACAATTTCAGATCCTGTTATTGGTCTATTCAGAGATTCAACTTCTTCCTGGTTTAGTCTTGGGAGGATGTATGTGTCGAGGAACTTATCCATTTCTTCTAGATTTTCTAGTTTATTTGCTTAGAGGTGTTTATAGTATTCTCTAATGGTAGTTTGTATTTCTGTGGGATCAGTGGTGATATCCCCTTTATCATTTTTTATAGCTTCTATTTGATTCTTCTCTCTTTTCTTCTTTATTAATCTTGCTAGCAGTCTATCAATTTTGTGGATTTTTTCAAAAAAACAGCTCTGGATTCATTGATTTTTTGAAGGGTTTTTTGTGTCTCTATTTCCTTCAGTTCTGCTCTGATCTTAATTATTTCTTGCCTTCTGCTAGCTTTTGATTGTGTTTGCTCTTGCTTTCCTAGCTCTTTTAATTGTGATGTTAGGGTGTCAATTTTAGATCTTTCCTGCTTTCTTTTGTGGGCATTCAGTGCTATATATTTCCCTCTACACACTGATTTGAATGTGTCCCAGAGATTCTGGTATGTTGTGTCTTTGTTCTCATTGGTTTCAAAGAATATCTTTATTTCTTCCTTCTTTTCATTATGTACCCAGTAGTCATTCAGGAGCAGGTTGTTCAGTTTCCGTGTAGTTGAGCGGTTTTGAGTGAGTTTCTTAATCCTGAGTTCTAGTTTGATTGTTCTGTGGTCTGAGAGACATCTTGTTATAATTTCTGTTCTTTTACATTTGCTGAGGATTGCTTTACTTCCAACTCTGTGGTCAGTTTTGGAGTAAGTGTGGTGTGGTGCTGAGAAGAATGTACATTCTGTTGATTTGGGGTGGAGGGTTCTGTAGATGTCTATTAGGTCCACTTGGTGCAGAGCTGAGTTCAATTCCTGGGTATGCTTGTTAACTTTCTGTCTCATTGATCTGTATAATGTTGATGGTGGGGTGTTAAAGTCTCCTATTATTATTGTGTGGGAGTATAAGTCTGTTTGTAGCTCTCTAAGGACTTGCTTTATGAATCTGGGTGCTCCTGTATTGGGTGCATATATATTTAGGATAGTTAGTTCTTCTTGTTGAATTGATCCCTTTACCATTATGTAATGGCCTTCTTTTTCTCTTTTGATCTTTGTTGGTTTAAAGTCTGTTTTATGAGAGACTAGGATTGCAAGCCCTGCCTTTTTTGTTTTCCATTTGCTTGGTAGATCTTCCTCCATCCTTTTATTTTGAGCCTATGTGTGTCTCTGCATGTGAGATGGGTCTCCTGAATACAACACACTGATGGGTCTTGACTCTTGATCCAATTTGCCAGTCTGTGTCTTTTAATTGGAGCATTTAGCCCATTTACATTTAAGGTTAATATTGGTTTGTGTGAATTTGATCCTGTTATTATGATGTTAGCTGGATATTTTGCTCATTAGTTGATCCAGTTTCTTCCTAGCCTTGATGGTCTTTACAACTTGGCATGCTTTTGCAGTGGCTGGCACTGGTTGTTCCTTTCCATGTTTAGTGCTTCCTTCAGTAGCTCTTTTAGTGGAGGCCTTGTGGTGACAAAATCTCTCAGCATTTGCTTGTCTGTAAAGTATTTTATTTCTCCTTCACTTATGAAGCTTAGTTTGGCTGGATATGAAATTCTGGGTTGAAAATTCTTTTCTTTAAGAATGTTGAATATTGGCCCCCACTCTCTTCTGGCTTGTGCAGTTTCTGCCGAGAAATCTGCTGTTAGTCTGATGGGCTTCCCTTTGTGGGTAACCCGACCTTTCTCTCTGGCTGCCCTTAACATTTTTTCCTTCATTTCAACTTTGGTGAATCTGACAATTATGTGTCTTGGAGTTGCTCTTCTCGAGGAGTATCTTTGTGGCATTCGCTGTATTTCCTGAATTTGAATGTAGGCCTGCTTTTCCAGATTAGAGGAGTTTTCCTGGATAATAACCTGCAGAATGTTTTCCAACTTGGTTCCATTCCCCCGTCACTTTCAGGTACACCAATCAGACGTGTTTTTGGTCTTTTCCATTAGTCCCATATTTCTTGGAGGCTTTGTTCATTTCTTTTTATTCTTTTTTCCCTAAATTTCTCTTCTCCCTTCATTTCATTCATTTGATCTTCCACCACTGATACCCTTTCTTCAAGTGATCGAATCAGCTACTGCGGCTTGTGCATTCATCACATAGTTCTCATGTTGTGGTTTTCAGCTCCATCAGGTCCTGTAAGAACTTCTCTGCATTGGTTATTCTAGTTAACCATTTGTCTAATTTTTTTTCACAGTTTTTAACTTCTTTGCCATGGGTTTGAACTTCATCCTTTAGCTCAGAGTAGTTTGATCATCTGAAGCCTTCTTCTCTCAACTTGTCAAAGTCATTCTCTGTCCAGCTTTGTTCTATTGCTGGTGAGGAGCTGCATTCTTTAGAGGAGGAGAGGTGCTCTGATTTTTAGAGTTTCCAGTTTTTCTGCTCTGTTTTTTTTCACATCTTTGTGGTTTCATCTACCTTTTGTCTTTGATGATGGTGATGTACAGATGGGGTTTTGGTGTGGATATCCTTTCTGCTTATTAGTTTTCCTTCTTACAGTCAAGACCCTCAGCTGGAGGTCTGTTGGAGTTTGCTGGAGATACACTCCAGACCCTATTTGTCTGGGTATCAGCAGTGGAGGCTACAGAACAGCGGATATTGGTGAAAAGCAAATGTTGCTGCCTGATTGTTCCTCTGGAAGTTTTTCCTCAGAGGAGCACCTGGCCATGTGAAGTGTCACTCTGCACCTACCGGGAGGTGCCTCCCAGTTAGGCTACTCAGGGGTCAGGGCCCCACTTGAGGAGGCAGTCTGTCCATTCTGAGTTCTCAAGCTGTGTGCTGGAAGAACCACTACTCTCTTCAAAGCTGTCAGACAGGGACATTTAATGCTGCAGAAGTTACTGCTGCTGTTCGTTTGGCTATGCCCTGCCCCCAGAGGTGGAGTCTACAGAGGCAGGCAGGCCTCCTTGTCCTGCTGTGTACTCCACCAAGTTTGAGTTTCCCAGCTGCTTTGTTTACCTACTGAAGCCTCAGCAATGGTGGGCGCTCCTCTCCCAGCCTCACTGCCACCTTGCAATTTGATCTCAGACTGCTGTGTTAGCAATGAGTGAGGCTCCATGGGCATAGGACCAACTAAGCCAGGCACGGGATATGATCTCCTGGTATGCCATTTGTTAAGACCATTGGAAAAGTGCAATCTTAGGGTGGAAGTGACCTGATTTTCCAGGAGCTGTCTGTCACCCCTTTCTTTGACTCAGTAGGGGAATACCCTGACCCTTTGCACTTCCTGTGTAAAGTGATGACTCACCCTGCTGTGGCTCACACTCATTGAGCTGCACCCCGTGTCCTGCACCCACTGTCTGACACTCCCCAGTGAGATGAAACTGGAACTTCAGTTGGAAATGAAGATATCACCCGTCTTCTTCGTCGCTCATGCTGGGAGCTGTAGACTGGAGCTGTTCCCATTCAGATATCTTGGCTCTAATCTAAACCTTACTTTTGATTGAGCAGTTTGGAAACACTGTTTTTGTAGAATCTGAGAAGGGATATTAGGGAGCATATTGAGGCCTATGATGAAAAAGGAAGAAACTTCAGATAAAAACTAGAAAGTATCTTTCTCAGAAACTGCTTTGTGAATTGTGCATTCTTCTCACAGAGTTAAACCTTTCTTTTGATTGAGCAGTTTGGAGCCACTGGTTTTGTACAATCTTTGAAGAGATATTTCAGAGGTCATTGAGGCCAATGGTGAAACAGGAAATATTTTCAGATAAAAACTAGAAAGTAACTTTCTCAGAAACTGCTTTGTGAATTGTGCATTCATCTCACAAAGTTAAACCTTTCTTTTTTTGAGCCATTTGGAAACACTTTTTTTTGTAGAATCTATGAAGTGATATTTAGGAGCCCATTGAGGCCTATGGTGAAAAGGGAAATATCTTCAGATACAAACGAGAACGGGACTCTCTGAGAAACTGCTTTGTAATGTTTACATGCATCTCATAGAGTTAAACGTTTCTTTTGATAGAGCAGTTTGCAAACACTGCTTTTGTAGAATCCGTGAATGAATATTGGGAAAAGCCTTGAGGCCTATGGCAGTAAAGGAAACACCTTCAGATACAAACTAGAAAGAAACTTTCTGAGAAACTGCTTTGTGATGGGTGCATTCATCTCAAAGAGTTAAACCTACTTTTGGATTCAGCAGTTTGGATAGATTCCTTTTGTAGAATCTGCCAAGGTTTATTTGGGTGCCCTTTGAGTCTTAGGGTGAAAAATGAAATATCTTCACATAAAAACTAGAAAGAAACATTCTGAGACACTGCTTTGAGATGCGTGCATTCAACTCACAGAGATAAACCTTTCTTTGGATTGAGCAGTTTGGAAACTCTGTTTTTGTTGAATCTGCAAAGTGATATTAGGGAGTGCATTGAGGCCTATGGAGAAAAAGGAAATATCTGCAGATGCAAACTGGAAAGACGTTTTCTGAGAAACTGCTTTTGAATGTGTGCATTCATCTCACAGAGTTAAACCTTTGTTTTGATGGAGGAGTTTGGAAAGGCTGTTTTTGTAGTATCTGAAAATGGGTATTTGTGAGCCCAATGAGACCTTTGGTGAAAAAGGTTATATCTTCAGATATAAACTACAGGAAATCTTTCTGAGAAACTGATTTGTGATGTGTGCATTCATCTCACAGAGTGAAAGCTTTCTTTTGATTGAGCACTTTGGAAAGACTGTTTTTGTAGAATCCGCAAAGGGATATTTGGGAGCCCTTTGACCCTTATGGTCAAAAAGGAAATATCTTCATATAAAAACTAGAAAGAAGTTCTCTGAGAAACTGCTTTGGATGTATGCATTCATCTCACAGAATTAAACCTTTCTTTAATTGATCAGTTTGGAAACAATGTTTTTGTATAATTTGTGAAGGGATATTTTGGAGTGCATTGAAACCTGAGGTGAAAAAGGAAATGTCTTCAGATAAAAACTAGAAAGAATCTTTTTGAGAAACTGCTTTGTGATGTGTGCATTCATCTCATAGAGTTAAACCTATCTTTTGATTGATCAGTTTGGAAACACTGTTTTTGTAGAATCTGTGAAGAGATATTTGGGAGTGCATGAATCCTATGGTGAAAAAGGAAAATCTTCAGATAAAAACTAGAAAGAACTTTTTGAGAAACTGCTGTGAGATGTGTGCATTCAACTCACAGATTTAAACCAGTTTTTTGATTGAGCAGCTTGAAAACACTGATTTTGTAGAAACTGTAATGGAATATTGGGAGTGCATTGAAGCCTATGGTGATAAAGGAAATATCTTCAGATAAACATTTGAAAGAAGCTTTTTGAGAAACTGCTTTGTGATGTGTGCAATCGTCTTACAGCATTAAACTTTTTTTTAGACTGAATAGTATGGAAACACTGTTTTTGTAAAATCTGTGCAGTGATATTAAGTAGTGAAAAAGTCCTATGGTAAACAAGGAAATATCTTCAGATAAAAAATTGAATGAATCTTTATGAGAAACTGCCTTCTGATGGGTCTGTTCATCTAACAGAGTTAAATCCTTCCTTTGATGGAACGGTTCAGAAACACTGTTTTTGTAGAATCTGGTAACGGATAATTGGGAGAGCATTGAGGCCTATGGTGTAAAAGGAAATATCTTCATATAAAAACTAGAAAGAAGCTTTCTGAGAAACTACTTTGTGCTGTATGCTTTCATCTCACACAGTTAAACTTGTCTTTTGACTGAGCAGTTTGGAAACACTGTTTTTTTGTAATGTGCAAAGCAATGATAGGTAGCCCAAAAAGGCCTATGGCAATCAAGGAAATATTTTCAGGAAAAAACTGGAAACAAGAGTTATGAGAAACTGCTTTGTGATGTATGTATTCATTTCACAGAGCTAAATTTTTCTTTTGATTTAGCAGTTTGGAAACACCATTTTTGTAGAATCAGTGAATGGGTATTTTGGAGCACTTTGAAGCCTATGGTGAAAAAGGAAACAACTTCAGATAAAAACTAGAAAGAAGCTTTTTGAGAACTGCTTTATGATGTATGCATTCCTCTCGCAGAGTTAAACTTTTATTTGACTGAGTAGTTTGGAAGTACTGTTTTTGTGTAATCTGCGAAGTGATGATAGCACAAAAAGGCCTATGGTGAACAAGAAAATATCTTCAGATAAAAACTGAAACAAGAGTTATCAGAAACTGTTTTCTTATGTGTGCAGTCATCTCACAGTGTTACAGCCTTCTTTTGATGGAACAGTTAGGAAACACTGGTTTTATAGACTCTCCAAAGGGATATTTGAGAGTGCATTGAGGCCTAAGGTGGAAAAGGAAATATCTTCAGATTAGAACTAGACAGAAGCTATCTGAGAAACTGCTTTGTGATGTGTGCGTTCATCTCACAGAGTTATGTCTTCTTTTGATGGGACAGTTTGGAAACACTGCTTTTGTAGAATTTGCAAAGGAATATTTGGGAGAGATTTGAGGCCTATGGTGGAAAAGGAAATATCTTCAGAGAACTAGACAGAAGCTTTCTGACAAACTGCTTTGTAATATGTGCATTCATGTCAGAGAGTCAAACCTTTCTTTTGATTGAGGAGTTTGGAAACACTGTTTTTGTAGAATCTGCAAAGGTATATTTTGGCATGCATTGAAGCCTATGGTGAAAAATGAACTATCTACAGATAAAAATTAGAAAGAAGCTTTTTGAGAAACTGCTTTGTGTTGTGTGCATTCCAATTACAGAGTAAAACTGGTTTTTTTGACTGAATAGTTTGGAAACACTCTTTTTGTAGAATCTGTGAAGGGATATTTAGGAGCACATTGAAGCCTATGGTGAAAAAGGAAATATATTTGGATAATAACTAGAAAGAAGCTTTTTGAGAAACTGCTTTGTGATGTGTGTATTCATCTCACAGAGTTAAACCTTTCTTTTAACAGAGCAGTTTGGAAACACTGTTTTTGCATAATCTGTGAAGTGATGTATGGTAGTGCAAAAAGGCCTATGGTGAAAAAAGAAATATCTTCAGATGAAAACTGGAAAGAAGCGTTATGAGAAACTGCTTTCTGATGTGTGCATTTATCTCACAGAGTTAAATCCTTCTTTTGATGGAACAGTTGAGAAACACTGTTTTTGTAGAATCTGCGAAGTGATATTTTGGAGCTCATTTGGGCCTATGGTGGAAAAAGATATAACTTCAGAGAAGAACTAGACAGAAGCTTTCTGAGAAACTGCTTTGTGATGTGTGCATTCATCTCACAGAGTTAAACCTTTCGTTTGATTGAGCTGTGTGGAAACACTGTTTTTGTAGAATCTGTGATGGAATATTTTGGAGCATGTTGAAGCCATCAGTTATAAAGGAAATATCTTCGGAGAAAAACTAGAAGGAAGCTTTTAAAAAACTGATTTGTGATGTGTGAATTCATCTCACAGAGTTAAACCTTCCTTTTATCTGAGCAGTTTGGAAGCCCTGTTTTTGCAAAATCTGTCATACGATATTTTGTAGTGCAAAAAAGCCATTGTTGAAAAAGGAAATAACTTCAGATAAAAACTGGAAAGAAGTGCTATGAGGAACTGCTTCCTGATGTGTGCATTCATCTCACAGAGTTAAATCCTTCTTTTGATGGAACAGTTTGGAAATGCTGTTTTTATAGAATCTGCAAAGGGATATTTGTGAGTGCACAGAGGGTTATGGTGGAAAAGTAAATGTCTTCAGAGAATTACTAGACAAAAACTATGTGAGAAATTGCTTTGTGATGTGTGCATTCATCTCACAGAGTTAAACATTTCTTTTGATTGAGCAGTTTGGAAACACTGTTTTTGTAGAATCTGCAAAGGTATATTTTGCAGCTCACTGAGTCCAATGGTGAAAAAGGTAATATCTTTGGATGAAAACTAAAGGAATCCTTTTGGGAAACTCCTTTGTGATGTGTGCATTCAACTCGCAGAGGTAAACATGATTTTTGATTGATCAGTTTGGAAAGAATGTTTTGTAGAATCTGTGATGGGATATTTGGGAGTGCATTGAAGCCTACGGTGATGAAGGAAATATCTTTGGATAAAAACTAGACAGAAGTTTTGGAGAAACTGCTTTGTGGTGTGTACCTTTGTCTCACAGAGTTAAACCTTTGTTTGGATTCAGCAGTTTGAAAACACTGTTTTTGCAAAATCTGTGAAGTGATATTAGGTAGTGCATAAAAGCCTATGGTGAAAAAGGAAATATATTCACATAAAAACTGGAAAGAAGCATTATGAGAAACTGCTTTCTCATGTGTGTGTTCATCTCACAGAGTGAAGTCCTTCTTTTGATGGAACACTTTGGAAATACTGTTTTTGTAGAATCTGTGAAAGGATATTTGGGGGCACATTGAGGCTTATGGTGGAAAAGGAAAAATCTTCATAGAAGAACTAGACAGAAACTATCTGAGAAACTGTTTTGTGGGGTGCGCATTCATCTCACTGAGTTAAACCTTTCTTTTGATTGGGCAGTTTGGAAACGTTGTTTTTGTAGAGTCTGCAAAGGGGTATATGGGAGTACATCGAAGTCTACGGTCAAAAAGGAAATACCTTTGGATAAAAACTAGAAAGAAGCTTTTTGAGAAACTGCTTTGTGATGTGCACTTTCATCTCACAGAGTTAAACTTTTCTTTTGACTCCGCAAATTGGAAACAATGTTTTTGTATAAAGTGTGAAGCAATGTTTTGCAAAATCTGCAAAGTGATATCAGGTAGCACAAAAAAGCCTATGGTGAAAAAGGAAATAATTTCAGATAAAAACTGGAAAGAAGCATTATTAGAAACTGCTTTCTAATGTGTGCTTTCATCTCACAGAGTTAAATCCTTCTTTTGATTTAACCGTTCAGAAACACTGTTTTTATAGAAGCTGTGAAGTGATATTTTGGAGTGCATTGAGGCCTATGTTGGAAAAGGAAAGATCTTCAGAGAAGAACTAGACAGAAGCTAGCTGAGAAACTGCTTTGTGACGTGTGTGTTCATCACAGAGTTAAACTTTCCTTTTGACTGAGCAGTTTGGAAACATGTTTTTGTATAATCTGAGAAGAGATGTTATGTAGCGCAAAAAGGCCTATGGTGAACAAGGAAATATCTTCAGATAAAAACTGGAAAAAAGAGTTATGAGAAACTGCCTTGTGATGTGTGTATTCATCTCACAGAGTTAAAACTTTCTTTTGATTTAGCAGATTGGAAACACCATTTTATTAGAATGTGCAAAGGTGTATTTCAGAGTGCACTGAGGCCTATGCTGAAAAATGAAATATCTTCAGATAAAAACCAGAAAGTAGCTTTTTTAGAAACTGCTTTGTCATATGTGTGTTCCACTCACAGAGTTAAACCTGTTTTTTAATTGAGCAGTTTTGATACACAGTTTTTCTAGAATCTGCGATGGTATATTTGGGAGTGCATGGACGCCTATGGTGATAAAGGAAGTATCTTCAGATAAGAAATAGAAGGATGTTTTTTGAGAAACTGCTTTTTGATGTGTGCATTCATCTCACAGATTTAAACTTTTCTTTGACTGAGCAGTTTGGAAACACTGTTTTTGCACAATCTCTGAAGTGATATTATGTAGTGCAATAAAGTCTATGGTGAAAAAGAAATTATCTTCAGATAAAAACTGGGAAAAAGCATTTTGAGAAACTGCTTTCTGATATGTGCATTCATCTCACTGAGTGAAGTCCTTCTTTTGATGGAACAGTTTGGAAACACTGTTTTTGTAGAATCTGCGATGGGATATTCGGGAGCACATTGAGGCCTATGGTGGAAAAGGAAATATCTTCAGAGAAGAACTACACAGAAGCTTTCTGAGAGACTGCTTTGTGATGTGGGCATTCAGCCAACAGAGTTAAAACTTTCTTTTGTTTGAGCAGTTTGGAAATACTGTTTTTGTAGAATCAGTGAAGGGATATATGGGAGTGCACGAGGCCTGTGGTGAAAAAAGAATTAACTTCAGATAAAACTAGAAAGAAGCTTCCTGAGATACAGCTTTGAGATGTGTGCATTCTTCTCACAGTGTAAAATGTCTCTTTTGAATGATCAGTTTGGAAACACTGTTTTTGTAGTATCTGCAATGGGATATTTGGGAGTGCACTGATGCCTATGGTGAAAAAGGACTTATCTTCAGATAAAAACTAGAAAGGAGCCTTTGGAGAAACTGCTTTGTGAAGTCTGCATTCAAATCACAGAGTTAAACTTTTCTTTTGACTGTGCAGTTTGGAAACACTTTTTTTGTACAATCCATGAAGTGATGTTAGGTAGCATAAAAAGCCTATAGTGAACAAGGAAATAACTTCAGATAAAAACTGGAAGGAAACGTTATTAGAAACTGCTTACTGATGTGTGAGTTCATCTTATGGAATTGAACACTTCTTTTAATGGAACACTTTGGAAACACTGTTTTCATAGAATCTGTGAAGGGATATTTGGGAGCGCATTGAGGCCTATGGTGGAAAATGAAATATCATTTGATAAAAACCAAAAAGAAGCATTCTGAGAAACTGCTTTGTGATGTGTTCTCTCACCTCACTGTGTTAAGCCTTTCTTTTGATTGAGAAGTTTAGAAACATTGTTTTTGTAGAATCTGTGAAGGGATACTTGTGAGCACAGGGAAACTTTTGAGCGCATTGAGGCTTAGGTTTAAAAAGGAAATATCTTCCAATAAAAACGAGAAAGGAGATTTCTGAGAAACTTCTTTGTGATGTGTTCATTCTTGTCACACAGTTAAACCTTTGACTGAGCAGTTTGGAAACATTGTTTTTGTAGAATCTGCAAAGGAATATGTGGGAGCACATTGAGGCCTATGTTGGATAAGGAAATATCTTCAGAGAAGAACTTGACAAAAACTATCTGAGAAACTGCTTTGTGATGCATGCATTCATTTCACAGAGTTAAAGAATTCTTTTGATTGAGTAGCTTGGAAACACTGTTTTTGCACAAGCTTCAAAGGGATACTTGGGAGAGCACAGAGGCCTATGGTGAAAAAGGTAATATCTTCAGATAAAAAGTAGAAAGAAGCTTTTTGAGAAACTGCTTTGTGATATGTGCATTCAACTCACAGAGTTAAACCTCTTTTTTGACAGTGCAGTTTGGAAACACTGTTTTTGTAGAATCTGCGATGGGATATTTGGGAGCGCTTTGAAACCTATGATGATAAAGGAATTATCTTCAGATAAAAACTAGAAAGAAGAGTTATGAGAAATGGATTTCTGATGTGTGTGTTCATCTCACAGGATTAAACCCTTCCTTAGGTGGAACAGTTTGGAAACAGTTTTTACAGAATCTGCAAAGGGATATTTGGGAGTGCATTGAGGCCTATGGTGGAAAATGAAATATCTTCAAAGAAGAACTAGAGAGAAACTATCTGAAAAATGCTTTGTGACATGTGCATTCATCAAACAGAGTTAAACCTTCCTTTGATTGAGCAGTTTGGAAACACTGTTTTTGTAGAATCTGCAAAGGGTTATTTTGGAGCACATTGAGGCCTATGGTGAAAAAAAGAAATTACTTCAGAAAAAAACTAGAGAGAAGCTTTTTGAGAAACTGCTGTATGAAGTGTCTTAAACTCACAGAGTTAAACCTGTTTTTTTGAGCAGTTGGTAAAGGCTGTTTTTGCAGAGTCTGCAAAGGGATATTTGGGAGCACATTGAAGCCTATGGTAATAAAGGAAATATCTTCAGATAAAAACGAGAAAGAAGCTTTTTGAGAAACTACTTTGTGATGTGTGCATTCGTCTCACTGAGTTAAGGCTTTCTTTTGACTGATCAGTTTGGAAACACTGTTTTTGTAGAATCTGTGAAGGGATATTTGGGAGTGCATGAGGCCTATGGTGAAAAAGGAAATAACTTCAGATAAAAACTAGAAAGAAGCTTTCTGAGAGATCACTTTGTGATGTGTCTATTCTTCTCACAGAGTTAAACATCTCTTTTGACTGATCAGTTTGGAAACACTGTTTTTGTAGGATATGAAATGGGATATTTGGGAGCGAACTGATTCCTATGGTGAAAAAGGACATATCTTTGGATAAAAACTAGAAAGAAGTCTTTTGAGAAATTTCTCTGTGATGTCTGCATTCATCTCACATAGTTAAACTTTTCTTTTGACAGTGCAGTTTGGAAGCACTGCTTTGTATAATCTGTGAAGCAATGTTTTGTAGCCTAAAAAGGCCTGTAGTGAACAAGGAAATAACTTCAGATAAAAACTGGAAAGAAGCATTATGAGAAACTGCTTTCTGATGTGCACATTCATCTCACAGAATTAAACCCTTGTTTTGATGGGACAGTTCAGAAACACTGTTTTTATAGAATCTGTGAAGGGATATTTGGGAGCACATTGAGGCCTTTGGTGGAAAAGGAAATATCTTCTGATAAAAACTAGAAAGAAGCTTTCTGAGAAACTTCTTTGTGATGTGTTCACTTACCTCACTGAGTTAAGCATTTCTTTTGATTGAGAGGTTTGGAAACACTGTTTTTATAGAATCTGTGAAGGGTTATTTTTGAGAACAGGGATACTTTTCAGCACATTGAAGCCTATGTTGAAAAATGAAATATGTTCTGATGAAAACTAGAGAGAAGCTTTCTGACAAACTGCTTTGTGATGTGTTTATTCCTGTCACACGGTTAAACCTTTGAATGAGCAGTTTGGAAACACTGATTTTGTGGAATCTGAAAGGTATATTTGGGAGCACATTGAGGCCTACGGTGGAAAAGGAAATATCTTCAGAGAACTTGACAGAAGCTATATTAGAAACTGCTTTGTGATGTGTGCATTCATCTCACAGAGTTAAACCAATCTTTTGATAGAGCAGTTTGTAAACACTATTTTTGTAGAATATGCAAAGGTACATTTGGGAGCGTATAGAGGCCTATGGTGAAAAAGGAAATATCTTCGGATAAAAAGTAGAAAGAAGCTTTTTGAGAAACTGCTTTGAGATGTGTGCATTCAACTCACAGAGTTAAACCTCTTTTTTGACTGAGCGGTTTGGAAATACTCTTTTTAAAGTAGAAAGAAGCTTTTTGAGAAACTGCTTTGAGATGTGTGCATTCAACTCGCAGAGTTAAACCTCTTTTTTGACTGAGCAGTTTGGAAACACTCTTTTTGTAGAATCTGTGATGGGATATTTGGGAGCACATTGAAGCCTATGGTGATAAAGTAATTGTCTTCAGATAAAAACTGGAAAGCAGCACTATGAGACACTGCTTTCTGATGTGTGCCTTCATCTAAGAGAGGTAAGTCCTTTTGATGGAACAGTTTGGAAACACTGTTTTTGTAGAATCTGTGAATGGATATATGGGAGCACATTGAGGCCTATGGTGAAAAAGAAAATGTCTTCACAGAAGAACTAGACAGAAGGTATATGAGAAACTGTTTTGTGATGTGTATATTCATCTCACAGACTTAAACCTTCCTTTTTGATTGAGGAATTTGGAAACACTGATTCAGATAATCTGCAAAGGTATATTTGGAAGCACACTGAGGCCTATGGTGAAAAAGGAACTATTTTCGGATAAAAACTAGAAAGAAACTTTCTGAGAAACTGTTTAATGATGTGTGCGTTCCATTCACAGAGTTAAAAGTGTTTTTTTGAGCCGTTTGGAAACAAAGTTTTTAGAGAATCTGCAATGGGATATTTGGGAGCACATTGAAACCTATGATGAAAAAGGAAATATATTCGGATAAAAACTAGAAAGAAGCTTTTTGAGAAACTGATTTGTGATGTTTGCAGTCATCACACAGAGTTAAACCTTTCTTTTGACTGAGCAGTTTGGAAACACTGTTTTTGTATAATCTGCAAAGTGATAATAGGTAGTGCATAGAGACTTATGGTGAAAGAGTTAATATCTTCAGAAAAGAACTGGAAAGAAGCTTTCTGTAGCACTGATTTGTGATGTTTGCATTCATTTTACAGTGTTAAAAATTTCCTTTGATGGAGCTGTTTGGAAACACCCTTTTGGCAGAATCTGTGAAGGGTTATTTGGGAGTGCATTGAGGCCTATGGTGGAAAATGAAATATTTTCAGGGAAGAACTAAACAGAACCTATCTGAAAAACTGCTTTGTGATGTGCATGTTCAACTCACAGAGTTAAACCTGTTTATGATTGGACAGTTTGGAAACACTGCTTTCTAGAATCTGTGAAGGGATATTTGGGAGTGCCTTGAGGTCTATGGTGCAAAAGGAAATATCTTCAGAGACAAAATAAATGGAAGCTTTCTGATAAAATACTTTGTGATGTGCACATTTATCTCACAGAGTAACGTTTCTTTTGATTGAGCAGTTTGGAAACACTGTTTTTGTGGAATCTGCGAAGGGATATTTGACAGTGCATAGAAGCCTAAGGTGAAAAAGGATATATCTTTGGATAAAAACTAGAAAGAATGTTTTTGAGAAACTGCTTTATGATGTGTGCTTTCAACTCACAGTGTTAAACCTGTTTTTGATTGAGCAGTTTGGAAACAAGGTTTTTGTAGCATGTGTGATGGGATATTTGGGAGTGCACTGAAGCCTGTGGTGATAAAGGAAATACTTTTTGGACAAAAACTGGAAAGAAGCTTTTTGAGAAACTGCTTTGTGATGTGTGCATTCGTCTCACAGAGTTAAACTTTCTTTTGACTGAGCAGTTTGGAAACACTGTTTTTGCAAAATCTGCCAAGAGATCTTTGGTATTGGAAAAAAGCCTATGGTGAACAAGGAAATATCTTCAGATAAAAACTGGAAAGAAGCGATATGAGAAACTGCTTTCTGATGTGTGCATTCATCTCACAGAGTTAAGTCCTTTTATTGGAACAGTTTTGAAACATGTTTTTGTAGAATCTGTGATGGGACATTTTGTAGAGCATTGAAGCCTATGGTGAAAAGGAAATACCTTTGGATAAAAACTAGAAAGAAGATTTTTGAGAAACTGCTTTGTGATGTATACATTCATCTCACATAAAACACTCTTTTGACTGAGCAGTTGGAAGTGCTGTTTTTGCAATATCTGTGAAGAAATATTAGGTAGCACAAAAAAAGCCTACATTGAAAAAGGAAATATCTTCAGATAAATATTGGAAAGAATCTTTCAGAGAAGTCACTTGGTGAGGTGTGCAATCTTCACAGAGAGTTAAACATTTCTCTTGATGGAGCAGTTTGGAAACACTGGTTTTTAGAATCTGCAAATGGATATTTCAGAGTGCACTGATGCCTATGGTGAAAAAGGAAATATCTTCAGATAACTAGAAAGAAGTTTTCTGAGAAACTGTTTATGATGTATACATTCATCTGACATAGTTAAAAATTTCTTTTCACTGAACAGTTTGAAAACACTGTTTTTGTATAATCTGCAATGCAATGTTAGGTAGTGCAAAAAGGCCTATATTGAACAAGGAAATAAATAACTTCAGATAAAAACTGGAAGGAATCGTTATGAGAAACTGCTTTCTGATGTGTGTGTTCTCACAGAGTTTCTTTCTTTTGATGGAACATCTTGGAAACACTGTTTTTGTGGAATCTGTGAAGGGATATTTTGGAGTGCCTTGAGTCCTATGGTGGAAAAGAAATTATCTACAGAGAACTAGTCAGAAGCTTTCTGAGAAACTGCTTTGTGATGTGTGCATTCATCTCACAGAGTTAAACATTTTTTTGACTGAGCAGTTTGGAAACACTGTTTTAGTATAATCTGCAAAGCGATGTTTTGTAGCACAAAAAGCCCTATAGTGAACAAGAAAATATATTCATTTAAAAACCGTAAAGAAGCGTTATGAGAAACTGCTTTCTGATATGTGCATTCACCTCACATAGTTAAATCCTTCTTTTGAAGGAACAGTTGGGAAACACTTTTTATAGAATCTGCGAAGGGATATTTGGGAGTGCATTCAGGCCTAGGTTGGAAAAGGAAATATCTTCAGAGAAGTACTATACAGAAGCTATCTGAGAAACTGCTTTGTGATGTGTGCATTCATCTCACAGAGTTAAAACTTTTTTTTCATTGAGCAGTTTGGAAATGCTGTTTTTGTAGAATCTGTAAATGTATATTTGGGAGCGCACTGAGGCCTGTGGTGAAAAAGGATGTATCTTCGGATAAAAACTTGAAAGAAGCTTTTTGAGAAACTGCTTTGTGATGTGTGCATTAAAGTCACAGAGTTAAACCTCTTTTTTGATTGAGCAGTTTGGAAACACTGTTTTTTGTAGAATCCGGAAGAGATATGTGGAAGCTCATGAGGCCTGTGGTGGAAAAGGAAATAACTTCTGATAAAAACTGAAAAGAAACTTGTAGAGAAACCACATTGAAATGTGTGCAATCTTCTCACAGAGTTAAACTTTTCTTTTGATTTAGCAGTACGGAAACACTGTTTTTCTAGAATCTGCAAAGGGATATTTGGGAGGGCACTGATGCCTATGGTGAAAATGTAAATATCTTCAGATAAAAACTGGAAAGAAGCTTGTTGAGAAACTCTTTTGTGATGTATGCATTCATCCCACAGAGTTAAACTTTTGTTTTGCCTGAGCAGTTGGGAAATCCTGTTTTTGTATAATCTGTGAAGTGATGTTAGGTACCGCAAAAAGGCCAGTGGTGAACAAGGAAATATCTTCAGATAAAAACTGGAAAGAAGCGTTATGAGAAACTGATTTCTGATGTGTGCATTCATCTCAAAGAGACAAGTCCTTCTTTTGATGGAACAGTTTGGAAACACTGTTTTTGTAGAATCTACAAAAGGATATTTGGGAGCAACTTGAGGCCTATGGTGGAAAAGGAAGTATCTTCAGGGAAGACTTAGAAACATTCTGAGAAACTGCTCTGTGATGTGTGCATTCATCTCACAGAGGTAAACGTTTCTTTTTATTGAGCAGTTTTGAAACAATGGTTTTGTAGAATCTGCAAAGGGATATTTGGGAGCGCTATGAAGCCTATGGTGAAAATAGAAATGTATTCAGATAAAACCTATAAAGAAGCTTTTTGAGAAACTGCTTTGTGATGTGTGCATTCATCTTACAGAGTTGAAGCTTTCTTTTGATTGAGCTGTTTGGAAAGACTGTTTTTGTAGAATCTGCAAAGGAATATTTGGGAGCCCTTTGACCCTTATGGTCAAAAAGGAAATATCTTCATATAAAAACGAGAAAGAAGCTTTCTGAGAAACTGCTTTGTGATGTGTGCATTCATCTCACAGAGTTAAACCTTTCTTTTCTTTGAGAAGTTTAGAAACACTCAATTTTGTAGAATCTGTAAAGGGGTTTTTGGGAGTGCATTCAGACCTATGTTGAAAAAGGAAATATCTTCACAGAAAGACTAGAAAGAAACATTCAGAGACACTTCTTTGAGATGTGTTCATTCATCTCACAAAGTTAAACCTTTCTGTTGTTTGAGCAGTTTGGACACACTGTTTCTGAGGAATCTATGAAGTAATATTAGGGAGCATTTTGAGGCCTATTGTGATAAAGGACTTATCTTCAGATAAAAACTTGAAAGAAGGTTTCTGAGGAACTGCTTTGTGAAGTGTGCCTTCATCTCATGGAGTTAAACCTTTCTTTTGATTGAACAGATTGGTAACACTGTTTTGGCAGAATCAGAGAAGGGATATTAGGGAGCGTATTGAGGCCTATGTTGGAAATGGATATATCTTCAGGTACACACTACAAAGAAGTTTTCTAAAAAACTGCTTTCTGATGTGTACATTCATTACACAGAGTTATACCTGTCTTTTGATTTATCAGTTTTGCTTGAATCTCAGAACAGATATTAGGGAGCGTATTGAGACCTTTGGTGAAAAAGAAAAAATATTTTTATACATATATTTTAAATACAAACTAGAGAGTAACGTTCTCAGAAACTGCTTTGTGAATTGTGCATTCATCTCACAGAGTTAAATCTTCCTTTTGATTGAGCAGTTTGGAAACACTGTTTTTGTAGAATCTACAAAGTGATATTTGGGAGCCCATTGAGGCCTACGGTGAAAAGGGAAATATCTTCAGATAAAAACTAGAAAGGGACTTTCTGAGAAACTGCGTTGTGATTTGTACATTCATGTCATTGAGTTAAAACCTTTCTTTTGATAGAGCAGTTTGCAAACACTGCTTTTGTAGAATCTGCGAAGGTATATTTGGGAAAGCCTTGAGGCCTATGGTGATAAAGGAAATATCTTCAGATAAAAACTGGAAAGTAACTTTCTCAGAAACTGCTCTGTGAATTGTGCATTCATCCCACAGAGTTAAACCTTTCTTTTGATAGAGCAGTTTGGAACCACTGTTTTTGAAGAATCTCCGAAGTGATATTTCTGAGTGCATTGAGGCCAATGGTGAAAAAGGAAATATCTTCAGATAAAAACTAGAAAGTATCTTTTTCAGCAACTGCTTTGTGAATTTTGAATTCATCTCAGAGAGTTACACTTTTTTTGTTTGAGCAGTTTGGAAACACTGTTTTTGTAGAATCTATGAAGTGATATTTGGGAGCCCATTGAGGCCTATGGTGAAAAGGGAAATATCTTCAGATACAAACGAGAATGGGACTTTCTGAGAAACTACTTTGTGATGTATACATACGTCCCATAGAGTTAAACCTTTTTTGATAGCACAGATTTCAAACACTGCTTTTGAAGAATCTGTGAAGGTGTATTTGGGAAAGCCTTGAGGCCTATGGTGATAAAGGAAATATTTCACATAAAAACTAGAAAGTAACTTCCTCAGAAACTGCTTTGTGATGTGTGCATTCATCTTGCAGAGTTAAACGTTTCTTTGGGTTGAGTAGTTTGGAAAGAATGCTTTTGTAGAATCTGCCAAGGGATATGTGAGAGCCCATTGAGTCTTAGGGTAAAAAAATGAAATATCTTCACATAAAAACTAGAAAGAAACATTCAGAGACACTGCTTTGAGATGTGTGCATTCAAATCACAGAGATAATGCAATCGTTGGATGGAGCAGTTTGGACACTCTGTTTTTGTAGAATCTGTGAAGTGATATTAGGGAGCACTTTGAAGCCTATGATGAAAAAGGAAATACTTTCAGATACAAACTGGAAAAATGCTTTCTGAGAAACTGCTTTTGAATGTGTGCATGCATCTCACAGAGTTAAACTTTTGTTTTGATGGAAGAGTTTGGAAAGGCTGTTTTTGTAGAATCTGAAAAGGGATATTTGTGAGCTCAATGAGGCTTTGGTAAAAAAGTTCATAACTTCAGATACAAACTAGAAGACGTCTTCCTGAGAAACTGCTTTGTGATGTGTGCATTCATCTCACAGAGTTAAACTTTCTTTTGATAAGGCAGTTTGCAAACACTGCTTTTGTAGAATCTGTGAAAGTATATTTGGGAAAGCCTTGAGGCCTGTGGTGATAAAGGAAATATCTTCAGTTACAAACTAGAAAGAAACTTTGTGAGAAACTGCTTTGTGATGTGTGCATTTATCTCACAGAGTTAAACCTTTCTTTGGGTTCAGCAGTTTAGAAAGAATGCTTTTGTAGAATCTGCCAAGGGATATTTGGGAGCCCATTAAGTCTTAGGGTGAAAAATGAAATATCTTCACATAAAATCTAGAAAGAAACATTCTGAGACACTGCTTTGAGATGTGTGCATTCAACTCACAGAGATAAACCTTTCTTTGGATGGAGCAGTTTGAAAACTCTGTTTTTGTAGAATCTACGAAGTGATATTAGGGAGTGCATTGAGGCCTATGGTGAAAAAGGAAATATCTTCAGATACAAACTGGAAAGATGCTTTCAGAGAAACTAGTTTTGAATGTGTGCATGCATCTCACAGAGTTAAACCTTTGTTTTGATGGAGGAGTTTGAAAAGGCTGTTTCTGTAGAATCTGAAAAGGGATATGGGTGAGCCCAATGTGGCCTTTAGTGGAAAAGATTATATCTTCAGATACAAACTAGAAGAAATCTTTCAGAGAAACTGCTTTATGACGTGTGCATTCATCTCACAGAGTTAAAGCTTTCTTTTGATTGCGCAGTTTGGAAAGACTGTTTTTGTAGAATCTGCAAAGGGATATTTGGGAGCCCTTTGACCCTTTTGGTCAAAAAGGAAATATCTTCATATAAAAACTAGAAAGAAGCTTTCTGAGAAACTCCTTTGTGGTGTTAACATTCATCTCACAGAGTTAAACCTTTCTTTTGATTGAGAAGTTTGGAAACACTCAATTTTGAAGAATATGTAATGGGATTTTCAGGAGTGCCTTCAGGCCTATGGTAAAAAGGAAATATCTTGACATAAAAACTACAAAGAAAGATTCAGAGACACTGCTTTGAGATGTATTCATTCATCTCACAGAGTTACACATTTCTTTTAATTGAGCAGTTTGGAAACACTGTTTCTGAAGAATCTGTGAAGTAATATTAAGAAACGCTTTAAGTCCCCCTGTAAAAAAGGACATATCTTCAGATACAAACTTGAAAGAAGGTTTCTGAGAAACTGCTTTCTGAAGTGTGCATTTGTCAAAGAGAGTTAAACCTTTCTTTGGATTGAACAGTTTGGAAACACTGTTTTGGCAGTATCTGAGAAGGGACATTAGGGAGCGTACTGAGGCTTACATTGAAAATGGATAAAACTTCAGGTACAAACTAGAAAGAAGTTTTCTGAGAAACTGCTTTCTGATGTGTGCATTCATTACACAGGGTTATAACTTTCTTTTGATTGAGCAGTTGGGAAACACTGTTTTGGTTGAATCTGACAAGGTATATTAGGGAACATAATGAGGCCTATGGCAAAAAAGGAAATATCTTCAGATAAAAACTAGAAAGTAACATTTTCAGAAACTGCTTTGTGAATTGTGAATTCATCTCACAGAGTTACACCTTTATCTTCATTGAGCAGTTTGGAACCACTGTTTTTGTAGAATCTATGAAGTGATATTTCAGGGCCCATTAAGGCCTAAGGTGAAAAGGCAAATATCTTCAGATAAAAACTAGAAAGGGACTTTCTGAGAAACTGCTTTGTGATGTGTACATTCATGTCATAGAGTTAAACCTTTCTTTTGATAGAGCAGTTTGCCAGCACTGCTTTTGAAGAATCTGTGAAGGTATATTTCAGAAAGCCTTGAGGCCATTGGTGATAAATGAAATATATTCAGATAAAAACTAGAAAGTAACATTCTCAGAAACTGCCTTGTGAATTGTGCATTCATCACACGGAGTTAAACTTTTCTTTTGATTCAGCAGTTTGGAACCACTGTTTTTGTAGAATCTCCGAAGAGATATTTCAGAGCGCACTGAGGCCAATGGTGAAACATGAAATATCTTCAGATAAAAACTAGAAAGTAACTTAATCAGAAACTGCTTTGTGAATTGTGCATTCATCTCACAGAGTTAAACTTTTCTTTCGTTGGAGCAGCTTGGAAACACTGTTTCTGTCAAATCTACGAAGTGATATTTGGGATCCCATTGAGGTTTATGGCGAAAAGAGAAATATCTTCAGGTACAAACTGGAAAGAGAATTTCTGAGAAACTGCTTTGTGATGTGTACATTCATCTCATAGAGGTAAGCCTTTCCTTTGATAGAGCAGTTTGCAAGCACGGCTTTTGTAGAATCTGTGATGGTATACTTGGGAAAGCCTTGATGTCTATGGTGATGAAGGAAATAACTTCAGATAAAAAATAGTAAGTACTTTTCTTAGAAACTACTTTGTGAATTGTGCATTCATCTCACAAAGTTAAACCTTTCTTTTGTTTGAGTAGTATGGGATCACTGTTTTTGTGGAATCTCTGAAGAGATATTTCTAAGTGCATTGAGGCCAATGGTGAAAAAGGAAATATCTTCAGATAAAAAGTAGGAAGTAATTTTCTCAGAAACCGCTTTGTGAATTGTGCATTCGTCTCACAGAGTTAAACTTTTCTTTTGTTTGAGCAGTTTGGAAACATTGTTTTTGTAGAATCTACAAAGTAATATTTGGGAGCCCATTGAGGCTTATGGTGAAAGGGAAATACCTTCAGATCCAAACTAGAAAGAGACTTTCTGAGAAACTGCTTTGTGATGTGTGCATTCATCTCGCTGAGTTAAACCTTTCCTTGAATTCAGCAGTTTGCAAAGACTGTTTTGGTAGAATCTGCCAAGGGATATTGGGGAGCCCATTCAGTCAGGGTGAAAAATGAAATATCTTCACATAAAAACTAGAAAGAAACATTCTGAGACACTGCTTTGAGATGTATACATACATCTCATAGAGATAAACCTTTCTTTGGATTGAGCAGTTTAGAAAGTCTGTTTTTGTAGAAACTGCAAGGTGATATTAGGGAGTGCTTTGAGGCCTATGGTGAGAAAGGAAATATCTTCAGATACAAATTGGAAAGACGCTTTGTGAGGAATGGCTTTTAGATGTGTGGATTCATCTCACAGAGATTAAACGTTCTTTTGATGGAGGAGTTTGGAAAGGCTGTTTTTATAGAATCTGAAAAGGATATTTTTGGGCCCAATGAGGCCTTTGGTGAAAAAGTTATATCTTCAATACAGATTAGAAGAAATCTTTCTGTGAAACTGCATTATGATGTGTGCATTCATCTCACAGAGTTAAAACTTTCTTTTGATTGAGCAGTTTGGAAAGATTGTTTTTGTAGAATCTGCAAAGGGATATTTGGGAGCCCTTTGACCCTTAAGGTCAAAAAGGAAATATCTTCATATAAAAACTAGAAAGAAGCTTTCTGAGAAACTGCTTTGTGATATGTGCATTCATCTCACAGAGTTAAAATTTTCTTTTGATTGAAAAGTTTGGAAACACTCAATTTTGTGGAAACTGTAATAGGATTATTGGTATTGCATTCAGGCCTATGGTTAAAAAGGAAACATCTTCACAGAAAAACTAGAAGGAAACATTCAGATACACAGCTTTGAGATGTGTTCATTCATCTCACAGAGTTGAACCTTTCTGTTGTTGGAGCAGTTTGGAAACACTGTAGAATCTGCAAAGTAATATTATAGAGCATTTTGAGGCCTATTGTGAAAAAGGACATATCTTCAGATACAAATTTGAAAGGTTTGTGGGAAACTGCTTTCTGACGTGTACCTTTGTCTCATACAGTTAAACCTTTTTTTGATTGAGCAGTTTGGAAACACTGTTTTGGTATCATCTTAGAAGGGATGGGGCATTCATCTCACCGAGTTAAACTGTTCTTTTGTTTGAGCAGTTTGGAAATGATTTTTTTTGAAGAATCTGTGAAGGGATATTTTGGAGCCTATTGAGGCCTATGGTGAAAAGGGAAGTATCTTCAGATACAAACTAGAAAGGGACTTTCTGAGAAACTGCTCTGGAATGTGTACATTCATCACATAGATTTAAACATTTCTTTTGATAGAGCAGTTTGCAAGCACTGTTTTTGTAGAATCTGTGAAGTTATATTTGGGAAAGCCTTGAGGCCTAAGGTGATAAAGGAAATATCTTCACATAAAAACCAGAAAGTAACTTCCTCAGAAACTTCTTTTTGATTTGTGCATTCATCTCACAGAATTAAACCTTTCTTTTGATTGAGAAGTTTGGAACTACTCTTTTTGTAGATTCTCTGAAGAGGTATTTCAGAGCACATTGAAGCCAATGGTGAAAAAGGGAATATCTTCAAATAAAAACTAGAAAGTAACTTTCTCAGCAACTGCTTTGTGAATTGGGCATTCATCTCACAGAGTTAAACCTTTCTTTTGTTTGAGCAGTTTGGAAACACTGGTTTTGTAGAATCTTCGAAGTCATATTTGGGAGCCCATTGAGGTCTATGGTGAAAAGTGAAATATCTTCAGATACAAACTAGAAAGGGGGTTTCTGAGAAACTGCTTTGTTATGTGTACGTTTATCTCATAAGTTAAAACTTTCCTTTGATAGAGCAGTTTGCAAGCACCGTTTTTGTAGAATCTGTGAAGGTATATTTGGCAAAGCCTTGAGGCACGTGGTGATAAAGGAAATATCTTCAGATAAAAACTAGAAGTAACTTTCTCAGAAACTGCTTTGTGAGCTGTGCATTCATCTAACAGAGTTAAACCTTTCTTTTGATTGAGCAGAAAAGAACCACTGATTTTGTAGAATGTCCAAAGAGATATTTCAGAGTGCATTGAGGCCTATGGTGAAAAAGGAAATATCATCAGACAAAAACTAGAAAGTAACTTTCTCAGAAACTCCTTTGTGAGCTGTGCATACATCTAACAGAGTTAAACCTTTCTTTTGATTGAGCAAAAAAGAACTACTGATTTTGTAGAATGTCCGAAGAGATATTTCAGAGTGCATTGAGGCCTATGGTGAAAAAGGAAATATCATCAGACAAAAACTAGAAAGTAACGTTCTCAGAAACTGCTTTGTGAATTGTGCATTCATCTCACAGAGGTAAACCTTTCTTTTGATTGAGCAGTTTGGAACCACTGTTTTTGTAGAATCTATGAAGTGATATTTGGGAGCCCACTGAGGCCTATGGTGAAAAGGGAAATATCTTCAGATACAAACTAGAAAGGGACTTTCCGAGAAACTGCTTTGTGATGGGTACATTCACCTCATAGAGTTAAACATACCTTTTGATACAGCAGTTTGCAAACACTGCTTTTGTAGAATCTCCAAAGGTGTGTTTGGGAAAGACTTGAGGCTTATGATGATAAAGGAAATACCTTCAGATACAAAGTAGAAAGAAACTTTCTGAGAAACTGCTTTGTGATGTGTCCATTCATCTGGCAGAGTAAAACTTTTCTTTTGTTTGAGCAGTTTGGAAACACTGTTTTTGTAGAATCTACAAAGTGATATTTGGGAGCCCATTGAGGCCTATGGTGAAAAGGGAAATATCTACAGATACAAACTAGAAGGGGATTTTCTGAGAAACTGCTTTGTGATGTGTACATTCATCTCATAGAGTTAAACTTTTCTTTTGATAGAGCAGATTGCAAGCACTGCATTTGTAGAATCTGCAAAGGCATATTTTGGAAAGCCTTGAGGCCTATGGTGATAAAGGAAATATCTTCAGATAAAAACTAGAAAGCACCTTTCACAGAAACTGCTTTGTGAATGGTGCATTCATCTCACAGAGTTAAACTTTTCTTTTGATTGAACATTTTATAACCACTGTTTTTGTAGAATCTCTGAGGAGATATTTCAGAGCACTTTGAGGCCAATGGTGAAAAGGAAATATCTTCATATAAAAACTAGAAAGTAACTTTCTTAGAAGCTGCTTTGTGAACTGTGCATTCATCTAACAGGGTTAAAACTTTCTTTTGTTTGAGCAGTTTGGAAACACTGCTTTTATAGAAACTACGAAGTGATATTTGGGAGCCCATTGAGGCCTATGGTTAAAAGGGAAATATCTTCAGATACAAACTAGAAAGGGCCTTTCTGAGAAACTGCTTTGTGATGTGTACATTCACGTCATAGAATTAACCATTCTTTTGATAGAGCAGTTTACAAGCACTGCTTTTATATAATCTGCAAATGTATATTTGGGAAAGCCTTGAGGCATATGGTGATAAAGGACATATCTTCAGATAAAAATGAGAAAGTAACTTTCTCAGAAACTGCTCTGTGAATTGTGCATTCATCTCACAGAGTTAAACCTTTCTTTTGATTGAGCAGTTTGGAACCACTGTTTTTGTAGAATCTCCAAAGAGATATTTTGGAGCACTTTGAGGCCAATGGTGAGAAAGCAAATATCTTCAGATAGAAACTAGAAAATAAGTTTCTCAGAAACTGCTTTGTGAATTGTACATTCATCTCACAGAGTTAAACCTTTCTTTTGTTTGAACAGTTTGGAAACACTGTTTTTGTCGAATATACAAAGTGATATTTGGGAGCCCATTGTGGCCTATTTTGAAAAGGAAATATCTTCAGATACAAACTAGAAAGAAGGTTTCTGTGAGACGGCTTTGTAATGTGTGCATTCAACTCATAGAGTTAAACCTTTCTTTTGATAGAGCAGTTTGCAAACACTGCTTTTGTAGAGTCCACAAAGGTATATTTGGGAAAGCCTTGAGGTCTATGGTGATAAAGGAAATATCTTCAGATACAAACTAGAAAGAAACCTTCTGAGAAACTGCTTTATGATGTGTGCATTCATCTCGCAGAGTTAAACCTTACTTTGGATTTAGCAGTTTGGAAAGACTGCTTTTGTAGAATCTGCCAAGGGATACTGGGGAGCCCATCCAGTCTTTGGGTGAAAAATGAAATATCTTCACATAAAAACTAGAAAGAAACATACTGAGACACTGCTTTGAGGTGTGTACATTCATGTCATAGAGATAAACCTTTCTTTGGATTGAGCAGTTTGGAAACTCTTTTTTCATAGAAACTGTGAAGTGATATTAGGGAGTGCTTTGAGGCCTATGGTGAAAAAGGATATATCTTCAGATACAAACCAGAAAGACGCTTTCTGACCAACTGCTTTTGGATGTGTGGATTCATCTCACAGAGATAAACTTGGTGAAAAAGGTTATATTTTCAGATACAAACTAGCAGAAATCTTTCTGAGAAACTGCTTTGTGATGTGTGATGTGTGCATTTATCTCACAGAGTTAAAGCTACCTTTTGATTGAGCAGTTTGGAAAGATTGCTTTTGTAGAAACTGTAAAGTGATGTTTGGGAACCCTTTGACCCTTATGGTCAAAAAGGAAATATCTTCACATAAAAACTAGAAAGAAGCTTTCTGAAACACTGCTTTGTGTTGTGTGCATTCATCTCACAGAGGTAAACTTTCTTTTGATTGAGAAGTTTGGAAACACTCAATTTTGTAGAATCTGTAACAGGATTTTTGGGAGTGCATTCAGGCCTATGGTGAAAAAGAAATTAACTTCACAGAAAAAGTAGAAAGAAACATTCAGAGACACTGCTCTGTGATGTGTTCCTTCATCTCACAGAGTTAAACCTTTCTTTTGATGGAGCAGTTTGGAAACACTGATTCTGTAGAATCTGCAAAGTAATATTAGGGAGGGCTTTGAGGCTTATTGTGAAAAAGGACATGTCTTCAGATGCAAACTTGAAAAGGTTTCTGAGAAACTGCTTTGTGATGTGTGTCTTCATCTCATAGGGTTAAACTTTTCTTTGGATGGAACAGTTTGGAAACACTGTTTTGGCAGAATCTGAGAAGGCATATTAGGGAGCTTATTGAGGCCTATGTTGAAAATGGATATATCTTCAGGTACAAACAAGAAAGAAGTTTTCTGAGAAACTGCTTTCTGATGTGTGCATTCATCTCACAGAGATAAACTTTTCTTTGGATTGAGCAGTTTGGAAACACAGTTTTGGTAGCATCTGAGAAGGGATATTAGGGAGCATATTGAGGCCTATGGTGTAAAAGGAAATATCTTCAGATAAAAACTAGAAAGTAACTTTCTCAGAAACTGCTTTGTGAATTGTGCATTCATCTCACCGAGTTAAACCTTTCTTTTGATTGAGCAGTATGGAACCACTGTTTTTGTAGAATCTCTGAAGAGATATTTCGCAGTGCATTGAGGCCAATTTTGAAAAAGGAAATATCTTCAGATGAAAACTAGAAAGTCCATGTGTTCTCATTGTTCAATTCCCACCTATGAGTGAGAACATGCGGTGTTGGGTTTTTTGTCTTTGTGATAGTTTGCTGAGAATGATGGTTTCCAGCTTAATCTATGTCCCTACAAAGGACATGAACTCATCATTTTTTATGGCTGCAGAGTATTCCATGGTTTATATGTGCCACATTTTTTTAATCCAGTCTATCATTGTTGGACATTTGGGTTGGTTCCAAGTCTTGCTATTGTGAATAGTGCCACAATAAACATACATGTGCTTGTATCTTTATAGCAGCATGATTTATAATCACTTGGGTATATACTCAGTAATGGGATTGCTGGGTGAAATGGTATTTCTAGTTCTAGATCCATGAGGAATCACCACACTGACTTCCACAATGGTTGGACTAGTTTACAGTCCCACCAACAGTATAAAAGTGTTCCTATTTCTCCACATCCTCTCCAGCACCTGTTGATTCCTGGTTTTTTAATGATCACCATTCTAACTGCTGTGGGTTTGTATCTCATTGTGGTTTTGATTTGCATTTCTCTGATGGCCAATGATTATGAGCATTTTTTCATGTGTCTTTTGGCTGCATAAATGTCTTCTTTTGAGAAGTGTCTGTTCATATCCTTCTCCCACTTCTCGATGGGGTAGCTTGTCTTTTTCTTGTAAATTTGTTTGGGTTCATTGTAGATTCTAGATATTAGCCGTTTTTCAGACAAGTAGATTGCAAAAACTTTCTCCCATTCTGTAGGTTGCCTGTTCACTCTGATGGTAGTTTCTTTTGCTGTGCAGAAGCTCTTTAGTTTAATTAGATCCCATTTGACAATTTTGGCTCTTGTTGCCATTGCTTTTGGTGTTTCAGACATGAAGTCCTTGCCCATGCCTATGTCCTCAATGGTATTGCGAAGGTTTTCTTCAAGGGTTTTTACGGTTTCAGGTCTAACATATAAGTCTTTAATCCATCTTGAATTAATTTTTGTATAAGGCGTAAGGAAGGGATCCAGTTTCAACTTTCTATGTATGGCTAGCCAGTTTTCCCAGCACCATTTATTAAATAGGGAATTGCTTCCCCATTTCTTGTTTTTGTCAGTTTGGCTCTGTTCTGTTCCATTGGTCTCTATCTCTGTTTTGGTACCAGTACCATGCTACTTTGGTTACTGTAACCTTGTAGTATAGCTTGAAGTCAGTTAGCTTGATGCCTCCCACTTTGTTCTTTTGGCTTAAGATTGACTTGGCGATGTGGTCTCTTTTTTGGTTCCATATGAACTTTAAGGTAGTTTTTTCCAATTCTGTGAAGAAAGTCATTGGTAGCTTGATGGGGATGGCACTGAATTTATAAATTACCTTGGGCAGTATGGTCATTTTCATGATATTGATTCTTCCTACCCACGAGCATGGAATGTTCTTCCATTTGTTTTTAACCTCTTTTATTTCATTGAGCAGTGGTTTGTTGTTCTCCTTGAAGAGTTCCTTCACATCCCTTGTAAGTTGGATTCCTAGATATTTCATTCTCTTTGAAGCAGTTGTGAATGAAAAGTCACTCATGATTTGGCTCTCTGTTTGTCTGTTATTGGTGTATAAGAATGCTTGTGACTTTTGTACATTGATTTTTTTATCCTGAGACTTTGCTTAATTTGGCTATCAGCTTAAGGAGATTTTGGGCTGAGACAATGGGGTTTTCTAGATATGCAATCATGTCATCTGCAAACAGGGACAATTTGACTTCCTCTTTTCCAGTTGAATACCCTTTATTTCCTTCTCCTGCCTGATTGCCCTGGCCAGAAGTTCCAGCACTATGTTGAATAGGAGTGGTGAGAGAGGGCATCCCTGTCTTGTGCCAGTTTTCAAAGGGAATGCTTCCAGTTTTTGCCCATTCAGTATGATATTGGCTGTGGGTTTGTCATGAATAGCTCTTATTATTTTGAGTTCCGTCCCATCAATAGCTAATTTATTGAGAGTTTTTAGCATGAAGGGCTGTTGAATTTTGTCAAAAGCCTTTTCTGCATCTTTTGAGATAATCATGTGGTTTTTATCATTGGTTCTGTTAATATGCTGGATTAGGTTTATTGATTTGCATATGTTGAATGAGCCTTGCATCCCAGGGATGAAGCCCACTTGAACATGGTGGATAAGCTTTTTGATGTGCTGCTGGATTCGGTTTGCCAGTATTTTATTGAAGATTTTTGCACCAATGGTCATCAGGGATATTGGTCTAAAATTCTCTTTTTTTTGTTGTGTCTCTATGAGGCTTTGGTACCAGGATGATGCTGGCCTCATAAATTGAGTTAGGGAGGATTCCCTCTTTTTTATTGATTGGAATATTTTCAGAAGGAATGGTACCAGCTCCTCCTTGTACCTCTGGTAGAATTCAGCTGTGAATCCATGTGGTCCTGGACTTTTTCTGGTTGGTATGCTATTAATTTTTGCCTCAATTTCAGAGCCTGTTATTGATCTATTCAGAGATTCAACTTCTCCCTGGTTTAGTCTTGGGAGGGTTTATATGTTGAGGAATTTATCCATTTCTTCTAGATTTTCTATTTTATTTGTGTAGAGGTGTTTATAGAATTCTCTAATGGTAGTTTGTATTTCTGCAGGATCGATGGTGATATCCCCTTCATCACTTTTTATTGCATCTATTTGATTCTTCTCTCTTTTCTTTATTAGTCTTGCTAGCGGTCTATCAATTTTGTGGATCTTTAAAAAAAACAGCTCCTAGATTCATTGAGTTTTTGAAGGTTTTTTTTTGTGTCTCTATTTCCTTCAGATCTGCTCTGATCTTGGTCATTCCTTGCCTTCCGTTAGGTTTTGAATGTGTTTGCACTTGCGTCTCTAGTTCTTTTAATTGTGATGTTAGAGTGTCAATTTTAGATCTTTCCTGCTTTCTCTTGTGGGTATTTAGTGCTATAAATTTCCCTCTACACACTGCTTTGAATGTGTCCCAGAAATTCTTGTATGTTGTGTCTTTGTTCTTGTTGGTTTCAAAGAACATCTTTATTTTTGCCTTCGTTTTTTTATGTACCCAGTAGTCATTCAGGAGCAGGTGGTTCAGTTTTCATGTAGTTGAGCAATTTTGAGTGAGTTTCTTAATCCTGAGTTCTAATTTGATTGCACTGTGGTCTGAGAGATAGTTTGTTTTAATTTCTCTTCTTTTACTTTTGCTGAGGAGTGCTTTACTTCTAACTATGTGGTCAGTTTTGGAATAGGTGTGGTGTGGTGCTGAAAAGAATGTATATTCTGTTGATTTGGGGTGGAGAGTTCTGTAGATGTCTATTAGGTCCGCTTGGTGCAGAGCTGAGTTCAATTCTTGGATATCCTTTTTAACTTTCTGCCTCGTTGATCTGTCTAATGTTGACAGTGGGTTGTTAAAGTCTCCCATTATTATTGTGTGGTAGTCTAAGTCTCTTTGTGTTTCACTCAGGACTTGCTTTTTGAATCTGGGTGCTCCTTTATTGGGTGCATATATATTTAGGATAGTTAGCTCTTCTTGTTGAATTGATTGCTTTACCATTATGTAATGGCCTTCTTTGTCTCTTTTGATCTTTGTTGGTTTAAAGTCTGTTCTATGAGAGGCTAGGATTGCAACCCCTGCCTTTTTTTGTTTTCCATTTGCTTGGTAGATCTTCCTCCATCCCTTTATTTTGAGCCTATGTGTGTCTCTGCACATGAGATGGGTGGGGTTAGGGGGGAGGGATAGCATTAGGAGATATACCTAATGTTTAATGACGAGTTAATGGGTGCAGCACACCAACATGGCACATGTATACATATATAACAAACCTGCACGTTGTGCACATGTACCCTAAAACTTAAAGTATAATAAAAAAAAACTAGAAAGTAACTTTCTCAGAAATTGCTTTGTGAATTGTGCATTCATCTCACACAGTTAAACCTTTCCTTTGTTTGAGTTGTTTGGAAACACTGTTTTTGTAGAGTCTATGAAGTGATATTTGGGTGCCCATTGAGGCCTACGGTGAAAAGGGAAAAATCTTCAGGTACAAACTAGAAAGGGTGTTTCTGAGTAACTGCTTTGTGATGTGTACATTCATCTCATAGAGTTAAGCCTTTCCTTTGATAGAGCAGTTTGCAAGCACTGCTTTTGTAGAATCTGTGAAGGTATATTGGGAAAGCTTCATGTCTATGCTGATAAAGGAAATATCTTCACATAAAAACTAGAAAGTAACTTTCTCAGAAACTGCTTTGTGAATTGTGCAGTCATCTGACACAGTTAAACCGGAGCCCACTGATGCCTATGGAGAAAAGGGAAATATCTTCATATACAAACTAGAAAGAAGGTTTCTAAGAAACAGCTTTGTGATGTGTACACTCATCTCACAGAGTTAAACTTTTCTTTTGATAGACCTGTTTGCAAGCCCTACTTTTGTAGAGTCTGCGAAGGTATATTTGGGAAAGCCTTGAGGCCTGTGGTGATAAAGGAAATATCTTCAGATAAAAACTAGAAAGCATCTTTCTCAGATACTTCTTTGTGAATTGTGCATTCATCTCACAGAGTTAAACCTTTCTTTTGATTAGGCAGTTTGGAACCACTGTTTTTGTAGAATCCCTGAAGAGATATTCTGGAGCACTTTGAAGCCAATGGTGAAAAAGGAAATATCTTCAGATAAAAACTACAAAGTAACTTTCTCAGAAACTGCTTTGTGAATTGTGTCTTCACCTCACAGAGTTAAACTTTTCTTTTATTGGTGCAATTTGGAAACTCTGTTTTTGTAGAATCTATGAACTGATATTTGGGAGCCCATTGAGGCCTATGGTGAAAAGGGAAATATCTTCAGATAAAAACTAGAAAGGGACTTTCTGAGAAACTGCTTTGTGATGTGTACATTCATGTCATTGAGTTAAAACCTTTCTTTTGATAGAGCAGTTTGCAAACACTGCTTTTGTAGAATCTGTGAAGGTATATTTGGGAAGGCCTTGAGGCCTATGGTGATAAAGGAAATATCTTCAGATACTAACTAGAAAGGACTTCCTGAGAAACTGCTTTGTGATGTGTACTTTCATCTCATAGAGCTAAACCTTTCTTTTGGTAGATCAGTTGCAAGCACTGTTTTTGTAGAATCTGTGAAGGTATATTTGGGAAAGCCTTGAGACACATGGTGATAAAGGAAATATCTTCAGATATAAGCTAGAAAGTAACTTTCTCAGAAACTGCTTTTGTATTGTGCATTCATCTCACAGAGTTAATCGTTTCTTTTTTTGAGCAGTTTAGAAACACTGTTTTTGTAGAATCTACGAAGTGAAAAAGGGAAATATCCTCAGGTGCAAAATAGAAAGGAACTTTCTGAGAAACTGGTTTGTGACTTGTACATTCATCTCATAGAGTTAAATCATTCTTTTGACAGAGCACTTTGCAAGCACTGCTAATGTAGGATCTGTGAAGGTATATTTGGGAAAGCCTTGAGGCCAATGGTGGTATCAGAAATATATTAAGATACAAACTAGAAAGAAACTTTCTGAAAAACTAATTTCAGATGTGTCCATTCATCTCACAGAGTTAAACCTTTCTTTGGATTCAGCAGTTTGTTAAAACTGGTTTTGTCCATTCTGCAAATGGACATTTGGGAGCTCACTGTGGCCAATGAGGAAAAAGTGAATATCCCATGATGAAAACTAGAAGGAAGATGTCAGAGAAAGTGCCTTGTGATGTGTCAATTCATCCCACAGTGTTAAATCTTTCTTTTGATTCAGCAGTTTGGAAACACAGTTTTCTTAGAATCTGTGAAGAGATATTTGTTAGCACATTGAGGCTTATGGTGAAAAGGGAAACATCTTCAGATAAAAACTAGTAAGAAGATTTCTGAAAACTGCTTTCTGATGTGTGCTTTCATCTCACAGAGTTAGACCTTTCCTTGGAGTCAGCAGTTTGTTAACACCGTTTTTGTCCATTCTGCAAATGGACATTTGAGAGCTCAGTGAGGCCAAAGGCAAAAACGTGAATATCTCATAATGAAAACTAGAAGGATGATGTCTGAGAAAAAGCCTTGTGATGTGTGCATTCACCTTGCAGTGTTAAACCTTTGTTTTTATTCAGCAGTTTGGAAATACTGTTTCTGGAGAATCTGTGAGGGAATATTTGGCAGAGCTTTGAGGCCTGTGGTGAAAAAAGAAACATCTTCAGGTAAAAACTGGAAAGAAGCTTAATGAGAAACTGTTTTGTGATGCGTGGGAAACATCCCAAAGAGTTAAGCCTTTCTTTTGATTCAGCAGTTTGGGAACACAGTTTTCTTAGAATCTGCAAGGAGATATTTGGTGCCACATTGAGTCTTATGGTGAAAAAGAAAATATCTTCAGATAAAATCTACAAAGAAGATTAATTAGAAGCTGCTTTGTATTGTGTGCATTCATCTTACAGAGTTAAACCTTTCTTTACATTCAGTAATTTGGGAACACAGTTTTTTTTAGATTCTGAGAGCAGATATAAGACCTATTGTGAAAAAGGAAATATCTTCAGACAAAAGCTGGAAAGAATCATTCTGAGAGTTTGCTTTGTGATGTGTGCACTCATCTGACAAAGTTAAACTTTTCTTGGTATTCAACACTTTGGTAACACTGCTTTTGTCCATTTTGTGAATAGACAATGTCCATTTGGATTCAGCAGTTTGTTAACACAGTTTATGTCCATTCTGTGAATGGACATTTCAGAGCTCATTGAGGCCAATGGCAAAAAAGCGAATATCCCATAATGAAAACGAGAAGGAGCATGTCTGAGAAAAAACCTTCTGATGTGTGCATTCACCTTGCAGTGTTAAACCTTTCTTTTCAATCAGCAATTTGGAAACAATGTTTCTGGAGAATCTGTGAAGGAATATTTGGAAGC
Source organism: Homo sapiens (assembly GCF_000001405.40). Classification (NCBI taxonomy): domain Eukaryota; kingdom Metazoa; phylum Chordata; class Mammalia; order Primates; family Hominidae; genus Homo; species Homo sapiens. Next base: position 62,636,114 of record NC_000007.14, on the reverse strand, counting down.
TCATTGAGGCCTATGGCGAAAAAGGAAACATCTTCAGGTAAAAACTCAAAAAAATCTTAACCAGAAACTGCTTTGTAGTTTGTTGAATCACCTCACAGATTGAAACCTTTCTTTTGATTCAGCAGTTTGGAAACAGTTTTCTTAGAATCAACAAAGAGATATTTGGTGCCTCATTGAGTCCTACAGTGAAAATTAAAATAGCCTCAGTTAAAAAATAGAAAGAATCTTAATGAGAAACTGCTTTGTGATGTGTGCATTCATCACACAGAGTTAAACCTTCCTTTACATTCAGTAGTTTGGGAACACAGTTTCCGGATATTCTATGAACAGTACAGATGTTTTGTAGTGCAATGAGGCCTACTGTGAAAAAGGAAATATCTTCAGACAAAAACTGGAAAGAAACTTTCTGAGACACTGCCTTGTGAGGTGTGCATTCATTAAACAGAGTTCAACCTTTCTTGGTATTCAGCACTTTGGTAACACTGTTGTTGTCCATTGTGTGAATGGACATTTGGGAGCTCATTGAGGCCACTGGTGAAAAGGGGAATATCCCATGATATAAACTGGAAGGAAGAGATCTGAGAAAACGCTTGTTGATGTGTGCATTCATCTCGCAATGTTAAACCTTTCTTTTAATTCAGTAGTTTGGAAACACAGTTTTTTCAGAATCAACAAAGGGATATTTTGTGCCACATTGAGGCCTAAAACGGAAAAGGAAATATCTTCAGATAAAAACTAGACAAGTCCTTTCTGATAAACTGCTTTCTGATGTTTGCATTCATCTCACAGAGAAAAACCTTTCTTTTCATTCAGCAGTTTGAAAACAGTTTTCTTAGAATCTGCAAAGAGATATTTGGTGCCATTTTGAGGCCTATGGCGAAAAATGAAATATCTTCAGATAAAAACTAGAAAGAACCTTTCTGAGAAACTGCTTTCTGATGTGTGCATTCATCTCACAGAGTTAAACCTGTCTTTTCACTCAGAAGTGTGGAAACACAGTTTTCTTAGAATCAACAAAGAGATATTTTGTGCCACATTGAAGCCTAAGGCAAAAAAGGAAATATCTTCAGATAAAAACTAGAAAGGTCCTTTCTCAGAAACTGCTTTCCAATGTTTTCACTCATCTCACAGAGATAAACCTTTCTTTTGATTCAGCAGTTTGAAAACACAGTTTTCTTAGACTCTGCAAAGAGATATTTGGTGCCATTTTGAGGCCTATGGTGAAAAAGGAAATATCTTCAGATATCAGCAGTTTGTTAACACAGTTTTTGTCAATTCTGTAAATGGACATTTGGGAGATCCTTGAGGCCAAGGGCAGAAAGTTGAATATCCCATAATGAAAAGTAGAAGGAAGATGTCTGAGAAAATGCCTTGCAATGTGTGCATTCATCTCACAGTATTAAACTTTTCTTTTCATTCAGCAGTTTGGAAACTTTCTGGAGAATTTGTGAAGGAATATTTGGCAGTGCATTGAGGCCTATGGTGGAAAAGGAAACATCTTCAGATAAAAACTCAAAAGAAGCTTAATGAGAAACTGCTTTGAGATGAGATAAATCATCTCAGAGAGTTAAAACTTTCTTTTACTTCAGCCATTTGGAAACACAGTTTTCTTAATATCTGCGAGCAGATATTTGGTGCCACATTGAGACCTATGGTGAAAAACGAAATATATACATATAAAAACTAGAAAGAACCTTTCTGAGAAACTGATTTGTGATGTGTGCATTCATCTCACAGAGTTAAACATTTCTATTGAATCAGCAGTTTGGAGACACAGTTTTCTTAGAATCTGCAAGTAGATATTTGGTAACGCAATGAGGCCTATTGTGAAAAAGGAAATATATTCAGACAAAAACTGGAAAGAATCTTTCTGACAGACTACTTAATGATGTGTGCATTCATCTGACACAGTTAAACCTTTCTTTTTATTCAGCACTTTGGTAACACTGTTTTTGTCCATTGTGCTAATGAACATTAGGGAGCTCATTGAGGCCAATGGCGAAAAAGTGAATATCCCAGGATAAAAACGGGAAGGATGCTATCTGAGAAAACACTTGATCTGTGCATTCACCTCACAGTGTTAAATCTTTCTTTTGATTCAGCAGTTTGGAAGCACAGTTTTCTTAGAATCTGAAAAGAGACATTTGTGCCACCTTGAGGCCTATGGTGAAAAAGGAAATATCTTCAGATCAAAACTAGAATGAACCTTTCTGAGAAACTGCTTTCTGATGTGTGCATTCATCTCATAGAGTTAAATCTTTCTTTTGATTCAGCAGTTTGGAAACAGTTTTCTTCGAACCTGCAAAGGGATATTCTTGCCACATTGAGGACTAAGGTGAAAAAGGAAATATCTTCAGATAAAGACTAGAAAGAACCTTTCTGAGAAACTGCTGTGCAATGTATACATTCACCTCACAGGGTTATACCATTCTTTTGATTCAGCAGTTTGGAAACACAGTTTTCTTAGAATCTGCCAACACATATTTTGTAGCGCAATGAGACCTACTGTGAAAAAGGAAATATCTTCAGGCAAAAACTGGAAAGAATCTTTCTGAGAGGCTGTTTTGTGATGTGTGCATTCAGCTGACAGAGTTAAACCTTTCTTGGTATTCAGCACTTTGGTAACACTGTTTTTGTCCATTGTGTGAATGGACATTTGGGAGCTCATTTATGCGAATGGCGAAAAAGTGAATATCCCAGGATAACAACTTGAAGGAAGAGATCTGAGAAAACGTTTGGTGATGTGTGCATTCATCTCGCAGTGATAAACCTTTCTTTTGATTCAATAGTTTGGAGACACAGTTTTGTTAGAACCTGTGAAGAGATATTTTGTACCACATTGAGGCCTTTGGTGAAAAAGGACATATCTTCAGAGAAAAACTAGAAAGAACTTTTCTGAGAGACTGCTTTGCAATGTGTACATTCATCTCACAGAGTTAAACATTTCTTTTGATTCAACAGTTTGGAAACAGAGTTTTCTTAGAATCTGCAAAGAGATATTTGGTGCCACATTGAAGCCTATATTGAAAAATGAAATCTCTTCAGATAAAAACTAGAAAGAACATTCTGAGAAACTGCTTTGTGATGTGTGCATTCATCTCACAGAGTTAAAACTTTCCCTTGATTCAGTAGTTTGGAAACACAGTTTTCTTACACTCTGCTTAAGGATATTTTGTGCCACATTGAGGCCTATGGTGAAAAAGGAAATATCTTCAGATAAAAACAAGAAAGAACCTTTCTGAGAAATTGTTTTGTGATGTGTACATTCTTCTCACAGAATTAAACCTTTCTTTTCATTCAACAGTTTGTTAACACCATTTTTGTTGATTCTGCAAGTGGACATTTGGGAGCTCACTGAGGCCAAGGGCGGAAAAGTGAATATCCCATAAGGAAAATCAGAAGGAAGATGTCTGAGAAAATGCCTTGAGATGTGTGCATTCATCTCACAGTATTAAACTTTCCTTTTCCTTCAGCAGTTTTGAAACTGTTTCTGGAGAACCTGTGAAGGAATATCTGGCAGTGCATTGAGGTCTATGGCAAAAATGGAAACATTGTCAGATAAAAACTCGAAAGAAGCTTAATGAGAAACTGCTTTGTGATGAGTTAAATCATCTCACACAGTTAAAGCTTTCTTTTGCTTCAGCAGTTTGGAAACACAGTTTTCTTAAAATCTGTGAGCAGATATTTGGTGCCACATTGAGAACTATGGTGAAAAAGGAAATATCTTGAGATAAAAAATAGAAAGAACCTTTCTGAGAAACTGCTTTGTGATGTGTGCATTCATCTCACAGAGGTAAACCATTCTTTTGATTCAGAAGTTTGGAAACACAATTTCCTTAGAATCTGCAAAGAGATATTTGGTGCCACATTGAGGCCTATGGAAAAAAATGAAATATCTTCAGATAAAAACTAGAAAGAACCTTTCTGAGAAACTGCTTTCTGATGTGTGCATTCAACTCACAGAGTTAAATCTTTCTTTTGATTCAGCAGTTTGGAGACAGTTTTCTTAGAATATGCAAAGGGATATTCTTGCCACATTGAAGACTATGGTGAAAAAGGAAATATCTTTAGTTAAAAACTAGAAAAAACCTTTCTGAGAAACTGCATTGCAATGTGTGCATTCACCTCACAGCTTTACACCTTTCTTTAGATTCAGCAGTTTGGAAACACAGTTTTCTTAGAATCTGCGAACAGATATTTGGTAGCACAATGAGGTCTATTTTGAAAAAGTAAATATTTTCAGACAAAAACTGGAAAGAATCTTTCTGAGAGACTGTTTTGTGATGTGTCCATTCACCTGACAGAGGTAAACTTTTCTTGGTATTCAGCAATTTGGTAACACTGTTTTTGTCCTTTGTGCAAATGGACATTTGGGAGCTCATTGATGCCAATGGTGAAAAAGTGAATATCCCAGGATAACAACTGAAAGGAGGAGATCTGAAAAAGGCTTTGGGATGTGTGCATTCACCTCACAGTGTTAAACCTTTCTTTTGATTCAATAGTTTGGAAACACAGTTTTGTTAGAACCTGCAAAGAGATATTTGGTACCATGTTGAGGTCTTTGGTGAAAAAGGAAATATCTTCAGATAAAAAATAGAAAGAACTTTTCTGAGAGACTGCTTTCCAAAGTGTACATTCATCACACAGAGTTAAATGTTTCTTTTGCTTCAGCAGTTTGGAAACACAGTTTTCTTAGAATCTGCAAAGAGATATTTTGTGCCACATTGAGGGCTATAGTGAAAAAGGAAATATCTTCAGATAAAAACTAGAAAGAACTTTCTGAGAAAACTGACTTGTGATGTGTGCATTCATCTCACAGAGTTAAAGCTTTCTTTTGATTCAGCAGTTTGGAAACACAGTTTTCTTAAAATCTGCAAGCAGATATTTTGTGCCACATTGAGAACTATGGTGGAAAAGGAAATACCTTCAGCTAAAAACTAGAAGAAACCTTTCTGAGAAACTGTTCTGTGATATGTGCATTCATCTCACAGAGTTAAACTTTTCTTTTGAATCAGCAGTTTGGAAACACAGTTTTCTTAGAATCTGCAAGCAGATATTTGGTAGCGCAATGAGGCCTATTGTGAAAAAGGAAATATATTCAGACAAAAAATGGAAAGAAACTTTCTGAGAGACTCTTTTGTGATGTGTGCTTTCGTCTGACACAGATAAACTTTTCTTGGTATTCAGCACTTTGGTAACACTATTTTTGTCCATTGTGCGAATGGACATTTGGGAGCTCATTGAGGCCAATGTTGAAAAAGGGAATTTCCCAGGACAAAAACTGGAAGGAACATATCTGAGAAAACGATTGGTGATGTGTGCATTCATCTCACAGTATTAAAACTTTCTTTTGATTCAGCAGTTTGGAAACACAGTTTTCTTAGAATCTGCAAGGAGATATTTGGTACCACTTTGTGTCCTATGGTGAAAAAGAAAATATGTTCAGATAGAAACTAGAAAGAAGCTTAATGAGAAACTGCTTTGTGATGTGTGCATTTATCTCACAGAGTTAAAACTTTCTTTACATTCAGTATTTTGGGAACAGAGTGTCCTTAGATACTGTGAGCAGATATTTGGTAGTGCAATGAGGCCTATTGTGAAAAAGGAAATATCTTCAGACAAAAACTGGAAAGAATCTTTCTGAGAGACTGCTTTGTGATGTGTGCTTTCATCTGACAGAGTTAAACCTTTCTTGGTATTCAGCACTTTGGTAACACTGTTTTTGTCCATTGTGCAAATTTACATTTGGGAGCCCATTGAGGCCAATGGAGAAAAAATGAATATCCCAGGATAAAAACTAGAAGGAATCTATCTGAGAAAATGCTTGGTGATGTGTGCATTCATCTCACAGTTTTAAAACTTTCTTTTGATTCAGTAGTTTGGAAACACAATTTTCTTAGAATCTGCAAAGAGATATTTTGTAGTACGTTGAGGAATATGGTGAAAAAGGATATATCTTCAGATAAAAACTGGAAATAACCTTTCTGAGAGACTGCTTTGTGATGTGTACATTCATCTCACAGAGGTAAACCTCTCTTTTGATTTAGCAGTTTGGAAACAGAGTTTTCTTAGAATCTGCAAAGAGATATTTGGTGCCACATAGAGGCCTATGGTGAAAAAAGAAATATCTTTAGATAAAAACTAGAAAGAACCTTTCTGAGAAACAGCTTTGTGATGTGTGCATTCATCCCACAGAGTTAAAATTTTCTTTGGATTCAGCAGTTTGGAAACACAGTTTTCTTAGAATCTGCAAAGACATATTTGGTGCCACGTTGAGGCCCATGGTGAAAAAGGAACTATCTTCAGATAAAAACTAGAAAGAACCTTTCTGAGAAACTGCTTTGCAATGTGTGCATTCATCTCACAGAGGTAAACCTTTCTTTACTTTCAGTAGTTTGGGAACACAGTTTCCTTAGATTCTGCGAGCCGATATCTGGTAGCGCAATGAGGCCTCATGTGAAAAAGGAAATATCTTCAGACAAAAACTGGAGAGAATCTTTCTAAGAGACTGCTTTGAGATTTGTGCATTCATCTGACAGAGTTAAACCTTTCTTGATATTCAGCACTTCGGTAACGTTGTTTGTGTCCACTGTGAGAATGGACATTTGGAAGCTCATTGAGGCCAAAGGCAAAAAAGTGAATATCCCAGGATAACTTTAAGGAAGATATCTGAGAAAACACGTGGTGTTGTGTGCATTCATCTTGCAGTGTTACACCTTTCTTTTGATTCAGTTGTTTGGAAACACAGTTTTGTTAGAATCTGCGAAGAGATATTTGGTAGCACATTGAGGCCTGTGGTGAAAAAGGAAATATCTTCAGATAAAAACTAGGAAGAATCTTTCTGAGAAACTGCTTTGTGGTGTGTGCATTCATCTCACAGAGATAAACATTTCTTTGGATTCAACAGTTTGTTAACACTGTTTTTGTCCATTCTGCGAATGGACATTTGGGAGCTCATTGAGGTCAATGGCAAAAAAGTGAATATCTTATAATGAAAACTAGAAGGAAGATGTCTGAGAAAACGCCTTCTGATGTATGCATTCATCTCACAGTCTTAAACATTTCTTTTCATTCAGCAGTTTGGAATCACTCCTTCTGGAGGATCTGTGAAGGAATATTTGTAGCACCTTGAGGCCTGTGGCAAAAAAGGAAACATCTTCAGATACAAACTCAAAAGAAGCTTAAGGAGAAACTGCTTTGTGATGTGTTGAATTATCTCACAGTGTTAAACGTATCTTTTGATCCAGCAGTTTGGAAACAGAGTTTTGTTGGAATCTACAAAGAGATATTTGGTGCCACATTGAGTCCTATGGTGAAAAAGCAAACATCTTCAGATAAAAACTAGAAAGAAGCTTCATGAGAAACTGCTTTGTGATGTGTGCATTCATCTCACAGAGTTAATGCACTTTACTTTCTTTACTTTCAGTATATTGGGAACCCAGTTTCCTTAGATTCTGCAAGCAGATATTTGGTAGCACAGTGAGGCATATTGTGAAAAAGGACATATCTTCAAACAAAAACTGGAAAGAATCTTTCTGAGAGACTCCTTTGTGATGTGTGCATTCATCTGACAGAGTTAAACATTTCTTGATATTCAGCGCTTTGGTAACACTGTTTTTATCTATTGTGCGAATGGACATTTGGGAGCTCACTGAGGCCAAAGGTGAAAAACTGAATATCACAGGATAACCTCTAGGAAGATAACTAAGAAAATGCATGGTGATGTGTGCATTCATCTTGCAGTGTTAAATCTTTCTTTTGATTCAGTAGTTTGGGAACATGGTTTTCTTAGAATCTGCAAAGAGATATTTAGTAGCACATTGAAGCCTATGGTGAAAAAGGAAATATCTTCAGATAAAAACTAGAAAGAACCTTTATGAGAGACTGCTTTGCTCTGTGTCCATTAATCTCACAGAGTTAAACCTTTGTTTTGATTCAGTAGCTTGGAATCACAGTTTTCTTAGAATCTGCAAAGAGATATTTGGGACCACATTGAGGCCTTTGTTGAAAAAGGAAATATCTTCAGATAAAAACTACAAAGAACCTGTCTGAGAAACTGCTTTGTGGTGTGTGCATTCATCTCACAGAGTTAAACCTTTCTTTTGATTCAGCAGTTTGGGAACAGTTTTCTGAGAATCTGCAAAGGGAAATTTAGTGCCACATTGAGGCCTATGGTGAAAAAGAAATCTCTTCAGATAAAAAATAGAAAGAACCTTTGTGAGAAACTGCTTTGTGATGTATGCCTACATCTTACAGAATTAAAACTTTCTTTTGATTCAGCATTTTGGAAACACAGTTTTCTTAGAATCTGCAAGTAGTTATTTGGTAGTGCAATGAGGCTTATTGTGAAAAAGGAAATAACTTCAGAGAAAAATTGGAAAGAATCTTTCTGAGAGACTGCATTGTGATGTGTGCATTCAGCTGACAAAGATAAACCTTTCCTGGTATTCAGCACTGTAGTAACACTGTTTTTGTCCATTGTACGTATGGACATCTGGGAGCTCCTTCAGGCCAATGGCGAAAAAGTGAATGTCCCATAATGAAAACTAGAAGGAAGATGTCTGAGAAAACGCCTTGTGATGTGTGCATTCATCTCACAGTGTTAAACCTTTCTTTTCATTCAACAGTTTTGAAACACTGTTTCTGGAGAAACTGTGAAGGAATATTTGGCAGCACATTGAGGCCTATGGCAAAAAAGGTAACATCTTCAAAGAAAAACTAAAAAGAAACTTAATGAGAAACTGCTTTGTGATGTGTTGAATCATCTCACAGAGTTCAGCCTATCTTTTGCTTCAGCAGTTTGTGAACAGTTCTTTTAGAATCTGCAAAGAATAAATCATGCCATGTTGAGGCCTATGCTGATAAAGAAAATATCTTCAGATAAAAACTAGAAAGAACCTTTCTGAGAAACTGCTTTGTGATATGTACATTCATCTCACAGAGCTCAACCTTTCTTTTGATTCAGCAGTTTGGAAACAGTTTTCTTAGAATCTGCAAAGGGATATTTGTTGCCACATTGAGGCCTATGGTGAAAAAGGAAATATCTTCAGATAAGAACTAGAAAGAACTATTCTGAGAATATGCTTCATGATGTGTGCATTCATCTCACAGAAATAAAACTTTCTTTGGATTCAGCAGTTGGTTAACACCGTTTTTTTTCCATTCTGTGAATGGACATTTGGGACATCATTGAGGTCAATGACAAAAACGTGAATAACCCATAATGAAAACAAGAAGGAAGATGTCTGAGAAAACGCTTTATGGTGTGTGCATTCATCTCACAGTGTTAAACCTTTGTTTTTCATTCAGTAGTTTGGAAACACTGTTTTTGGAGAATCTATGCAGGATTACTTGGCAGTGCATTGAGGCCAATGGCTAAAAAGGAAACATCTTCTGATAAAAACTCCAAAGAAGTTTAATGAGAAGCTGCTTTGTGATTTGCTGAATCATCTCACAGAGTTAAACCTATCATTTGATTCTGCAGTTTGGAAACACAGTTTTCTTAGAATCTGCATAGACATATTTGGTGCCACATTGAGTCCCATGGTGAAAAAGAAAACTTCTTCAGATAAAAACTAGAAAGAAGTTTAATGAGAAAATGCTTTGTGATGTGTGCATTCATCTCACAGAGTTAAACGTTTCTTTACATTCAGTAGTTTTGGAACACAGTTTCCTTAGATTCTACAAGCAGATATTTGGTAGTGCAATGAGGCCTATAGTGAAAAAGGAAATATCTTCTGATAAAAACTGGAAAGAATCTTCCTGAGAGACTGGTTTGTGATGTGTGCTTTCATCTCACAGACTTAAACCTTTCTTGATATTCAGCACTTTGGTAACACTGTTTTTGTGCATTGTGTGAATGGACATTTGGGAGCTCATTGAGGCCAAAGGTGAAAAAGTGATAATCACAGGATAATTTTAAAGAGGATATCTGAGAAAACGCTTGCTGTTGTGTGCATTCATCTCACAGTGTTAAACCTTTCTTTTGATTCAGTAGTTTGGAAACACACTTTTCTTTGAATCTTCAAAGAGATATTTTGTAGCCCATTGAAGCCTATGATAAAAAAGGAAATATCTTAAGATAAAAACTAAAGAGAACATTTCTGAGATAATGTTTTGCACTGTGTGCATTCATTTCATACCGTAAATCTTTCTTTCAATTCAGCCATTTGTAAACACAGTTTTCTTAGATTCTGTGAGCAGATATTTTGTAGCCCAATAAGGCCTATTGTGAAAAACAAAATATCTTAAGACAAAAACTGGAAAGAATCTTTCTGAGAGACTGCTTTGTGCTGTGTGCATTCATCTGACAGAGTTAAACCTTTCTTTATATTCAGCACTTTGGTAATGCTGTTTTTGTCCATTGTGCAAATGGACATTTGGGAGCTCATTGAGGCCACTGGCAAAAAAGTGAATATCCCAGGATAAAAACTTGAAGCAAGATATCTGAGAAAACGCTTGGTGATGTGTGCATTCATCTCACAGTGTTAAACCTTCGTTTTTCATTCAGCAGTTTGGAAACACTGTTTCTGGAGAATCTGCGAAGGAAAATTTGACAGGGCTTTGAGGCCTATGGAGAAAAAGGAAACATCTTCAGATAAAAACTCAAAAGAAGCTTAATGAGAAACTGATTTGTGATTTGCTGAATCATCTCACAGTTAAACTTATCTTTTGATTCTGCAGTTTGGAAACACAGTTTTCTTAGAAGCTGCTAAGAGATATTTGGTGCCACATTGAGTCCCACGGTGAAAAAGAAAACATCTTTAGATAAAAACTAGAAAGAGCTTAATGCTTAATGAGAAACTGCTTTGTGATGTGAGCTTTCATCTCACAGAGTTAAACATTTTTTACATTCAGGTGTTTGGGAACACAGTTTCCTTAGATTCTGCAAGCAGATATTTGGTAGCGCAATGAGGCTTATTGTGAAAAAGGAAATATCTTCTTACAAAAACTGGAAAGAATCTTCCTGAGAGGCTGCTTTGTGGTGTGTGCTTTCATCTGACAGAGTTAAACCTTTCTTGATATTCAGCATTTTGGTAACACTGTTTTTGTCCATTGTGTGAATGGACGTTTGGGAGTTCATTGAGGTGATAGGCAAAAAAGTGAATATCCCAGGATAACTTTGAGGAAGAGATCTGAGAAAAAGCTTGCTGTTGTGTGCATTCATCTCACAGTGTTAAACCTTTCTTTTGATTCAGTAGTTTGGAAACAAAGTTTTCTTTGAATCTGAGAAGAGATATTTGGTAGTGCATTTAGGCCTATGGTGAAAAAGGAAGTATCTTCAGATAAAAACTGGAAATAACCTTTCTGAGAGACTGCTTTGCAATGTGTGCATTCATCTCACACAGTTAAACCTTTCTTTGGATTCAGCAGTTTGGAAACACAGTTTTCTTAGTTTCTGCAAGCAGATATTTGAAAGCCCAATGAGGCCTATTGTGAAAAACGACATATCTTAAGACAAAAACTGGAAAGAATATTTCTGAGAGACTGCTTTGTGACGTGTGCATTCATCTGACAGAGTTAAACCTTTCTTTGTATTCAGCACTTTGGTAACACTGTTTTTGTCCACTGTGTGAATGGACATTTGGGAGCTCATTGAGGCCGATGGCAAAGAAGTGAGTATCCCAGGATAAATACTGGAAGGAAGATATCTGAGAAAATACTTGGTGATGTGTGCATTCATTTCACAGTGTTAAACATTTCTTTTGATTCAATAGTTTGGAAATACTGTTTTCTTATGGTCTGCAATGAGATATTTTGTAGCCCATTGAGGCCTATGGTGAAAAAGGAAATATCTTCAGATAAAAACTAGAAAGAAACTTTCTGAGAGACTGCTTTGTGATGCATGCATTCATTTCACAGAGTCAAACGTTTATTTGATTCAGCAGTTTGGAAACACAGTTTTCTTAGAATCTGCAAAGAGATATTTTGTGCCACATTGAAGCCTATGGTGAAAAAGGAAATATCTTCAGATAAGAACCTTTCTGAGAAACTGCTTTGTGATCTTTGCATTCCTGTAAAAGAGTTGAACAATTCTTTTGATTGAGCAGTTGGGAATCACTGTATTTGTAGAATCTGCAAAGGGATATCTGTGAGCACTTTGGATCCTATGTTGAAAAAGGAAATACCCTCACAGAAAACTAGCAAGGAGCTTTCTTAGAAACTGCTTTGTGATCTGTGCATTCATCTCACAGAGCTAAAACATTCTTTTGATTTAGCAATTTGGAAACACAGTGTTTGCAGAATCTGTGAAGGGATTTTTGGAGTCTCATGGAGGGCTGGGGTGAAAAAAGAAGTATTTTCTGATACAAGCTAGATGGAAGCTTTCTAAGAGACTGCTTTGTGATATGTGCATTCATCTCACAGAGTTGAACCATTCTTTTGATGGAGCAGTTTGGAACCACTGTTTTCATAGAATCTGTGAAGAGATATTTTGATTCATATGGAGGCCTGTGGTGAAAAAGGATATATCTTCTGATACAAACTAGACAGAACCTTTCTGAGAGAATATTTTGTGATGTGTGCATTCATCTCACAGACTTTAACCATTCTTTTGGTTGAGCAGTTTGGAAACACAGTGTTTGTAGAATCTGCAAAGGGATATTTTAAGGTGTGTGGAGGCTTGTGGTAAAAAAGGATGTATCTTCTGATACAAAGTAGACAGAAATTTTTGGAGAGACTGCTTTGTGAATTGTGCATTCACCTCACTTAGATGAACCATTCTGTTGATGGAGCAGTTTGGAACCACTGCTTTTGTAGAATTTGCAAAGGGTTATTTGGGGACCCTTTGAGGCCTATTGTGAAAAAGGAAATATCCTCACATAAAAACTAGAAAGGAGCATTCTGAGAAACTTCTTTGTGATATGTGCATTCATCTCACAGAGTTAAAAGTTTCTTTTGATGGAGGATCTTGGAAACACCGTTTTTGTAGAGTCTGAAAAGGGATATTTCAGAGCAATTTCAGGCCTATGGGGAGAAAGGAAATACCTTCCCTTAAAAACCCGAAGGAAGGTTTCTGAGAAACTGCTTTGTGATGTGTGCACTACTCTCACAGAGCTGAACCATTCTTTTGATTGAGCAGATTGGAACCACTGTTTTTCTGGGATCTGCAAAGGAATATTTGTGACAGCTTTGAGGCCTATGGTGAAAAGGAAGTATCCTCACATAAAAACTAGAAAGGAGCTTACTTAGAAACTGCTTTGTGATCTGTGCATTCATCTCACAGAGTTAAACCGTTCTTTTCATTGAACATTTTGGAAACACCATTTTTGGAGAATCTGCAAAAGGATATTTGGGACTGCTTTCAGGCCTATGGTGAAAAAGGAAATATCTTCACCTAAAAACTCGAAGGAAGCTTTCTGAGAAACTGCTTTGTTATGTGTGCATTCCTCTCACAGAGTTGAACCATGCTTTAGATTGAGCAGTTTGGAAACACAATGTTTGTAGAATCTGCAAAGGGATATTTGGATTCACATGGAGGCCTGTGATAAAAAAAGGAAATAACTTCTGAAACAAAATAGACAGAAGCTTTTGGAAACAGTGCTTTCTGATGCGTGAATTAATCTCACAGAATTGGACAATTCTTTTAATAGAGCAGTTTGGAACCACTGTTTTTCTAGAATCTGCAAAGGGATATCCATGAGTGCTTTGAGGTCTATGGTGAAAAAGGAAATATCCTCACATAAATTCTAGAAAGGAGCTTTCTTAGAAACTGCTTTGTGATGTGTGCATTCATCTCACAAATGCAAACCATTGTTTTGATTGATAAGTTTGGAACACAGTGTTTGTAGAATCTGTGAAGGGATATTTGGATTCGCATGGAGGCCTGTGGTGAAAAGGGAAATGTCTTCCAATACAAACTAGACAGAAGCTTCCTGAGAGAGTGATTTATAATGTGTGTATTCATCCCACAGGGTTAAACGTTTCTTTTCATTTAGCAGTTTGGAAACTATTTTTCTAGAATGTGAAAAGGAATATTTGGGAGTGCATTGAGGCCTATGGTGAAAAAGCAAATATCTTCCAATGCAAAGTAGAACGAGAGTTACTGAGAAACTTCTTTGTGATGTGTGCATTCATCTCACAGAGTTGAACCATTCTTTTGATTGAGCAGTTTGGAAACACAGTGTTTGAAGTATCTGTGAAGGGATATTTGGATTCGCCATGAGGACTATGGGGAAAAAGGAAATATCTTCTGATACAAACTAGACAGAAGCTTTCTGGGAGAGTGGTTTGGGATGTGTGCATTGAACTCACAGTTAAACATTTCTTTTAATTGAGCAGTTTGGAAACTCTGTTCTTCTAGAATTGACAAAGGAATATTTGGGAGTGCATTGAGGTGTATGGTGAAAAAGGAAATATTTTCTGATAGAAACTAGAAAGAAAGTTTCTGAGAAACTGCTTTGTGATGTGTGTGTTCATCTCACCGAGTTGAACCATTCTTTTGATTGAGCAGTTTGCAAACACAGTGTTTGTAGAATCTGCAAAGGGATATTTGGATTCTCATGGCAGGCTGTGGTGTAAAAGGAAATATCTTCTGATACAAACTAGACAGAAGCTTTCTGAGAGACTGCTTTGTGATGTGTGCATTCATCTCACAGAGTTGAACCATTCTTTTGATGGAGCAGTTTGGAACCACTGTTTTTGTAGAATCTGCAAAGTGATAATTGGGAACCCTTTGAGTCTTATGGTGAAAAAGGAAATATCTTCACATGAAAACTAGAAAGGAGCTTTCTGAGAAACTGCTTTGTGATATGTGCATTCATCTCACAGTTAAAACTTTCTTTGATGGATCATTTTGGAAACATGGTTTTTGCAGAATCTGCAAAGGGATATTTCAGAGCACTTTCAAGCCTATGGTGAAAAAGGAAATATCTTCACCTAAAAACTCGAAGGAAGCTTTCTTAAAAACTGTTTGTAATGTGTGAATTCCTCCCACAGAGTTGAACCATTCTTTTTATTGAGCAGTTTGGAATCACTGTTTTTGTAGAATCTGCAAAGGTACATTTGTGAGCACTTTGAGGGCTTTTGTGAAAAAGGAAACAACCTCACATAAAAATTAGAAAGGAGTTTTCTTAGAAACTGCTTTGTGGCCTGTGTTTCATCTCACTGAATTAAACAATTCTTTTGATTGAGCAGTTTGGAAACACAGTGTTTGAAGTATCTGCGAAGGGATATTTGGATTCACCATGAGGACTGTGGGGATAAAGGAAATATCTTCTGATACGAACTAGACAGAAGCTTTCTGGGAGACTGCTTTGGGATGTGTGCATTGAACTCACAGTTAAACGTTTCTTCTAATTGAGCAGTTTGGAAACTCTGTTCTTCTAGAATCTGCCAAGGGAGCACATTCTGGCCTATGGTGAAAAAAGAAATATCTTCCAATACAAACTAGAAAGAGAGTTTCTGAGAAACTGCTTTGTGATGTCTGCATTCATCTCCAGAGTGGAACCATTCTTTTGATTGAGCAGTTTGGAAACACAGTGTTTGTGGAATCTGTGAAGGGATATTTGGATTCGCATTGAAGCCTATGGTGAAAAAGGAAATATCTTCACATAAAAACTCAAAGGAAGCTTTCTGAGAAACTGCTTCATGATGTGTGCATTCCTCTCAGAGACTTGAACCATTCTTTTGATTGAGTAGTTTAGAAGGACTCTTTTTCTAGAATCTGCAAAGGGATATTTGTGAGCACTTGGACGTCTATGGAGGAAAAGGAAATATTCTCACATAAAAAGTAGAAAGGAGTTTTCTTAGACACTGCTTTGTGATCTGTTCGTTCATCTCACAGAGTTAAACCTATCTTTTGATTGAGCAGTTTGGAAACACAGCGTTTGAAGAATCTGAGAAGGGATATTTTGATTCACCTTGAAGCCTATGGGGAAAAATGAAATATCTTCTGATACAAACTGAAGGGGTGGCCTGCCCCTCCACACTTGTGGGTATTTCTAGTCGGGTGGGACAAGAGACTGAGAAAAGAAATAAGACACAGGGACAAAGTATAGAGAAACAACAGTGGGCTCAGGGGACCAGCACTCAGCACACCAAGGACGTGCACCGGCACCGGCCTCTGAGTTCATTATTATTTTCATTATTTCAGCAAAAAGAATGTAGTAGGAGAACAGGGTGATAATTAGGAGAAGGTCAGCAAAAAACTTGTGAGCAAAAGAATCTATGTCATAATGAAGTTCAAGGGAAGGTACTGTGCCCGGATGTGCAAGTAAGCCAGATTTATGTTTCTCTCCACCCAAACATCTCAGTGTAGTAAAGAAGAACAAGGCAGCATTGCTGCAAACATGTCTCACCTCCCACCATAGGGCAGTTTCTCTCCTATCTCAGAATTGAACAAATGTACAATCGGGTTTTATACCAAGACATTCAGTTCACAGGGGCAGTCAGGAGACAGTGGCCTTCCTTTATCTCAACTGTAAGAGGCTTTCCTCTTTTATTAATCCACCTCTGCACAGACCCTTTATGGGTGTCAGGCTGGGGGATGGTCAGGTCTTTCTCATCCCATGAGGCCATATTTCAGACTATCACATGGGGAGAAACCTTGGACAATACCCCACTTTCAAGGGCAGAGGTCCCTGCAGCTTTCCACAGTGCATTGTGCTCCTGGTTTACTGAGACTAGATAATGGCAATGACCTTTATCAAGTATACTGCCTGTAAACATTTTCTTAACAAGGCATGTCCTGCACAGCCCTACATCCCTTAAACCTTGATTTCATACAACACTTGTTTTTGTGGGCTCCAGGTTGGGTCAAAGTGGCTGGGGCAAAGTTGCAAATTAATAACATCTCAGCAAAGCAATTATTTAAAGTACAGGTCTTTTTCAAAATGGAGTCTCTTATGTCTTTCCTTTCTACATAGACACAGTAACAGTCTGATCTCTCTTTCTTTTCCCTACAACAAACTAGACAGAAACTTTCTGAGAGAATGCTTTGTGATGTGTGCATTCGTCTCACAGAGTTAAATGTTTTTTTTCATTGGGCAGTTTGTAAACTCTGTTCTTGAATCTGCAAAGGGATATTTGGGAGCACATTGAGGCCAAAGGCAAAAAAGAAATATCTTCTGATACAAATTAGAATGAGATTTTCTGAGAAACTGCTTGGTGATGTGTGCATTCATCTCACAGAGTTGAACCATTCTTTTGATTGAGCAGTTTGGAAACACAGTGTTTGTAGAATCTGCGAAGGGATATTTTGATTCACATGGAGGCCTGTGGTGAAAAAGAAAATATCTTCTGATACAAACTAGATAGAAGATTTCTGAGAGAATGCTTTGTAGTGTGTGCATTCATCCCATAGAGTTAAACATGTCTTTTAATTGAGCAGTTGGTAAACTTTGTTCTTCTAGAATCTGCAAAGGGATATTTGGGAGAGCACTGAGGCCTATGGTGAAAAAGAAATATCTTCCGATTCAAACTATAAAGAGAGTTTCTGAGAAGCTGCTTTAAGATGTGGGCATTCATCTCACAGAATTGAACCATTCCTTTGTTTCAGCAGTTTGGAAAAACAGTGTTTGTAGAATCTGTGAAGGGATATTTGGATTTGCATGGAGGCCTGTGGTGAAAAAGAAAATATCTTCTGTTGCAAACTAGACAGAAGCTTTCTGAGAGACTGTTTTGTGATGTCTGCATTCATCCCACAGATTTAAACGTTTCTTTTCATTGAGCAGTTTGGAAACTCTGCTCTTCTAGAATCTGCAAAGAGATATTTGGGAGTGCTTTCAGGCCTATTGTGAAAAAGGAAACATGATCCAATACAAACTAGGAAGAGAGTTTCTGAGAAACTGCCTTGTGACGTGTGCATTCATCTCACAGAGTTTAACCATTGTTTTGACTGAGCAGTCTGGAAATACAGTGTTCATAGAATCTGAGAAGGGATATTTGGATTCACATCTAAGCCTGTGGTGAAAAAGGAAATATCTTCTGATACAAACTGGACAGAAACTTTCTCAGAGATTGCTTTGTGATGTGTGCATTCATCTCCCAGATTTGAAGCATTCTTCTGATGGAGCAGTTTTGAACCACTGTTTTTGTAGAATCTGCAAAAGGATATTTGGGAACTCTTTCAGTCTTATGGTGAAAAAGGAAATGTCCTCACATAAAAACTAGAAAGGAGCTTTCTGAGAAACTGCTTTGTGATATGTGCATTCAGCTCACAGGGTTAAAATTTGCTTTTGATGGAGCATTTTGGAAACACCGTTTTTGTAGAATCTGCAAAGGGATATTTCGGAGTGCTTTCAGGCATATGGTTAAAAAAAGAATATCTTCACCTAAAAACTCAAAGAAAGCTTTCTGAGAAACTTCATCATGTGTGAATTCCTCTCACAGAGTTGAACCATTCTTTTGATTGAGCAATTTGGAACAACTGTTTTCCTAGAATCTGCAATGGGATATTTGTGAGTGCTTTGGGGTCTATGGTGAAAAGGGAAATATCCTCACATAAAAACTAGAAAGGAGTCTTCTTAGAAACTTCTTTGTCATCTGCACATTCATCTGACAGAGTTAAACCATTCTTTTGATTGAGCAGTTTGGAAACACAATGTTTGAATAATCTGAGAAGGAATATTTGGATTCACCTTGAGGCCTATGGGGAAAAAGGAAATACCTTCTGATACAAACTAGACAGAAGCTTTCTGAGAGACTGCTTTGTGATACATGCATTCATCTAAGAGAGTTAAAAGTTTCCTTTCACTGAGCAGTTTGGAAACTCTGTTCTTCTAGAATCTGCAAAGGGATATTGGGAAGCGCATTGAGGCCTATGGTGAAAAAGGAATTATCTTCCAATACAAACTGGGAAGAGAGTTTCTGAGAAACGGCTTTGTGATGTGTGCATTCATCTCACAGAGCTGAGCCATTCTTTTGATTCAGCAGTTTGGAACCACTGTTTTTCTTTTTTTTTTTTAATTATTTTATTTTATTTTTTTTAATTATACTTTAAGTTTTAGGGTACATGTGCACATTGTGCAGGTTAGTTACATATGTATACATGTGCCATGCCAGTACACTGCACCCACCAACTCATCATCTAGCATTAGGTATATCTCCCAATGCTATCCCTCCACCCTCCCCCCACCCCACCACAGTCCCCAGAGTGTGATATTCCCCTTCCTGTGTCCATGTGATCTCATTGTTCAGTTCCCACCTATGAGTGAGAATATGTGGTGTTTGGTTTTTTGTTATGGCTATAAATCACGCTGCTATAAAGACACATGCACATGTATGTTTATTGTGGCATTATTCACAATAGCAAAGACTTGGAACCAACCCAAATGTCCAACAATGATAGACTGGATTAAGAAAATGTGGCACATATACACCACGGAATACTATGCAGCCATAAAAAATGATGAGTTCATGTTCTTTGTAGGGACATGGATAAAATTGGAAATCATCATTCTCAGTAAACTATTGCTGGAACCACTGTTTTTCTAGAATGTGCAAAAAGATATTTGTGAGAGCTTTGAGGTCTATGGTAAAAAAGGAAATATCCCCACATAAAAACTACAAAGGAGCTTTCTTAGAAAAGGCTTTGTGATCTGTGCATTCGTCTCACGGAGTTAAACCATTCTTTTGGTTGAGCAGTTTGGAAACACAGTGTTTGAAGAATCTGTGAAGGGATATTTGGATTCACATTGAGGTTTACAGGGAAAAAGGAAATATCTTCTGATACAAAGTAGACAGAAGCTTTCTGAGGGACTGCTTTGAGATGTGTGTATTTATCTCACAGAGTTGAACCTTTCTTTTGATTGAGCAGTTTGGAAACAGTCTTTTTGTAGAATCTGCAATGGGAAGTTTGTGAGCGGTTTGAGGCTTATGGTGAAAAAGGAAATATCTTCACATAAAAACTAGACAGAAGCTTTCTGAGAGACTGCTTTGTGATGTGTGCATTCATCTCACAGAGTTAAACATTTCTTTTCATTGAGCAGTTTGGAAACTCTGTTCTTCTAGAGTCTGCAAAGGGATATTTGGGAGTACATTGAGGCCCATAGTGAAAAAGGAAATTTCTCTAATACAAACAAGAAAGAGAGATTTTGAGAAATTACTTTGTAATGTGTGCATTCATCTCAAAGAATTTAACCATTCTTTTGATGGAGCAGTTTGGAAACACAGTGTTTGTAGAATCTGCAAAGGGATATTTGGATTCGCATGGAAGCCTGTGGAGAAAAAGGAAATATCTTCTAACACCAACTAGACAGAAGCTTTCTGTGAGACTGCTTTGTGATGTATGCATTCATCTCACAGAGTTGAACCATTCTTTTGATGGAGCACTTTGGAACCACTGTTTTTGTGGAATCTGCAAAGGGATATTTGGGAGCCATTTGAGTCTTATGGTGAAAAAGGAAATATCCTCACATAAAAACTAGTAAGGAGCTTTGTGAGAAACTGCTTTGTGATATGTGCATTCATCTCACAGAGTTAAAACTTTCCTTTGATGGAGCATTTTGGAAACACCATTTTTGTAGGATCTGCAAAGGGATGTTTCAGAGCACCTTCAGGCCTCTGGTGAAAAAGGAAATATCCTCACATAAAAACTAGAAAGGAGCTTTTTAGAAACTGCTTTGTGATCTGTCCATTCATCTCACAGAGTTAAACCATTCTTTTGATTGCGCAGTTTGGAAACACAGTGTTTGAAGAATCCATGAAAGGATATTGGATTTGCTTTGAGGCCTATGGTGACAAAGGGAATATCTTCTGATACAAACTAGAAAGAAGCTTTCTGAGAGGCTGCTTTGTGATGTGTGCATTCATCTCACAGAGTTAAACGTTTCTTTTCATTGAGCAGTTTGGAAACTCTGTTCTTCTAGAGTCTGCAAAGGGATATTTGGGAGCACATAGAGTCCTGTGGTGAAAAAGGAAATATCTTCAGATACAAGCCAGAAAGAGAGTTTCTGAGAAACTGCCTTGTGATATGTGCATTCATCTCACAGAGCTTAACAATTCTTCTGATTGAGCAGTTTGGAAATACAGTGTTTGTAGAATCTGCAAAGGGATATTTGGATTCATGTGGAAGCCTGTGGAGAAAAAGGAAATACCTTCTGACACAAACTAGACAGAGACTTTATGAGAGACTGGTTTGAGATGTGTGCATTCATCTTATGGAGGTGAAACAGTCTTTTGATGGAGCAGTTTGGAACCACTGTTTTTGTAGAATCTGCAAAAGGATATTTGGGAGCCCTTTGAGTCTTATTGGGAAAAGGAAATATCCTCACATAAAAACTAGAAAGGAGCTTTCTTAGAAACTGCTTTGTGATAGATGCATTCATCTCACAGAGTTAAAACTTTCTTTTGGTGGAGCATTTTGGAAACACCATTTTTGTAGAATCTGCAAAGGGATGTTTTAGAGTACTTTCCGGCCTATGGTGAAAAAGGAAATATCTTCACCTAAAAACTCGAATGAATATTTCTGAGAAACTGCTTTGTGATGTGTGCATTCCTCTCACAGAGTTAAACCATTTTTTTTTGATTGAGCAGTTTGGAATCACTGTTTTGTAGAATCTGCAAAGGGCAAAGTGATATTTGTGAACACTTTGAGGTCTATGGTGAAAGAGGAAATACCCTCAAACAAATTCTAGAAAGGAGATTTCTTAGATACTGCTTGATCTGTGCTTTCATCTCACAGAGTTAAACCATTCTTTCGTTTGAGCAGTTTGGAATCACAGAGTTTGAAGAATGTGTGAATGGATATTTGGATTCACCTTGAGGCCTATGGTGAAAAAGGAAATATGTTCCAATACAAAGTAGAAAGAGGGTTTCTGAGAAACTGCTTTGTGATGTGTGCATTCATCTCACAGAATTGAACCATTCTTTTGATTGAGCAGTTTGGAAACTCTGTTCTTCTAGAATCTGCAAAGGGATATTTGGATTCACCTTAAGACCTATGGTAACAAAGGAAATACCTTCTGTTACAAACTAGACAGAAGCTTTCTGAGAGACTGCTTTGCAATGTGTGCATTCTTCTCACAGAGTTAAGTGTTTCTTTTCATTGAGCAGTTTGGAAACTCTTTTCTTCTAGAATCTGCAAAGGGATATTTCAGAGTGCATTGAGGCCTATGGCGAAAAAGGAAATATCTTCCAATACAAATGAGAGAGTTTCTGAGAAACTGCTTTGTGATGTGTGCATTCATATCACAGAGTTGAGCCATTCTTTCGATTGAGCAGTTTGGAAACAGTGTTTGTAGAAACTGCAAAGGGATATTCGGATTCACATGGAGGCCTGTGGTGAAATAGGAAACATCTTCTCATACAAACTAGACAGAAGCTTCCTGAGAGACTGCTTTGTGATGTGTGCATTCAACTCACAGAGTTGAACCATTCTTTTGATGGAGCAGTTTAGAACCACTGTTTTTGTGGAATCTGCAAAGGGATATTTCAGAGTGCTTTCAAGCCTATGGTGAAAAAGAAAATATCCTCACATAAAAACTAGAAAGGAGCTTTCTAAGAAACTGCTTTGTGTTGTGTGCATTCATTTCACAGAGTTAAAGCTTTCTTTTGATGGAGCATTTTGGAAACACCGTTTTTGTAGAATCTGCAAAGGGATATTTCAGAGCACTTTCATGCCTATGGTGAAAAGGGAAATACCTTCACCTAAAAACTCGAAGGAAGGTTTCTGAGAAACTGCTTCATGATGTGTGCATTCCTCTCACAGAGTTGAACCATTCTTTTGATTGAGCAGTTTAGAACCTCTGCTTTTCTAGAATCTGTAAAGGGATATATGAGCACTTTGAGGTCTATACTGAAAAAGGAAATATCTTCACATAAAAACTAGAAAGGAGCTTTCTTAGAAACTGCTTTGTGATATCTGTGTTCATCTCAGAAAGCTAAACCATTCTTTCGATTGAGCAGTTTCACAGTGTTTGAAGAATCTGTGAGGGGATATTTAGATTCACCTTGAGGCCTACAGTGACAAAGGAAATATCTTTTGATACAAGCTAGACAGAAGCTTTCTGAGAGACTGCTTTGCGATGTGTGCATTCATCTCACTGAGTTAAACATTTCTTTTCATAGAGCAGTTTGGAAACTCTGTTTTTGTAGAATCTGGAAAGGGATATTTGGGAGTGCATTGAGGCCTATGGTGAAAAAGGAAATATCTACCAATACAAGCTAGACAGAAGGTTCCAGAGAGACTGCTTTGTAATGTGTGCATTCATCTCACAGAGTTAAACGTTTCTTTTCATTGAGCAGTTTGGAAATTCTGCTCTTCTATAATCTGCAAAGGGATATTTGGGAGAGCATTGAGGCTTAAGGTGAAAAGGAAATATCTTTCAATAGAAAGTAGAAAGAGAGTTTCTGAGAAACTGCTTTGTGGTGTGTGCATTCATCTCACAGAGTTTAACCATTCTTTTGATTGAGCAGTTTGGAAACACAGTGTTTGTAGAATCTTTGAAGAGATATTACTTTTCGCATGGAACCTGTGGTGAAAAGGGAAATATCTAGAGATGCAAACTAGTCAGAAGCTTTCTGAGAGACTGCTTTGTGATGTATGCATTCATCTCACAGAGTTAAACCACTCTTTTGATGGAGCTGTTTGGAAACTGTTTTTGAAGAATCTGCAAATTGATATTTGGGAGCCTTTTGAGTCTTATGGTGAAAAAGGAAATATCCTACATAAATACTAAAAAGGAGCTTTCTGAAAAACTGCTTTGAGATATGAGCATTCATCTCACAGACTTTAAAATTTCTTTTGATGGAGCATTTTGGAGACACCATTTTTGTAGAATCTGCAAAGGGATATTTTGGAGGGCTTTCAAGCCTATGTTAAAAAAGGAAATATCTTCACCTAAAAACTAGAAGGAAGCTTTCTGAGAAACTGCTTCTTGATGTTTTCATTCCTATCACAGAGTTGAACCTTTCTTTTGATTGAGCAGTTTGGAACCACTGGTTTTCTAGAATCCACAAAAGGATATTTGTGAACACTTTGAGTTCTATGAAGAAAAAGTAAATATCCTCACACAAAAACTAGGAAGGACCTTTCTTAGAAACTGCTTTCTGATCTGTACGTTCATTTCACAGAGTTAAACCATTCTTTTGATTGAGCAGTTTGGAAACACAGTGTTTGAAGAATCCGTGAAGGGATACTTGGATTTGCCTTGAGGGCTATGGGGAAAAAGGAAATATCTTCTGATACAAACTAGACAGAATCTTTCTGAGAGACTGCTTTGTGATGAGTGCTTTCATCTCACAGAGTAAAACGTTTCTTCTCATTGAGCTGTTTGGAAACTCTTTCTTCTAGAAGCTGCAAAGGGATATCAGGGAGCACATTAAGGCTTATGGTGAAAAAGGAATTATCTTCTGATACAAACTAGAAAGAGAGTTTCTGAGAAACTTCTTTGTGATGTGGGCATTCAACTCACAGAGTTGAACCATAATTTTGATTGAGCAATTTGGAAACACAGTGTTTGTAGAATCTGCAAAGGGAAATTTTGATTCACATGGAAGTCTGTGGTGAAAAAGGAAATATCTTCAGAAACAAACTAGACAGAAGCTTTCTGAGAGAATGCTTTGCAATGTGTGCATTCATCCCAGAGAGTTATACGTTTAGTTTCATTGAGCAGTTTGGAAACTCTGTTCTTCTAGAATCTGCAAAAGGATATTTGGGAAAGCATAGAGGCCTATGGTGAAAGAGGAAATATTTTCTGATACAAACTAGAAAGAGAGTTTCTGAAAAACTGCTTTGTGATGTGTGCATCCATCTCACAGAGTTGAACCATTGTTTTGATTGAGCATATTGGAACCACTGTTTTTCTAGAATCTGCAAAGGGATATCTGTGAGTGCTTAGAGGTCTATAGTGAGAAATGAAATATCCTCACATAAAAACTAGAAAAAAGCTTTCTTAGAAACTGCTCTGTGATCTGTGCATTCATCTCACAGAGTTAAACCATTCTTTTGATTGAGCTGTTTGGAAACACAGGGTTTGAAGAATCTGCCAAGGGGTATTTGGATTTGCTTTTAGGTCTATGGTGAAAAAGGAAATATCTTCTGATACAAAGTAGAGAGAAGCTTTCTGGGAGACTGCTTTGAGATATGTGCATTCATCTCACAGAGTTTCTTTTCATTGAGCAGTTTGGAAACTGTTCTTCTAGAATCTGCAAAGGGATATTTGGGAGAGCATTGAGGACTATGGTGAAAAAGGAAATATCTTCCAATAAACACCAGAAAGAGAGTTTCTGAGAAACTGCTTTGTGATTTTTGTATGTATCTCACAGAGCTGAACCAATCTTTTGATTGAACAGTTTGGAAACACAGTGTTTGTAGAATCTGTGAAGTGATATTTTGATTTGCATGGAGGCCTGTGGTGAATAAGGAAATATCTTCTGATACAAACTAGACACAAGTTTTCTTAGAGAATGCTTTGTGATGTGTGCATTCATGTCACAGATTTGAACCATTATTTTGATGGAGCAGCTCGGAACCACTGTTTTTGTAGAATCTGCAAAGGGATATTTGGGAGCCCTTTGAGTCTTATGGTGAAAGTGGAAATATCCTTACATAGAAAACAGAAAGGAGCTTTCTGAGAAACTGCTTTCTGATATGAGCATTCATCTCACAGAGTAAAACTTTCTTTGATGGAGCATTTTTTAAACAACATTTTTGTGGAAACTGCAAAGGGATATTTCAGAGCGCTTTGAGCCCTACAGTGAAAAAGGAAATATCTTCACATAAAAACTAGCCAGAAGCTTTCTGAGAAACTTCTTTGTGATGCTTGCATTCATCTCAAAGAGTTGAAGCATTCATTTGATTGAGCCATTTGGAAACAGTCTTTTTGTAGAATCTGCAAAGAGATATTTCGGAACACTTTGAAGCCTATGGTGAAAAAGGAAATATCTCCACATAAAAACTAGAAAGAAGCTTTCTGAGAAACTGCTCTGTAATGCATGAATTCATCTCACAGAGGTAAATTTTTCTTTTCATTGAGAAGTTTACAAAATCTGTTCTTCTAGAATCTGCCAAGAGATATTTGTGAGCACTTTGAGGCCCTATGGTGAAAAAGGAAATATCTTCATGGAAAATCTAGACAGAAGCTTTCTGAGAAACTTTTTGTGATGTGTGCATTCATCTCACAGAGTTGAACCACACCTTTGATTGAGCAGTTTGGAAACCGTCTTTTTGTAGAATCTGCAAAGGCACATTTGTAAGTGCTTTGAGGCCTATGGTGAAAAGGAAATATCTTCACATAAAAAGTAGACAGAAGCTTTCTGAGAAACTTCTTTGTGATGTGTGCATTCATCTCAGATAGGTGAAACATACCTTTGAATGAGCAGTTTGGAAACAGTCTTTTTGAAGAATCTGAAAAGGGATATTTGGGAGTGCTTGGAGGCCTATTGTGAAAAAAGGAAATATCTTCACATAAAAACTAGAAAGAAGCTTTCTGAGAAACAGCTTTGTGATGTGTGCATTCATCTCATAGAGGTAAACGTTTCCTTTCATCGAGCAGCTTGGAATCTCTGTTCTTCTAGAACTGCAAAGAGATATTTGAGAGTTCTTTGAGGCCTATGGTGAAAAAGGAAACATCTTCACATAAAAACTGGACAGAAGCTCTTTGAGAAACATCTTTGTGATGTGTGCAATCATCTCTCAGAGTTGAACTATTCTTTTGATTGAGTAGTTGGGTAAATGTCTTTTTGTAGAATCTGCAAAGGGATATTTGGGAACACTTTGAGGAATATGGTGAAAAAAGAAATATCTTCACATAAATACTAGAAAAACGCTTTCTGATAAACTGCTTTGGGATGTGTGCATTCATCTCATAGAGGTAAACCTTTCTTTTCATTGAGCAGTTTGGAAACTCTGTTCTTTGAGGATCTCCACAGGGATATTTTTGAGTGCTTTGAGGCCTATGGTGAAAAAGGAAATAACTTCACATAAAAACTAGACAGAAACAATCTGAGAAACTTCTTTGGGGTGTATGCATACATCTCACAGGGTTGAACCATCATTGATTGAGCAGTGTGGAAATCATTTTTTTTTTTGTAGAATCTGCAAAGGGATATTTGGGAGCGCTTTGAGGGTGATGGTGAAAAAGGAACTATCTTCACATAAAAACTAGACAGAAGCTCTCCAAGAAACTACTTTGGGATGAGTGCACTCATCTCACAGAGGGAAAGGTTTCTTTCCATTGAGCAGTTTGGAATCTCTTTTCTTCTAGAATCAGCAAAGGGATATTTGTGAGAGATTGGAGGCCTATGGTGAAAAAGGAAATATCTTAACATAAAAACTATACAGAAGCATTCTGAGAAACTTCTTTGTGATGTGTGCTTTCATATCACAGAGTTTTACCTTTCTATTGATTGAGCAGTTTAGAAACAGTCTTTTTGTAGAATCTGCAAATGGATATTTGGAGTGCTTTGAGGCCTAGGGTGAAAAAGGAAATATCTTCATGTAACAACCAGATAGAAGCTTTCTGAGAAATTTCTTTTTGATGTATGCATTCAACTCACAGAGTTGAAGCATCCTTTTGATGGAGCTGTTTGGGTACAGTCTTTTGTAGAATCTGCAAAGGGATATTTGTGAGTGC
Organism: Homo sapiens; assembly: GCF_000001405.40. Lineage (NCBI taxonomy): Eukaryota > Metazoa > Chordata > Mammalia > Primates > Hominidae > Homo > Homo sapiens. The sequence continues at coordinate 62,608,599 of NC_000007.14, read as the reverse complement.
TTTGAATCCTATGGTGAAAAAGGAAATATCTTCCTATAAAAACTAGAAAGAAGCTTTCTTAGAAACTGTTTGTTGACAAATGGGATCTAATTAAACTAAAGAGCTTCTGCACAGCAAAAGAAACTACCATCAGAGTGAACAGGCAACCTACAAAATGGGAGAAAATTTTCGCAACCTACTCATCTGACAAAGGGCTAATATTCAGAATCTACAATGAACTCAAACAAATTTACAAGAAAAAAACAAACAACCCCATCAAACAGTAGGCGAAGGACATGAACAGACACTTCTCAAAAGAAGACATTTATGCAGCCAAAAAACACATGAAAAAATGCTCACCATCACTGGCCATCAGAGAAATGCAAATGAAAACCACTATGAGATACCATCTCACACCAGTTAGAATGGCAATCATTAAAAAGTCAGGAAACAACAGGTGCTGGAGAGGATGTGGAGAAATAGGAACACTTTTACACTGTTGGTGGGACTGTAAACTAGTTCAACCATTGTGGAAGTCAGTGTGGCGATTCCTCAGGGATCTAGAACTAGAAATACCGTTTGACCCAGCCATCCCATTACTGGGTATATACCCAAATGACTATAAATCATGCTGCTATAAAGACACATGCACACGTATGTTTATTGCGGCATTATTCACAATAGCAAAGACTTGGAACCAACCCAAATGTCCAACAATGATAGACTGGATTAAGAAAATGTGGCACATATACACCATGGAATACTATGCAGCCATAAAAAATGATGAGTTCATGTCCTTTGTAGGGACATGGATGAAATTGGAAATCATCATTCTCAGTAAACTATCACAAGAACAAAAAACCAAACACCGCATATTCTCACTCATAGGTGGGAGTTGAACAATGAGATCACATGGACACAGGAAGGGGAATATCACACTCTGGGGACTGTGGCGGGGTGGGGGGAGGGGGGAGGGATAGCATTGGGAGATATACCTAATGCTAGATGACGAGTTAGTGGGTGCAGCGCACCAACATGGCACATATATACATATGTAACTAACCTGCACAAGGTGCACATGTATCCTAAAACTTAAAGTATAATAAAAAAAAAAAAAGAAACTGTTTGTGATGTGTGCATTCACCTCACAGATGTAAAAGTTTCTTTTCATTGAGCAGTTTGGAAAACCTGGTCTTCTAGAATCTAGAATCTTCAAAGGGATATTTTTGAACACTGTGAGGCCTACGGTGAAAAAGGAAATATATTCACTTAGAAACTAGACAGAAACTTTCTGAAAAACTTCTTTGTGATGTGTGCATTCATCTCACAGAGTTGAACCATTCTTTTCATAAACAGTCTTTCTATAGATGCTGCAAAGTTATATTTGGGAGTGCATTGAGGCCTATGATGAAAAAGAAAATGTCTTCACATAAAAACTAATAAGAAGCTTCCTGAGAAACTGCTTTGTGATGTGTGCATTCATCTCACACAGATGAACATTTCTTTTCATTGTGCAGTTTGGAAACTCTGTTCTTCTATTAACTGCAAAGGGATATTGGTGAGCACTTTTAGGCCTCCAGTGAAAAAGGAAATATCTTCACATAAAAACTAGACAGAAGCTTTCTGAGAAACTTCTTTTTGATGTGTGTGTACATCTGACAGAGTTGAACCATTCTTTGATAGAGCAGTTTGGAAACCATCTCTTTGTAGAATCTAGAAGGGGATATTTGGGACCACTTTGAGGCCTATGGTGAAATAGGAAATATCTTCACAAAAAAACTAGACAGAAGCATTCTGAGAAACTTCTTTGTGACGTTTGCATTCATCTCACAGAGGTAAACACTTCTTTCCATTGAGCAGTTTGGAAATTCTGTTCTTCTAGAATCAGCAAAGGGATATTTGCGAGTGCTTTGAGGCCTATGGTGAAAAAGGAAATATCTTCACATAAAAACTAGACAGAAGCTATCTCAGAAAATTCTTTGTAATGTGTGCATTCATCTCACAGAATTGAACCAATCTTTTGATTGAGCAGTATGGAAGCACAGTGTGTGTAGAATCTGCGAAGGGATATTTGCATTAGCATAGAGGCCTGAGGTGGATATAATAATATCTTCTGACACAAACTTGACAGAAGCTTTCTGAGAAACTTTTTTGTGACGTGTGCATTCATCTCACAGAGGTGAACACTTCTTTTGATTGAGCAGTTTGGAAAACGTCTTTTCATGGAATCTACAAAGGTATATTTGGGAGTGATTTGAAGCCTATGGGGAAAAAGGAAATACTGTCATATAAGAACTAGATTTTCTTCTAGGGTTTTTATGGTTTTAGGTCTAACGTTTAAGTCTTTAATCCATCTTGAATTGATTTTTGTATAAGGTGTAAGGAAGGGATCAAGTTTCAGCTTTCTACGTACAGCTAGAGAATTTTCCCAGCACCATTTATTAAATAGGGAATCCTTTCCCCATTGCTTGTTTTTCTCAGGTTTGTCAAAAATCAGGTAGTTGTAGATATGCAGCATTATTTCTGAGGGCTCTGTTCTGTTCCATTGATCTATATCTCTGTTTTGGTACCAGTACCATGCTGTTTTGGTTACTGTAGCCTTGTAGTAAAGTTTGAAGTCAGGTAGTGTGATGCCTCCAGCTTTGTTCTTTTGGCTTAGGATTGACTTGGTGATGCAGGCTCTTTTTTGGTTCCATATGAACTTTAAAGTAGGTTTTTCCAATTCGGTGAAGAAAGACATTGGTAGCTTGATGGGGATGGCATTGAATCTATAAATTACCTTGGGCGGTATGGCCATTTTCACGATATTGATTCTTCCTACCCATGAACATGGGATATTCTTCCATTTGTTTGTATCCTCTTTTGTTTCCTTGAGCAGTGGTTTGTAGTTCTCCTTGAAGAGGTCCTTCACATCCCTTGTAAGTTGGATTCCTAGGTATTTTATTCTCTTTGAAGCAATTGTGAATGGGAGTTCACTCATGATTTGGCTCTCTGTTTGTCTGTTGTTGGTGCATAAGAAGGCTTGTGATTTTTGTACATTGATTTTGTATCCTGAGACTTTGCTGAAGTTGCTTATCAGCTTAAGGAGATTTTGGGCTTAGACAATGGGGTTTTCTAGATATACAATCATGTCGTCTGCAAACAGGGACAATTTGACTTCCTCTTTTCCTAACTGAATACCGTTTATTTCCTTCTCCTGCCTAATTGCCCTGGCCAGAACTTCCAACACTATGTTGAATAGGAGTGGTGAGAGAGGGCATCCCTGTCTTGTGCCAGTTTTCAAAGGGAATGCTTCCAGTTTTTGCCTATTCAGTATGATATTGGCTGTGGGTTTGTCATAGATAGCTCTTATTATTTTGAAATACGTCCCATCAATACCTAATTTATTGAGAGATTTTAGCATGAAGGTTGTTGAATTTTGTCAAAGGTCTTTTCTGCATCTATTGAGATAATCATGTGGTTTTTGTCTTTGGCTCTGTTTATATGCTGGATTAAACTTATTGATTTGCGTATATTGAAGCAGCCTTGCATCCCAGGGATGAAGCCCACTTGATCATGGTGGATAAGCTTTTTGATGTGCTTCTGGATTCGGTTTGCCAGTATTTTATTGAGAATTTTTGCATCAATGTTCATCAAAGATATTGGTCTAAAATTCTCTTTTTCTGTTGTGTCTCTGCCTTGCTTTTGTATCAGAATGATGCTGGTCTCATAAAATGAGTTAGGGAGGATTCCCTCTTTTTCTATTGATTGGAATAGTTTCAGAAGGAATGGTACCAGTTCCTCCTTCTACCTCTGGTAGAATTCGGCTGTGAATCCGTCTGGTCCTGGACTCTTTTTAGTTGGCAAGCTATTGATTATTGCCACAATTTCAGATCCTGTTATTGGTCTATTCAGAGATTCAACTTCTTCCTGGTTTAGTCTTGGGAGAGCATATGTGTCAAGGAATTTATCCATTTCTTCTAGATTTTGTAGTTTATTTGTGTAGAGGTGTTTGTAGTATTGTCTGATGGTAGTTTTTATTTCTGTGGGATCGGTGGTGATGTCCCCTTTAGCATTCTTTATTGCATCTATTTGATTCTTCTCTCTTTTTTTTAATTAGTCTTGCTAGCGGTCTATCTATTTTGTTGACCCTTTCAAAAAACCAGCTCCTGGATTCATTAATTTTTTGAAAGGTTTTTTGTGTCTCTATTTCCTTCAGTTCTGCTCTGATTTTAGTTATTTCTTGCCTTCTGCTAGCTTTTGAATGTGTGTGTTCTTGCTTTTCTAGTTCTTTTAATTGTGATGTTAGGGTGTCAATTTTGGATCTTTCCTGCTCTCTCTAGTGGGCATTTAGTGCTATAAATTTCTCTCTACACACCGCTTTGAATGTGTCCCAGAGATTCTGGTATGTTGTGTCTTTGTTCTCCTTGGTTTCAAAGAACAGCTTTATTTCTGCCTTCATTTCATTTTGTACCCAGTAGTCATTCAGGAGCAGGTTGTTCAGTTTCCATGTAGTTGAGTGGTTTTGAGTGAGATTCTTAATCCTGAGTTCTAGTTTGATTGCACTGTGGTCTGAGAGATAGTTTGTTATAATTTCTGTTCTTTTACATTTGCTGAGGAGAGCTTTACTTCCAATTATGTGGTCAATTTTGGAATAGGTGTGGTGTGGTGCTGAAAAAATGTATATTCTGTTGATTTGGGGTGGAGAGTTCTGTAGATGTCTATTAGGTCAGCTTGGTGCAGAGCTGAGTTCAATTCCTGGGTATCCTTGTTGACTTTCTGTCTCGTTGATCTGTCTAATGTTGACAGTGGGGTGTTAAAGTCTCCCATTATTAATTTATGGGAGTCTAAGTCTCTTTGTAGGTCACTCAGGACTTGCTTTATGAATCTGGGTGTTCCTGTGTTGGGTGCATATATATTTAGGATAGTTAGCTCTTCTTGTTGAATTGATCCCTTTACCATTATGTAATGACCTTCTTCATCTCTTTTGATCTTTGTTGGTTTAAAGTCTGTTTTATCAGAGACTAGGATTGCAACCCCTGCCTTTTTTTGTTTTCCATTTGCTTGGTAGATTTTCCTCCATCCTTTTATTGTGAGCCTATGTGTGACATAGGCATGGGCAAGGACTTCATGTCTAAAACACCAAAAGCAATGGCAACAAAAGACAAAATTGACAAATGGGATCTAATTAAAATAAAGAGCTTCTGCACAGCAAAAGAAACTACCATCAGAGTGAACAGGCAACCTACAAAATGGGAGAAAATTTTCACAACCTACTCATCTGACAAAAGGCTAATATCCAGAATCTACAATGAACTCAAACAAATTTACAAGAAAAAAACAAACAACCCCATCAAAGAGTGGGCAAAGGACATGAACAGACACTTCTCAAAAGAAGACATTTATGCAGCCAAAAAACACATGAAAAAATGCTCATCATCACTGGCCATCAGAGAAATGCATATCAAAACCACAATGAGATACCATCTCACACCAGTTAGAATGGCAATCATTAAAAAGTCAGGAGACAACAGGTGCTGGAGAAGATGTGGAGAAATAGGAACACTTTTACACTGTTGGTGGGACTGTAAAGTAGTTCAACCCTTGTGGAAGTCAGTGTGGCGATTCCTCAGGGATCTAGAACTAGAAATACCATTTGACCCAGCCATCCCATTACTGGGTATATACCCAAATGACTATAAATCATGCTGCTATAAAGACACATGTACACGTATGTTTATTGCAGCATTTTTCACGATAGCAAAGACTTGAAACCAACCCAAATGTCCAACAATGATAGACTGGATTAAGAAAATGTGGTGCATATACACCATGGAATACTATGCAGCCATAAAAATGATGAGTTCATGTCCTTTGTAGGGACATGGATGAAATTGGAAATCATCATTCTCAGTAAACTATCACAAGAACAAAAAACCAAACACTGCATATTCTCACTCGTAGGTGGGAATTGAACAATGAGATCACATGGACACAGGAAGGGGAACATCACACTCTGGGGACTGTTGTGGGGTGGGTGTGGGGGGAGGGATAACATTGGGAGATATACCTAATGCTAGATGACAAGTTAGTGGGTGCAGCACACCAGCATGACACATGTATACATATATGACTAACCTGCACATTGTACACATGTACCCTAAAACTTAAAGTATCATAATAAAAGAAAAAAAACCTTAAAAAAAAGAACTAGAAAGAGGCATTCTGAGAAACAGCTTTATGATGTGTGCATCCATCTCACAGATGTAAAAGTTTCTTTTCATTGAGCATTTTGTAAACTCTGTTTTTCTAGAATCTGTAAAGGGATATTTTTTAGTGTTTTGTGGCCTACATTGAAAAAGGAAATGTCTTCACATAAAAACTACACAGAAGCTATCTGAGAAACTTCTTTGTAATGTGTTCATTCATCTCACAGTGTTGAACCATAATTTTGATTGAGCAGTTTGGAAGCACAGTGTTTTTAGAATCTGGGAAGGGATATTAGCATTAACATGGAGGCCTGAGATGGAAAAAACAATATCTTCCATCACAAACTAGTCAGAAAATTTGTGAGAAACTGCTTTGGGATGTGTGCATTCATCTCACAGAGTTGAGCCATCCTTTTTGTTGAGCGGTTTGGAACCACTTTTTTGTAGAAAGTCCAATGGGACATTTGGAATTGCTTTGAGGCCTATGGTGAAAAAAGAAATATCTTCACATAAAAAATAGAAGATTTCTGAGAAACTTCTTTGTTATGTGTGCTTTCATCTCACAGGGTTGAACCATTATTTTGATTGACCAGAATGGGAGGCATCTTTTTGTAGAATTTGCCAACAGATATTTGGGAGCACTTTGAGGCCAATGGTGAAAAAGGAAATATCTTCACATAAAAAGTAAAAAGAAGATTTCTAAGGAACAGCTTTGTGATGATTGCATATATATCACAGAGATAAATGTTTCTTTTCATTGAGCAGTTTGGAAACTCACTTCTTCTAGAATCTGCAAAGGGATATTTGTGAGTGCTTTGAGGCCTATGGTGAAAAAGGAAATATCTTCACGTAAAAACTGGGCAGAAGCTTTCTGAGAAACTTTTTGTGATATGTTTCTTCATCTCTCAGAGTTGAACCATTCTTTTGATTGAACAGTTTGGAAATCATGTTTTTGTAGCAACTGCAAAGGGATATTTGGGAGCGCTTTGAAGCCTATGGTGAAAAAGGAAACATCTTCACATAAAAACTAGACAGAAGCTTTCTGAGAAACTCCTGTGTGATGTGTGCATTCATCTCACAGATTTGGACCATTCTTTTGATTGAGCAGTTTGGAAACTGTCTTTTCACGGAATCTGCAAAGGAATATTTGGGAACGCTTTGAGGAATATGGTGAAAAAAGGAAATATCTTCACATAAAAACTAGACAGAAGCTTTCTGAGAAACGGCTTTGTGATGTGTGCATTCACCTCACACAGGTAAATGTTGCTTTTCATTGAGCAGTTTGGAAACACTGTTCTTCTGGAATCTTCAAAGGGATATATATGAATGCTTTGAGGCCTTTGGTGAAATAGGAAATATCTTCACATAAAAACTAGACAGAAGCTTCCAGAGAAACTTCTTTCTGATGTGTGCATTCATCTCACAGATTTGAACCATTCTATTGATTCAACAGTTTGGAAACCATCTTTTTTTAGAATCTGCAAAGGGATATTTAGAATGCTTTGTGGCCTAGACTGAAAAAAGGAAATATCTTCACAGGAAAACTGGAAAGAAGCTTTCTGATAAACTTCTTTGTGATGTGTGCATTCATCTCATGCAGGTAAATGTTACTTTTCATTGAGCAGTTTGGAAATGCCATTCTTCTGGAATCTGCAAAGGGATATATATGAGCCCTTTGGGGCCTTTGGTGAAATAGGAAATATCTTCACATAAAAACTAGACAGAAGCGCTCCCCCTCTCCCTCTCCCTCTCCTCCCTCTCCCTCTCCCCACGGTCTCCCTCTCCCTCTCTTTCCACAGTCTCCCTCTGATGCTGAGCTGAAGCTGGACTGTACTGCTGCCATCTCGGCTCACTGCAACCTCCCTGCCTGATTCCCCTGCCTCAGCCTGCCGAGTGCCTGTGATTGCAGGCACATGCCGCCACACCTGACTGGTTTTCCTATTTTTTTGGTGGTGACGGGGTTTTGCTGTGTTGGCCGGGCTGGTCTCCAGCTCCTAACCATGAGTGATCCGCCAGCCTCAGCCTCCCGAGGTGCCAGGATTGCAGACGGAGTCTCGTTCACCCAGTGCTCAATGGTGCCCAGGCTGGAGTGCAGTGGCGAGATCTCAGCTCACTACAACCTCCACCTCCCAGCCGCCTGCCTTGGCCTCCCAAAGTGCCGAGATTGCAGCCTCTGCCCAGCCGCCACCCCGTCTGGGAAGTGAGGAGCCTGTCTGCCTGGCTGCCCATCATCTGGGATGTGAGGAGCCCCTCTGCCTGGCTGCCCGTTATGGAAAGTGAGGACCATCTCTGCCCGGCCGCCATCCCATCTAGGAAGTGAGGAACGCCTCTTCCCAGCCGCCATCCCATCTAGGAAGTGAGGAGCATCTCTGCCCCACTGCCCCGTCTGGGATGTGAGCAGCACCTCTGCCTGGCCACGACCCCGTCTGGGAGGTGAGGAGCGTCTCTGCCCGGCCGCCCCATCTGAGAAGTGAGGAGACCCTCCGCCCGGCAGCCGCCCTGTCCGAGAAGGGAGGAGCCCCTCCGCCCAGCATCTGCCCCATCTGGGAAGTGAGGAGCGTCTCCACCCGGCAGCCACCCCATCTGGGAGGGAGGTGGGGGTCAGCCCCCGCCAGGTCAGCCGCCCCATCCGGGAGGGAGTTGGGGGGTCAGCCCCCACCAGCCCAGCCGCCCCATCTGGGAGGGAGGTGGGTGGTCAGCCCCCCACCCAGCCAGCTGCCCCGTCCAGGAGGTGAGGGGCACCTCTGCCTGGCTGTCCCTACTGGGAAGTGAGGAACCCCTCTGCCCAGCCACCACCCCATCTGGGAGGTGTACCCAACAGCTCATTGAGAACGGGCCATGATGACAATGGTGATTTTGTGGAATAGAAAAGGGGGAAAGGTGGGGAAAAGATTGAGAAATCGGATGGTTGCTGTGTCTGTGTAGAAAGAAGTAGACATGGGAGACTTTTCATTTTGTTCTGTACTAAGAAAAATTCTTCTGCCTTGGGATCCTGTTGATCTATGACCTTACCCCCAACCCTGTGCTCTCTGAAACATGTGCTGTGTCCACTCAGGGTTAAATGGATTAAGGGCGGTGCAAGACGTGCTTTGTTAAACAGATGCTTGAAGGCAGCATGCTCGTTAAGAGTCATCACCACTCCCTAATCTCAAGTACCCAGGGACACAAACACTGCAGAAGGCCACAGGGTCCTCTGCCTAGGAAAACCAGGGACCTTTGTTCACTTGTTTATCTGCTGACCTTCCCTCCACTATTGTCCTATGACCCTGCCAAATACCCCTCTGCAAGAAACACCCAAGAATGATCAATAAAAAGAAAAAAAAACTGGACAGAAGCTTCCTGAGAAACTTCTTTCTGATGTGTGCCTTCATCTCACAGATGTGAACCATACTATTGATTCAACAGTTTGGAAACCATCTTTTTTTAGAATCTGCAAAGGGATATTTGGAACGCTTTGTGGACTATGCAGAAAAAAGGCAATATCTTTACAGAAAAACTGGAAAGAAGCTTTCTGAGAAACTGCTTTGTAATGTCTGCATTTATCTCACAGAGTTGAACCATTCTTCTGATTGAGCATTTGGAAACTCTCTTCCTGCATAATCAGCAAAGGGATATTTTTGAGTGCTTTGGGGACTATGGTGAAAAAGGAAATATCTTCACATAAAAACTAGACAGAAGCTTTATGAGAAACATCTTTGTGATATGTGTATTCATCTTACTGAGTTGAACCATTCTTTTGATTGAGCAATTTAGAAACACAATTTTTGTAGAACATGCAAAGTTATATTTGGGAGTGCTGTGAAACCTATGGTGAAAAAACGAAATATCTTCACATAAAAACGAGAAAGAAACCTGACAACCTGCTTTGTGATGTGTGCATTCATGTTACGGAGGTAAACATTTCTTTTCATTGCGCAGTTTGGAAACTCTGTTCTTCTAGAATGTGCAAAGGGATATTAGTGGGTGCTTTGAGCCACATAGTATAAAAGGAAATATCTTCACATAAAAACTAGACAAAAGCTTTCTGAAAAACTGCTTTGTGATGTGTGCATTCATCTCACGGAATTGAACCACACTTTTGATTGAGCAGTTTGGAAAAAGTCTTCTTGTAAAATCTGCAAAGGGACGTTTGGGATCACTTTGAGGTCTATGGAAAAAAGAGAAATATCTTCACATAAAAAGTAGAAGGAAGTTTTCTGAGAAACCGCTTGTTATGTATGCATTCATCTCACAGACATAAACGTTTTCTTTCAATGAGCAGTTTGGAATCTCTGTTCTTCTAGAATCTGCAATGGGATATTTAGGAACACTTTGAGGAATATGGTGAACAAGGATATATCCTCACCAAAAAACTAGATGGCAGCTACTTAGAAACTTCTTTGTGATGTGTGCATTCATTTCATGGAATTGAACCATACTTTTGATTGAGCAGTTTGGATAGTCTTTTTGTAGAATCTGCAAAGGGACATTTGTTAGCGGTTTAAGGCCTATGGTGAAAAGGAAATATCTTCACATAAAAACTAGACAGTAGCTTTCTGAGGAACTTCTATTTGATGTATGCATTCATCTCACATAGTTGAAAGATTCTTCTGATTGAGCAGTTTGGAAAGAGTCTTTTTGTAGAATCTGCAAAGCAATATTTGGAATGCCTTGGAACCTATGGTGAAAAAAGAAATAACTTCACATAAAAAGTAGACAGAAGCTTCTGGAGAAACTCCGTTGTGATCTGTGCATTCATCTCACACAGGTAAACGTTTATTTTCATTGAGCAGTGTGGAAAATCTGTTATTCTAGAATCTTCAAAGGGATATTTGTGAGCGCTCTTGGGCTTATTTTGAAAAAGGAAATATCTTCACATAATTACTAGACAGAAGCTTTCTGACAAGCTTCTTTCTGATGTGTGCATACGTTTCTCAGAGTTGAACCATTGTTTTGATTGAGCAGTTTGGAAACAGTCTTTTTGTATAATCTATAAAGGGATATTTGGAAGTGCATTGAGACCTATGGTGAAGAAGGAAATATCTTCACATTAAAACTGGAAAGAAGATTTCTGAGAAACTGCTTTGTGATGTGTGTATTCATCTAAGAGAGTTAAACGTTTCTTCTCATCAAGCAGTTTGGAAACTCTGCTCTTCTGGAATCTGTAGTAAGATATTTGTGAGTGCTTTGAGGCCTATGCTGAAAAATGAAATGTCTTCACATAAAAACTAGACAGAAGCTTTCTGAGAAACTTCTTTGTGATGGGTGCATTCATCTTACAGATTTGAATCCCTCTTTTGATAGAGCAGTTTGGAGGCAGGCATTTTGTAGAATCTGCAAAGTGATATTTGGGAGTATTTTTAGGCTTATTGTGAAAAAAGAAATATCTTCTCATAAAAACTAGAAAGAAGCTTTCTGAGAAACGGCTTTTTGATCTGTGCACCCATCTCACAGAGGTAAACGTTTCTTTTCATTGATCAGTTTGGAAACTCTCTTCTTGCAGAATCTGAAAAGGGATATTTTTGAGCACTTTGAGATGTATGGTGAAAAGGAAATATCTTCACATAAAAACTAGACAGAAGCTTTCTGAGAAAGTTCTTTGTGATGTGTGCCTTCATCTCTCAGAGTTGAAACAACCTTTTGATGGAGCAGTTTGGAAACCATCTTTTAGTAGAATCTGCAAAGGTATATTTGGGAGAGCTTTGAGGCCAATGGTGAAAAAGCAAATATCTTCACATAAAAAGTAGACAGAAGCATTCCGAGAAAATTCTTTTTTATGTGTTCATTCATCTCACAGTTTTGAACCATTACTTTCATTAAGCAGTTAGGAAACAGTCTTTTTGTAGAATCTGGAAAGGGATATTTGGAAGATCTTTGAGGCCTATGGTCATAAAGGAAATATCTTCACATAAAACCTAGAAAGAAGATTTCTGAGAAATTGCTATGTGATGTGTGCATTCAACTCACAGAGGTAAAATGTTTCTTTTCATTGAGCAGTTTGGAAACTCTGTTCTTCTAGAAACTGCAAGGGGATATTTGTGAGTGCTTTGAGGCCTATGTTGAAAAGGAAATATCTTCACATAAAAGCTAGACAGAAGCTTTCTGAGAAACTTCTTTGTGATGTGTGCATTCATCTCTTGGATTTGAACCATTCTTTTGATTGAGCAGTTTGTAAACCATCTTTCTGTAGTAACTGCAAAGGGATATTTGGGAGGGCTTTGAGGCCTATGGTGATAAAGCAAATATCTTCACATAAAAACTAGAAAGAAGCTGTCTGATAAACTGCTTTTTGATGTTTGCATTCATCTCACAGAGGTAAACGTTTGTTTTCATTGAGCAATTAGGAAACTCTATTCTTCTAGATTCTGCCAAGGGATATTTGAGAGCACTTTGAGTCACATGGTGAAAAAGGAAATATCTTCACATAAAAACTAGGCAAAAGCTTTTTGAGAAACTTGTTTGTGATGTGTGCATTCATCTCACAGAGGTGAACCAGGCTTTTGATTGAGCAGTTTGGAAACAGTCTTTTTGTAGAATCCACAATGGGGTATTTTGGAGTACTTTGAGGCCTATGGTGAAAAAGGAAATATCTTCATATAAAAACTAGACAGAAGCTTTCTGTGAAATTTCTTTGTGATGTGTGCATTCATCTCACAGAGTCAAACCATTCTTTTGATTGAGGGGTTTGGAAACATTCTTTTTGTGGAATCTGCAAAGGGATATTTGGGAGTGCTTTGAGGCCTATTGAGAAAAAGGAAATATCTTCACATAAAAGTAGGAAGAAGCTTTCTGAGAAACTGCTTTGTGATGTGTGCATTCACCTCACAGAGGTAATCATTTCTGTTCATTGAGCAGTTTGGAAAATCTGTTCTTCTAGAATCTGCAAAGGGATATTTTTGATTGCTCTGAGGCCTATGGTGAAAAAGGCAATATCTTCACATAAAAACTAGACAGAAGCCTTAAAGTAGTTGTTTCCATTGAAATTCATATGGATCCGAAAAAGAGCCTGCATTTGGAAGTCAATCCTAAGCCATAAAAACAAAGCTGCAGGCATCGTGCTACCTAACTTCAAACTATATTACAAGGCTACAGTCATCAAAACAGCATGGTGGTGGTACCAAAACAGAGATATAGACCAATGGAACAGAACAGAGCCTTCAGAAATAATGTCACATATATACAACTATCTGATCTTTCACAAACCTGACAAAAACAAGCAATGGGAAAGGATTGCCTATTTAATAAATGCAGCTGGAAAAACTGGCTAGCCATATGTAGAAAGCTGAAACTGGATCCCTTCCTTACACCTTATACAAGAACTAATTCAAGATGGATTATGGACTTAAACGATAGAGCTAAAACCATGAAAACTGTAGAAGAAAACCTAGGCAATAGCATTCAGGACATAGACATGGGTAAAGACTTCATGTCTAAAACGCCAAAAACAATGGCAACAAAAGCAAAAATTGACAAATGGGATCTAATTAAACTAAAGAGCTTCTGCACAGCAAAAGAAATTACCATCAGAGTGAACAGGCAACCTACAGAATGGGAGAAAATTTTTGCAACATACTCATCTGAGAAAGGGCTAATATCCAGAGTCTACAATGAACTCAAACAAATTTACATGAAAAAAGCAAACAACCACATCAAACAGTGGGTGAAGGATAAGAAACGACACTTCTCAAAAGAAGACATTTATGGAGCCAAAAAACACATGAAAAAATGCTCATTGTCAATGGCCATCAGAGAAATGCAAAACAAAACCACAATGAGATACCATCTCACACCAGTTAGAATGTCGATCATTAAAAAGTCAGGAAACAATAGTTGCTGGAGAGGATATGGAGAAATTAGTACACTTTTACACTGTTGGTTGGACTGTAAACTAGTTCAACCATTGTGGAAGTCAGTGTGGTGATTCTTCTGGGATCTAGAACTAGAAATACCATTTGACCCAGCCATCCCATTACTGGGTATATACCCAAAGGATTATAAATCATGCTGCTATAAATACACATGCACACGTATGTTTATAGTGGCACTATTCACAGTAGCAAAAGCTTGGAACCTACACAAATGTCCAAAAATGATAGACTGGATTAAGAAAATGTGGCACATATACACCATGGAATACTACATAACCATAAAAAAAGATGAGTTCATGTCCTTTGTAGGGACATGGATGAAGCTGGAAACCATCACTCTCAGCAAACTATCTCAAGGACAAAAAACCAAACACTGCATGTTCTCACTTATAGGTGGGAATTGAAGAATGAGAACACACGGACACAGGAAGGGGAACATCAGACGCCATGGACTGTTGTGGGGTTGAGTGAGAAGGGAGGGATCACATTAGGAGATATACCTAATGATAAATGATGAGTTAATGGGTGCAGCACACGAACATGGCAAATGTATACATATGTAAGAAACCTGCAGGTTGTGCACATATTCCCTGAAACTTAAAGTACAATAATAAAGAAAAGAAAAAACTGTTTCTTTTCATTGAGAAGATTGGAAACTTGGTTTTTCTAGGATCTGTAAAGGGATAATTCTGAGTGCTTTGAGGCCTCTGGTGAAAAAGGAAATATCTTCAGGTAAAAACTAGAGAGAAGGTTTCTGAGAAACTGCTTTGTGATGTGTGCATTCATCTGAGAGAGTTAAAAGTTTCTTTTCATTGAGTAGATTGGAAACTCTGTTCCTGTAGAATCTGCAAAGTGATATTTATGAGCACTTTGAAGCCTATGGTGAAAAAGGGAATAACTTCACTTAAAAACTAGACAGAAGCTTTCTGAGAAACTTCTTTTTGATGTGAGCATTCATCTCACAGATTTGAATCTTTCTTTTGATTGAGCAGTTTGCAAACAGTCTTTTCTTAGAATATGCAAAGTGATATTTTTGAGCAGTTTGAAGCCAATGGTGAAAAATGAAATATCTTCACATAAAAACCAGATGGAAGTTTTCTGTGGAACTGCTTTGTGATGTGTGCATTCATCTCTCAGAGCTAAATGATGCTTTTCTTTGAAGAGATTGGAAAATCTGTTCTTGTAGAATCTGTAAAGGGGTATTTGTGAGCACTTTGAGGCCTAAGGTGAAAAAGGAAATATCTTCACATAAAAACCAGACAGAAGCTTTTGAGTAACTTCTTCATGATGTGGGAATTCATCTCAGAGAGTTGAACCTTCCTTTTGATTGAACAGTTTGGAGACAGTCTTTTTGTAGAATCTGCAAAAGGATATTTGTGAGTGCTTTGAGGCCTATGGTGAAAAAGGATATATCTTCACATAAAAACTAGACAGAAGCATTCTGGGAAACTTCTCTTTGACGTGTGCACTCATCTGACAGAGTTGAACTTTTCTTTTGATTGAGCAGTTGGGAAACAGTCTTTATGTAGAATCTGCAAAGGGATATTTGTGAGCGCTTAGATTCCTATGGTGAAAAAGGATGTATCTTCACATAAAAACAAGACAGGAGCTTCCTGAGAATCGTCTTTGTGATGTGTGAATTCATCTCACAAAGTTGAAACTTTCTTTTGATTGAGAAGTTGGGAAACAGTCTTTTTGTAGAATCTCCAAAGGGATATTTGTGAGTGCTTTGAGGCCTATGGGGAAAAAGGAAATAAATTCACATAAAAACTGGACAGGAGCTTTTGGAGACACTACTTTGTGATTTGTGTATTCATCTCATGGAGCTGAATTTCTTTTGGTTGAGTAGTTTGGAAACAGTCTTTTTGTAGAATTTTTAAAGGGAATTTGTGAGCACTTTGGGGCCAATGGTGAAAAAGGAATTATCTTCACATAAAAACTAGACAGAAAGTTTCTGAGAAACTTCTTTGTGATGTTTGTATTAGTCTCACAGAGTTGAAATTTTCTTTAAATTGAGCAGTTTGGAAACAGTCTTTTTGTAGAATCTGCAAAGGGATATTTCTGAGTACTTTGAGGCCTCTGGTGAGAAAGGAAATATCTTCACATAAAAACTACACAGAAACTTTCTCAGAAACTGCTTTGTGATGTGTGCATTCATTCTCACAGAGTTGAACTTTTCTTTTGATTGAGCAGTTTGGAAAAAGTCTTTTTGTAGAATCTTCAAAGGGATATTTGTTAGTGGTTTGAGGCTTATGGTGAACAAGGGAATATCTTCACATGAAAGCTAGACAGAAGTTTCTGAGAAACTTCTCTGTGATGTGTGCAGTCATCCCACAGAGTTGATCCATTCTTTTGTGAGCAGTTTGGAAACAGTCTTTTTGTAGAATCTGCAAAAGGATATTAGTGACCGCTTTGAGGCCTATCATGAAACAGGAAATATCTTCACGTAAAAACTAGATAGAATTTTTCTGAGAAACTTCTTTGTGATGTGTGAATTCATCTCACAGAGTTGAACCTTTCTTTTGATTGAGCAGCTTGGAAACAGTCTTTTTGTAGAATCTCCAAAGTGATATTAGTGAGCCCATTGAGGCCTATGGTGAAAAAGGAAATATATTCACAGGAAAACTAGACAGAAGCTTTTGAGAATGTTCTTTGTGATGTGTGCATTCATCTCACAGAGTTGAACCTTTATTTTCACTGAGCAGTTTGGAGACAGTCCTGTGGTAGAATCCCAAAGTGACAGTTTTGAGAGCTTAGAGGACTATGGTGAAAAAGCTAATATCTTCACATAGAAACTAGACAGAAGCTTTCTGATAAACTTCATTTTGATGTGTACATTCATCTCACAAAGTTGAACCTTACTTTTGATTGAGCAGTTTGCAAACAGACTTTTTTTAGTATCTGCAAAGTGATATTTTTGAGTGGTTTGAATCCTATGGTGAAAAAGTAATTATCTTCACCTATATACTAGACAGAAGCCTTCTGAGAAACTTCTTTTTGATGTGTGCATTCATCTCACAGAGGTAAACGTCTTTTTTCATTGAGGATATTGGAAACTCTGTTCTTGTAGAATCTGGAAAGGGATATTTCTGAGCGCTTTGAGGCCTATGTTGAAAAATGAAATATTTTCACCTAAAAACGAAGCAGAAGCTTTCTGAGAAAATTCTTTGCAACGTGTGCATTCATCTCACAGTGTTGAAACTCTCTTTTGATGGAGCAGTTTTGAAACAGTATTTTTGTAGAATCTGCAAATGGATATTTGGGAGTGCTTTGAGGCCTATGGTGAAAAAGGAAATATCTTCACATAAAACCTAGACAGAAACTTTCTGAGAAACTTCTTTGTGAGCTGTGCATTCTTGTCAAAGAGTTGAATTTTTGTTTTGATTCATCAGATTGGAAACAGTCTTTTTACAGAATATGCAAAGGGATATTTGTGAGTGGTATGAGGCCTATGGTGATAAAGGAAATATCTTCACATAAAACCTAGACAGAAGTTTTCTGAGAAACTTCTTTGTGATGTGTGCATTCATCTCACAGAGTGGAACATCTCGTTTGATTGCACAGTTTGGAAACAGTCTTTTTGTAGAGTCTCCAAAGGGATATTTGTGAGCCCATCAAGGCCTATGTTGAAAAAGGAAACATCTTCACAGGAAAACTAGACAGAAGATTTGAGAAATACTTTCAACTAAAAACGAAGTAGAAGATTTCTGAGAAAATTCTTTGTGATGTGTGCATGCATCTCACAGTGTTGAACATTTCTTTTGATTGAGCAGTGTCACAACAGTCTTTCTGAGTAACCTGCAAAGGAATATTTGTGAGTGCTTTGAGAACTATGTTGAAAAAGGAAATAACTTCACATAAAAACTAGACAGAACGTTTCTGAAAAACTGCTTTGTGATGTGTTCATTCATCTCACAGAGGTAAACTTTTCTTTTCATTGAGCACATTGGGAACTCTGTTAGTGTAGAATCTGCAAAGGAATATTTGTGAGCCCTTTGAGGCCTATGGAGAAAAAGGTAATATCTTAACATAAAAAGTAGAGAGGAGCATTCTGATGAACTTCTTTGTGATGTGTGCATTCATCTCACAGAGTTGATCCTTTCTTTTCATTAAGTGTTTTGGAAAGAGTCGTTTTGTAGAATCTGCAAGGGAATATTTGTGAGCCGTTTGAGTCCTATGGTGAAAAAGGAATATCTTCACAAAATACTAGACAGAAGGTGTCTGAAAAACTGTTTTGTGATGTGTGCATTCATCTCCCAGTGGTTAACGTTTCTTTTCATTGACCACATTGGAAACTCTGGTCTTGTAGAATCTGCTTAGGGATATTTGTGAGTGCTTTGGAGCATACGGTGAAAAAGGAAATATCTTCACATTAAAACTAGACTGAATATTTCTGAGAAACTTCTTTGTGATGAGTGCATTCATCTCACAGGGTTGAAACTTTCCTTTGATGCAATAGTTTGGAAAGAGTCTTTTTGTAGAATTTGCAAAGGGATACTTGTGAGCACTTTGAGACCTATGGTGATAAAGGAAGTATATTCAAATACAAACTAGACAAAGCTTTCTGAGAAACTTCTTCATGATGTGTGCATTCAACACAGAGTGTTGAACATTTCTTTTGATTGAACAGATTGGAAACAGTCTTTTTGTAGAATCTGCAAACGGATATGTGTGAGCGTTATGAGGCCTATGGTGAAACAGGAAATATCTCCACATAAAAACTACACAGAAGCTTTCTGAGAACTTCTTTCTGATGTGCACATTCATCTCAGAGAGTTGAACCTTTCTTTTGATAGAGCAGTTTGGCAACAGTCTTTTTGTAGAATCTGCAAATTGATATTTGTAACCACTTTGAGACCTATGGTGAAAAAGGAAATATCTTCACATAAAAACAAAAGAGAAGGTTTCTGAGAAAATCCTTTGTGATGTGTGCATTCACCTCACAGTGGTAAACGTTCCTTTTCATTGAGCAGCTTGGAAACTCAATTCTTGTAGAATCTGCAAAGGGATATTTGTGAGTGGTTTAAGTCATATGGTGAAAATGGAAATATCTTCACATAAAAACTAGACAGAAGCTTTCTGAGAAACTACTATGTGATGATGGCATTCACCTCACAGATTTGAACCTTTCTGTTGATTAAGCAGTTTGGAAACAGTCTTTTTGCAGAATCTGCAAAGGGATATTTGTGAGCAATTTGAGGCCTATGGGGAAAAAGGAAATAGCTTCACATAAAAACTAGAGAGAAGCTTTTGAGAAACTTCTTTGTGATGTGTGCATGCATCTCACAGAGTTGAACATTTCTTTTGATTAAGCAGTTAGGAAACTGTCTTTTCACAAAATCTGTCAAGGTATATTTGGAGCACTTTGACGCTTATGGTGAAATAGGAAATATTTTCACATAAAAACTGGATGGAAGCTTTGTGAGAAACCTCTTTGTGATGTGTGCATTCATAAAGTAGATTTGAACCTTTCTTTTCATTGAGCAGTTTGGAAACAGTGTTTTTGTAGAATCTGCTAGGAGATACTTGGAGTGCTTTGATGCCTGTGGTGAATAAGGAAATATCTTCACATAAAAACTAGGCAGAACTTTTCTGAGAAACTTCTTTCTGATGTGTGCATTCATCTCACCGAGTTGAACCTTTCTTTTTTTTTATTATTATACTTTAAGTTTTAGGGTACATGTGCACATTGTGCAGGTTAGTTACATATGTATACATGTGCCATGCTGGTGCACTGCACCCACTAACTCGTCATCTAGCATTAGGTAAATCTCCCGATGCTATCCCTCCCCCCTCCCCCCACCCCACAACAGTCCCCAGAGTGTGATATTCCCCTCCCTATGTCCATGTGATCTCATTGTTCAGTTCCCACCTATGAGTGAGAATATGTGGTGTTTGGTTTTCTGCTCTTGCGATAGTTTACTGAGAATGATGATTTCCAATTTCATCCATGTCCCTACAAAGGACATGAACTCATCATTTTTTATGGCTGCATAGCATTCCATGGTGTACATGTGCCACATTTTCTTAATCCAGTCTATCATTGTTGGTCATTGGGGTTGGTTCCAAGTCTTTGCTATTGTGAATAATGCCGCAATAAACATATGTGTGCATGTGTCTTTATAGCAGCATGATTTATAGTCATTTGGGTATATACCCAGTAATGGGATGGCTGGGTCAAATGGTATTTCTAGTTCTAGATCCCTGAGGAATCGCCACACTGACTTCCACAATGGTTGAACTAGTTTACAGTCCCACCAACAGTGTAAAAGTGTTCCTATTTCTCCACATCTTCTCCAGCACCTGTTGTTTCCTGACTTTTTAATGATTGCCATTCTAACTGGTGTGAGATGGTATCTCACTGTGGTTTTGATTTGCATTTCTCTGATGGCCAGTGATGATGAGCATTTTTTCATGTGTTTTTTGGCTGCATAAATGTCTTCTTTTGAGAAGTGTCTGTTCATGTCCTTCGCCCACTTTTTGATGGGGTTGTTTGTTTTTTTCTTGTAAATTTGTTTGAGTTCATTGTAGATTCTGGATATTAGCCCTTTGTCAGATGAGTAGGTTGCGAAAATTTTCTCCCATTTTGTAGGTTGCCTGTTCATTCTGGTGGTAGTTTCTTTTGCTGTGCAGAAGCTCTTTAGTTTAATTAGATCCCATTTGTCAATTTTGTCTTTTGTTGCCATTGCTTTTGGTGTTTTAGACATGAAGTCCTTGCCCATGCCTATGTCCTGAATGGTAATGCCTAGGTTTTCTTCTAGGGTTTTTATGGTTTTAGGTCTAACGTTTAAGTCTTTAATCCATCTTGAATTGATTTTTGTAGAAGGTGTAAGGAAGGGATCCAGTTTCAGCTTTCTACATATGGCTAGCCAGTTTTCCCAGCACCATTTATTAAATAGGGAATCCTTTCCCCATTGCTTGTTTTTCTCAGGTTTGTCAAAGATCAGATAGTTGTAGATATGTGGCGTTATTTCTGAGGGCTCTGTTCTGTGAACCTTTCTTTTGATTGAGAAGTTTGGAAACAGTCTTTTTGTAGAAGCTGCAAAAGGGATATTTGTGAGTCCTTTGAGGCCTATGGTGAAAAAGGAAATATCTTCACATAAAAACAAGACAGAAGCTTTCTGAGAAAACTCCTTGTGATGTGTGCTTTCATCTCACAGAGTTGAACATTTCTTTTGATTGAGCAGTTAGGAAAGAGTCTTTTTGTAGAATCTGCAAAGGGATATTTGTGAGCACTTTGAGGCCTATGGTGAAAAAGGAAATATCTTCACATAAAAACTAGACAGAAGCTTTCTGAGAAACTTCTTTGTGATGTGTACATTTGTCTCACAGATTTGAAACTTCCTTTCATGGGGCAGTTTGGAAACAGTCTTTTTGCAGAATCTGTAAAGGGATATTTGTGAGTGGTTTGAGGCCCATGTTGAAAAAGGAAATATCTTCACATAAAAACTAGAGAGAAGCTTTCTGAGAATCCTCCTTGTGATATGTGCATTCATCTCACAGAGTTGAACATTACTTTTGATTGAGCCTGTTTGAAGCCATCTTTTTGTAGAATCTGCAAAGGGATATTTGTGAGCCCTTTGAAGCCAATGGTGTAAAAGTAAATATCTTCACATAAAAAGTAGAAAGAAGCTTTCTGAGAAACTTCTTTGTGATGTGTGCATTCATCTCACAGGGATGAGTGTTACTTTTGATTGAGCAAGTTGGAAATAGTCCTTTTGTAGAATGTGCAAAGGTATATTTGTGAGCGGTTTGTGGACTACAGTGAAAAAGGAAATATCTTCACATCAAAACTAGATGGAAGCATTCTGAGATATATCTTTTTGATGTGTGCATTCATACCACTCAGATGAACGTTTCTATTCATTGAGCAGATTGGTACCTCTGTTCTTGAAGAATATGCAAAAGGATATCTGTGAGCATTAGGGTCATATGGAGAAAAGGGAAATATCTTCAGATGAAAACTTGACAGAAGCTTTCTGTGAAACTTCTTTGGATGCGTGTATTCATCTCACAGAGTTGAACATTTCTTTTGATTGAGCAGTTGGGAAACATTCTTTTGGTAGAATCTGCAAGGGGATATTTGTGAGCACTTTGAGGCCTATAGTGAAAAAGGAAATATCTTCACATAAAAACTAGACAGAAGCATTCAGAGAAACTGCTTTGTGATGTGTGCATTTGTCTCACAGATGTAAACACTTCTTTACATGGAGCAGATAGGAAATTCTGTTCTTGTAGAATATGAAATTGGATATTTGGAGCACATTGAGGACTATGGTGAAAAAGGAAGTATCTTCACATAAAAACTACACAGAAGGTTTCTGAGAAACTTCTTTGTGATGTGTGCATTCATTTAAAAGAGTTGAACATTTCTTTTGATAGAGCAGTTTGGAAACTGTCTTCTTGTAGTATCTGCAAAGGGATAGTTGTAAGCCCTTTGAAGCCTATGGTGAAAAATGAAATATCTTCACATAAAAACTAGACAGAAGGTTTCTGAGAAATTATTTTGTGATTTGTGCATTCATTTTACAGAGTTGAAATTTTCTTTTTATTGAGCAGTTTTGAAACAGTCTTTTGTAGAATCTGCAAAGGGATATTTGTGAGCGGTTTGAGTCCTATTGTGATGAAGAATATATCCTCACATAAAAACTAGACAGAAGCTTTCTGAGAAACCTCTTTGTGATGTGTGCTTTCATCTGACAGAGAGGAAACTTTCTTTTGATTGAGCAGTATGGAAACTGTCTTTTTGTAGAATCTACCAAGGGATATTTGGAGCTCTTTGAGGCCTTTGGTGAAAAAGGAAATATCTTCACATAAAAACTTGATAGAGGGTTTCTGAGAAACTGCTTTGTGGTGTGTGCACTCATCTCGCAGGTGTGAATGTTTCTTTACATTGTGCAGATTGGAAACTCTGCTCTTGTACAATCTGCAAAGGGATATTTGTGAGCCCTTTGAGGCCTATGGTGAAAAAGGAAATATCTTCACATAAAAACTAGACAGAGGCTTTCTGAGAAACTTCCTTTTGATGTGTGTATTCATCTCACAGAGTTGAAACTTTCTTTTGATTGAACAGTTTGGGAACTATCCTTTTTTAGAATCTGCAGAGGGATATTTGTGAGCCCATTGAGGCCTATGGTGAAATAGGAAATATCTTCACATAAAAGCTACACAGAAACTTTCTGAGAAACTTCTTTGTGATGTGTCCTTTCATCTCACAGAGTTGAACCTTTCTTTTAATTGAGCAGTTTGAAAACAGTGTTTTTGTAGCATCTGCAAATGAATATTTGGAGCGATTTGAGGCCTATGGTGAAATAGGAAAGATCTTCATATAAAAACTAGACAGAAATATGCTGAGAAACTCCGTTGTGAGGTGTCCATTCTTCTCACAGATTTGAACATTTCTTTTGATGGAGCAGTTTGGAAACAGTCTTTTTGAACAATCTGCAATGGGATATTTTTGAGCCCTTTATGGCTTATGGTGAAATAGGAAATATCTTTGCATAAAAACTAGACAGAAGCATTCGGAGAAACTTCTGTGATGTGTGCTTTCATCTCACAGAGTTGAACCCCTCTTTTGCTGGAGCAGTTTGGAAACAGTCTTTTGGCATAATCTGCAAATGGATATTTGGAGTACTTTGAGGCTTATGATGAAAATGTAAATATCTTCACACAAAAACTAAACAGAAGCTTTCTGAGAAACTTCTTTGTGATGGGTGCATTCATCTCACATTGTTGAACTTTTCTTTTTATTGAGCAGTTTGGAAACAGTCTTTTTGTAGAATCTGCAAATGGATATTTGGAGCACTTTGAGGCCTATGGTTAAAAAGGAAATATCTTCACATAAAAACTAGACGGAAGCATTCGGAGAAACTTCTTTGTGATGTGTGCATTCATCTCACAGAGTTGAAACTTTCTTTTGATTGAACAGTTTGGAAACTGTCCTTTTGTAGTATCTGCAAAGGGATATTTGTGAGCCAATTGAGGCCTATGGTGAAATAGGTAATATCTTCACATAAAAGCTAGACAGGAGCTTTCTGAGAAACTTTGTGATGTGTGCTTTCATCTCACAGAGTTGAACCTTTCTTTTGATTGAGCAGTTTCAAAGCAGTACTCTTGAAGAATCTGCAAATGAATATTGGGAGCGTTTTGAGGTTTATGGTGAAAAAGATATATCTCCACATAAAAACTAGACAGAAGCATTCTGAGAAACTTCTCTGTGATGTGTCCATTCTTCTCACAGAGTTGCACTTTTCTTTTGATTGAGCAGTTTGGAAACAGTCTTTTCGTAGATCTGTAAAGGGATATTTGTGAGCCCTTTATGGCCTGTTGTGAAGTAGGGAATATCTTCACATAAAAGCTAGACAGAAGCTTTCTGAGAGAATTCTTTGTGATGTGTGCTTTCATCTCAAAGAGTTGAACCTTTCTTTGGATGAAGCAGTATGGAAACAGTCTTTTGTAGAATCTGCAAATGGATATTTGGAGTGGTTTGAAGCCTGTGGTGAAAAAGGAAGTATCTTCACATTAAAACTAGACAGAAGCATTCTGAGAAGCTTCTTTGTGATGTGCGCATTCATCTCATAGAGATGAACCTTTCTTTTGATTGAGCCGTTAGGAAACATCTTTTTGTACAATCTGCAAAGGGATATTTCCAATCCGTTTGAGGCCTATGGTGAAAAAGAAGTATCTCCAAACAAAAAATCGATGGAAGCATTCTGAGAAACTTCTTTGTGATGTGTCCATTCATCTCACAGAGTTGAACCTTTGTTTTGATTGAACAGTTTAGAAACAGTCGTTTTTTAGGATCTGCAAATGGATAATTGGAGCACTTTGAGGCCTATGGTGAAAAAGAAAATGTCTTCACATAAAAACTTGACTGAAGCATTTTGAGAAACTTCTTTGTGAAGTCTAAATTCATCTCACAGAATTGAACCTTTGTTTACGTTGAACAGTTTGGAAACCATCCTTTTGTAAAATCTGCAAAGGGATATTTGTGAGCCATTGAGGCCTATGGTGAAATAGGAAATATCTTCAAATAAAAGCTAGACAGAAGTTTTCTGAGAAAATTCTTTGCGATGTGTGCTTTCATGTCACAGAGCTGACCATTTCTTTTGATGAAGCAGTTTGGAAACAGTCTTTGTGTACAGTCTGCAAAGGGATATTTCTTACCCATTTGATGCCTATGGTGAAAAAGATATACCTTCCCATAAAAACTAGATAGAAGCATTCTGACAAACAACTTTGTGATGTGTCCATTCATCTCACAGATTTGAACATTTCTTTTGATTGAGCAGTTTTGAAACAGTCGTTTTGTAGAATCTGCAAAGGGAAATTTGTGAGCCCTGTATGGCCTATTGAGAAGTAGGAAATATCCTCACATAAAAACTAGACAGAAGTTTTGTGAGAAACCCCTTTGTGATGTATGCTTTCATCTCAAAGGGTTGAACTTTTCTTTTGATTGAGCATTTTGGAAACAGTCTTTTTGTAGAAACTGCAAATGGATATTTGGAGCACTTTGAGGCCTATGGTGAAAAAGGAAATATCTTCACATGAAAACTGGACAGAACCATTCTGGAAACTTATTTCTGATGAGTGCATTCGTCTCACAGAGATGAACCTTTCTTTGATTGAGCAGTTTGGAAACAGTCTTTCTGTACAATGTAGAAAGGGATATTTCTGAGCCGTTGGAGGTCTATGGTGAAAAAGAAGTATCTTCCCATAAAAACTAGTCAGAAGCATTCTGAGAAAATTCTTTGTGTTATGTGCATTCATCTCACAGGGTCAAACCTTTCTTTTTATTGAGCAGTTTGGAAACAGTATTTTTGTAGAATCTGCAGATGGATATTTGCAGCGTTTTGAGGCCTGTGGTGAAAAAGGAAATGTCTTCACATAAAAAATAGACAGAAGCATTCTGAGAAACTTCTTCATGATGTGTGCATTAATCTCACAGAGTTGAAGCTTTCTCTGATTAAACAGTTTTGAAATCGTCATTTTGTAGAATCTGCAAAGGGATATTTGTGAGCCCATTGTGACCTATGGTGAAACAGGAAATATCTTCAATAAAAGCTAGACAGAATTTTTCTGAGAAACTTCTTGGTGATGTGTGCTTTCATCTCCAGAGTTGAGCCTTTCTTTTGATTGAGCAGTTTGGAAATAGTCTTTTTGTAGAATCTGCAAATCAACATTTGGAGTGGTTTGAGGCCTATGGTGAAAATGAAATAAATACACATAAAAACTAGACAGAAGCATTCTGAGAAACTTCCTTGTGATGTGTGCATTCATCTCACAGAGTGTAACCTTTCCTTTGATGGAGCAGTTTGGAAAGAGTCTTTTTGTAGTATCTGCAGAGGGATATTTATGAGTGGTTTAAGGCCAATGGTGAAAAAGGAAATATCTTCACATAAAAACTAAACAGAAGCATTCTCAGAAAATTCTTTGCGATGTGTGTATTCATCTCACAGGTTGCTTTCTTTTGATTGAGCAGTTTGTAGACAGTCTTTTTGTACAATCTGCAAAACGATATTTCTGAGCTGTTTGAGGCCTATGGTGAAAAACATATATCTTCACACAAAAACTGGACAGAAGCATTCTTAGAAACTTATTTGTGATATGTCAATTCTTCTCTCAGAGCTTAACCTTTCTTTTGATTGAGCAGTTTGGAAACAGTGTTTTTGTAGAGTCTGCAAAGGGATAATTGTGAGCCATTTATGGCCTAATGTGAAGTAGGAAATATCTTCACATAAAAACTAGACAGAAGCTTTCTCAGAAGCTACTTTGTGATGTATGATTTCATATCACAGAGTTGAAGCCTTCCTTTGATTGAGCAGTTTTGAAACAGTCTTTTTGTAAAATCTGCAAATGGATATTTCGAGTGCTTTGACGCCTATGGTGAAAAAGCAAATACCTTCACATGAAAACTAGACAGAAGCATTGTGAGAAACTTCTTTGTGATGCGTGCATTCATCTCACAGAGATGAAACTTTCTTTTGATTGAGCAGTTTGGAAACAGTCTTTTTGTACAATCTGCAAAGGGAGATTTCCGAGCCATTAGAGGCCTATGGTGAAAAAGAAGTATCTTCACATGAAAACTAGACAGAAGCATTCTGAGAAACTTCTTTGTGATGTGTCCATTCATCTCATAGAGGTGAACCTTTCTTTTGATTGAGCAGTTTGGAAACAGTCTTTTTGTACGATCTGCAGAAGGATATTTGTGAGGGGTTTAAGGCTTATGGTGAAAAAGGAAATATCTTCACATAAAAACAAGACAGAAGATTTCTGAGAAACTTTTTGTGATGTGTGCATTCAAATCACAGAGTTGAACTTTTCTTTTGAGTGAGCAGTTTGGAAACAGTATTTTTGTAGAATCTGCAAAAGGATATTTTGGAACCCTTTGAGGCCTATGGTGAAACAGGAAACATCTTCATATAGAAACTAGATAGAAGCTTTTTGAGAAACCTCTTTGTGATATGTGCATTCATCTCACAGAGTTGAACCTTTCTTTTGATAGAGCAGTTTGGAAACTGTCTTTTTGCAGAATCTGCAAAGGGATATTCCTGAGTGGTTTCAGGCCTTTGGTGAAACAGGAAATATCTTCACAAAAAGACTACACAGAATATTTCTGAGAAACTACTTTGTAATGAGTGCATTCATCTCACAGAATTGAAATTTTCTTTTCATTGAGGTGCTTGGAAACGTTCATTTTTTAGAATCTGCAAATGTATATTTGAGGGTACTTTGAGGCCTATGATGAAAAAGGAAATATCTTCACATAAACACTAGATAGAAGCTTTCTGAGAAAATTTTTGTGATGCCTGCATTCATCTCAAAGAGTTGAACTTTCTTTTGATTGAGCAGTTTGGAAACACTCTTTATGTAGAATCTGCAAAGGGATATTTCTGAGCGGTTTGAGACCTATGGTGAAAAAGGAAATATCTTCACATAAAAACTAGACAGAAGATTTCTGAAAAACTTCTTTGTAGTGGGTGCATTCATCTCACAGAGTTGAACGTTTCTTTTGATTGAGCAGTTTGGAAACAGTCTTTCTATAGAATCTGCACAGGGACATTTATAAACCCATTGAGGCCTATGGTGAAAAGGAAATATCTTCACATAAAAACTGGACAGAAGCATTCGGAGAAACTTCTTTATGATGTGTCTATTCATCGCACAGAGTTGAACATTCTTTTGATTGAGCATTTTAGAAACAGTCTTTTTGTAGAATCTGCAAAGGGATATTTGTGAGCCCTTTTTGTGCTATTCTGAAATAGGAAATATATTCACATAAAAACTAGACGGAAGCTTTCTGAGAAACTATTTAGTGATTTGTGATTTAATGTCACAGAGTTGAAAGTTTCTTTTGATTGAGCAGTTTGGAAACAGACTTTTTGTAGAATCTGCAAATGGACATTTGGAGCACTGTGAGGCCTATGGTGAAAAAGGAAATGTCTTCACATAAAAACTAGACAGACGCATACTGAGAAACTCTCTTGTGAAGTGTGCATTCATCTGACAGAGTTGAACTTTTCTTTTGATAGAGCAGTTTGGAAAGCGACCTTTTGTAGAATCTCCAAAGGGATATTTTTGAGCCCCTTATGGCCTATGGTGAAATAGGAAATATCTTCACATAAAAACTAGACAGAAGCTTTCTGAGAAACTTCTTTGTGATGTGTGCTTTCATGTCACAGAGAGGAACCTTTCTTTTGATTGAGCAGTTGGGAAACAGTCTTTTGGTGTAATCTGCAAATGGATATTTGGAGCGTTTTTGTGCCAATGGTGAAAAAGGAAATATCCTCATCTAATAACTAGACAGAAGCTTTCTGAGAAACTTCTTTGTGATGTTTGCATTCATCTCATAGAGTTGAACACTTCTTTTAATGGAGCAGTTTAGAAACAGTATTTTTGTAGTATCTACAGAGGGATATTTGTGAGCAGTTTAAGTCCTATGGTGAAAAAGGAAATATCTTCACATAAAAACAAGACAGAAGATTTCTGAGAAACTTTTTGTGATGTGTGCATTCAAATAAAAGAGTTGAACTTTTTTTTTGAATGAGCAGTTTGGAAACAGTCTTTTTGTAGAATATGCAAAGGGATAATTCTGAGCGGTTTGAGGCCTAGCATGAAAAAGGAAATATATTCACATAAAAACTAGACAGAAGATTTCTGAGGAACTACTTTGTGATGTGTGCATTCATCTCACAGAGTTGAAACTTTCTTTTGATTGAACAGTTTGGAAACTGTCCTTTTGTAGTATCTGCAAAGGGATATTTGTGAGCATTTTGTGTCCTACGGTGAATAAGGAAATATCTTCACATATAAACTAGACAGAAACATTCTGAGAAGCTTCCTTGTGATGTGTGCATTCAACTCATGGAGTTGAAGTTTTCTTTTGAATGAGCAGTTTGGAAACAGTATTTTTGTAGGATCTGCATAGGGATATTTGGGATCCCTTTGAAGCCTAAGGTGAAAAATGAAATATCATCACATAAAAAGTAGACATAAGCTTTCTGAGATACTTCTTTGGAATGTGTGTATTCATCTAACAGAGCTGAACATTTATTTTGATTGAACAATTACTAAACAGTCTTTTTATAGAATCTTCAAAGGGATATTTGGGAGCCCATTGAGGCCTATGGTGAAAAAGGAAATATCTTCACCTAAAAATTAGACAGAATATTTCTGAGACACTTCTTTGTGATGCGTGCATTTATCTCACAGAGGTGAATCTTTGTTTTGATTGAGCAGTTAGGAAACAGTCTTTTTGTAGAATCTGCAAAGGGATGTTTGGGAGCCCTTTGAAGACTGTGGAGAAAAAGGAAATATCGTCACATAAACAGTAGCCAGAAGCCTCCTGAGAAACTTATTTGTGATGAGTGCATTCATCTCACAGAGTTGAATCTTTCTTTTGATTGAGCAGTTTGGAAACAGTCTTTTTGTAGAAATTTCCAATGGATATTTCTAAGCAGTTTGAGGCCTATGTTGAAAAAGGAAATATTTTGATGTAAAAACTAGACAGAAACTTTCAGAGAAACCTCTTTGTGATGCGTGCATTCATCTCAGAGAGTTGAAACATTCTTTTGAGTGAGCAGTTTGGAAACAGTTTTTTATAGAATCTGCAAGAGGATATTTCTGGGCATTTTGAGGCCTACGGTGAATAAGGAAATATAGTCACATAAAAACTAGACAGAAGCTTTCTGAGAAACTTCCTTCTAATATGTGCATTCAACTCACAGAGTTGAACGGTTCTTTTGAATGAGCAGTTTGGGAACAGTATTTTTGTAGTATCTGCCAAGTGGTATTTGGGATCCCTTTGAGTTCTATGGTGGAAAAAGAAATATCTTCACATAAAAACTAGACAGAAGCTTTCTGAGAAACCTCTTTGTTATGTGTGCATTCATCTCACAGTGTTGAACCATTCTTTTGATAGAACAGTTTGGAAAGAGTTTTTTTGTAGTATCTGCAAAGGGATATTTGAGTGCGCTTTGAGGTCTATGGTGAAAAAGGAAATGTCTTCACATAAAAACTAGATGGAAGCTTTCTGAGAAACTGCTTTGTGATGCCTGCATTCATCTCAAAGAGTTGCACATTTCTTTAGATTGAGCAGTTTGGAAGCAGTCTTTTTGTAAAAACTGCAAAGGGATGTGTGGGAGCCCCTTTAGGCATATGGTGAAAAAGGAAATATCTTCACCTAAAAAGTAGACAGGATATTTCTGAGAAACTCCTTTGTGATGTGTGCATTCATCTCACAGATTTGAATCTTTCTTTTGATTGAGCAGTTTGGAAACCATCTTTTTCTAGAATCTGCAAAGGGATATTTCTGAGTGGTTTGAGGCCTATGGTGAAAGAGGAAATGTCCTTACATAAAAACTAGACAGAAGATTTCTGAGAAACTTCTTTGTGATGTGTGCATTAATCTCACAGATTTGAATCTTTCATTTGATTTAGCAGTTTGGAAACACTCTTTTTCTAGAATCTGCACGGGGATAGTTCTGAGCATTTTGAGGACTATGGTGAAAAAGGAAATACCTTCACATGAAAACTAGACAGAAGCATTCTGAGAAACTTCCTTGTGATGTTTGTATTCAACTCAAAGAGTTGAACTTTTCTTTTCAATGAGCAGTTTGGAAAAGTTATTTTTGTAGAATCTGCCAAGGGATATTTGGGATCCCTTTGAGGCCTAGGGTGAAAAATGAAATATCTTCACATAAAAACTAGACAGAAGCTTTCTGGGAAACTTCTTTGTGATGTGTGCATTCATCTCACAGAGCTGAAAGTTTCTTTGGATTCAGCAGTTGGAAACAGTCTTTCTGTAGAATCTGCAAAGGGATATTTGGGAGCCCCTTGTGGTCTATGGAAAAAGGAAATATCTTCACCTAAAATGTAGACAGAATATTTCTGAGAATCTACTTTGTGATGTGTGCATTCATCTCACAGAGTTGAACCTTTCTTTTGATTGAGAAGTTTGGAAAAAGTCTTTTTCTAGAATCTGCAAGGGGATATTTCTGAGCATTTTGAGGCCTATGGTGAATAAGGAAATATCTTCACATAAAAACTAGAGAGAAGATTTCTGAGAAACTTGTTTGTGTTGTGTGCATTCATCTCACAGGGTGAAACTTTCTTTTGATTGAGCAGTTTGGAAACAGTCTTTTTGTAGAATTTGCAAGGGGATATTTCTGAGCAGTTTGAGGAATGTGGTGAAAAAGTAAACATCTTCACATAAAAATTAGACAAAATATTTCTGAGAAACTTCTTTGTGATGTGTCCATTCATCTCACAGAGTTCATACTTTATTTTGATTGAGCATTTGGAAACAGTCTTTTCCTAGAATACGCAAGGGGATATTCCTGAGCATTTTGAGTCCTACGGTGAATAACGAAATATCTTCACATAAAAACTAGGCAGAAGCATTCTGAGAAACTTCCTTGTGATGTGTGCATTCCACTCACAGAGTTGAACTCTTCTTTTGAATGAGCAGTTTGGAAACAGTATTTTTGTGGGATCTGCAAAGGGATATTTGGGATCCCTTTGAGCATATGGTGAAAAAGGAAATAACTTCACAGAAAAACTAGACAGAAGCTTTCTGAGAAACTTTTTGTGATGTGTGCATTCATCTCACAGAGTTGAATGTTTCCTTTGATTGAGCAGTTTGAAAACAGTCTTTTTGTAGAATCTGCAAAGGGATATTTGGGAGCCCGTTGAGTCCTATGTTGAAAAAGGAAACATCTTCACCTTGAAAGTAGACAGAATCTTTCTGAGAAACTACTTTGTGATGTATGCATTCATCTCATGGAGTTGAACCTATCTTTTGATTGAGCACTTTGGAAACAGTTATTTTCTAGAATCTGGAAAGAGATATTTCTGAGGGGTTCAGGCCAATGGTGAAAAATGAAATATGTTCAACCAAAAAGAAGACAGAAGCTTTCTGAGAAACTTCTTTCTGATGCCTTCATCTCACAGAGTTGAACCTTTCTTTTGATTGAGCGGTTTGGAGACCGTCTTTTTGTAGAATCTGCAAAGGGATATTTTGGAGCCCTTTGAGGCCTATGGTGAAAAAGAAAATATCTTCTCATAAAAACTAGGCAGAAGCTTTCTGGGAAACTTCTTTGTGATGCGTGCATTCATTTCACAGAGTTCAAACTTTCTGTTGATTGAGCAGTTTGGAAACTGTCTTTTTATAGAATCTGCAAAGGGATGTTTGGGAGCCCTTTGGGGCCTACGGTGAAAAAGGAAATATCTTCACATAAAAACTAGCCAGAAGCTTTCTGAGAAAATTTGTGATGCCTGAATTTATCTCACAGAGATGAATCTTTCTTTTGATTGAGAAGTTTGGAAACAGTCTTTTCGTAGAATCTGCAAACAGATATTTCTGAGCTGTTTGAGGCCTATGGTAAAAAAGGAAATATTCCCATATAAAAACTAGACAGAAGCTTTCTGAGAAACTTCTTTCTGATGTGTGCCTTCATCTCACAGAGTTGAAACTTTCTTTTGCTTGAGCAGTTTGGAAACAGTCTTTTTGAAGAAACTTTAAAGGGATATTTGGGGGCCCCTTGAGGCCTATGCTGAAAAAGGAAATATCTTCACCTAAAAAGCAGACAGAATATTTCTGAGAAACTTCTTTTTGACGTGTGCATTCATCTCACAGAGTTGAAACTTACTTTTGGTTGAGCATTTTTTAAACAGTATTTTTGTAGTATCTGCACAGGGTTATTTCTGAGCGGTTTGAGGTCTATGGTGAAAAAGGAAATAATACCTTCATATGAAAACTAGACAGAAGCTTTTGTAGAAACTTCCTTGTGATGTGGGAATTCATCTCAGAGCGTTGAAACTTTCTATTCATTGAGCAGTTTGGAAAGAGTCTTTTTGTAGAATCAGCAAAGGGATATTTGAGGGAGCTTTCAAGCGTATGCTGAAAAAGGAGATATCTTAACATAAAAACTAGACAGGCGCTTTCTGAGAAAGTTCTTTGTGATGCATGCATTCATCTCACACAGTTGAACCTTTCTTTTGATTGAGCAGTTTGCAAACACTCTTTTGGTAGAATCTGCAAGTAGATATTTAGAGTGCTTAGCTGCCTAGCATGGAAAAGGAAATATCTTCACATAAAAACTAGACAGAAGCATTCTGAGAAACATCTTTGTGATGTGTGCATTTAACTCACAGAGTTGAAACTTTCTGGTGATGGAGCAGTTTCAAATTAGTCTTTTTGTATTGTCTTCTAATGGATATTTGGAGCGCTTTGAGGCCTATAGTGGAAAAGCAAATATCTTCATATAAGAACTAGACAGAACCATTATGAGAAACTTCTTTGTGATGTGTGCATTCATCTCACAGAGTTGAACCTTTCTTTTAATTGAGGAGTTTTGAAATACTCTGTTTGTAGAATCTACAAGTGGATATTCAGAGAGCTCTGAGGCCTATGGTGGAAAAGGAAATATCTTCACATAAAAACTAGACAGAAGCATTCTGAGAAACTTCTTTGTGATGTGTGCATTCATCTCACAGAGTTGAAACTTTCTATTGATTGAGCAGTTTGGAAGTGGTCTTTTTGTGTTATATGCTAATGGATATTGGAGTGTTTTGAGGCCTACAGTGGAAAAGGAAATATCTTCACATAAAAACTAGAGAGAACCAACTGAGAAACTTCTTTGTGATGTGTGCATTCATCTCACAGTGTTGAACCTTTCTTTTGATTGAGCAGTTTTGAAACAATCTTTTTGTGGAATCTGCAAATGGATATTTGGAGCACTCTGAGGC
Source organism: Homo sapiens (assembly GCF_000001405.40). Classification (NCBI taxonomy): domain Eukaryota; kingdom Metazoa; phylum Chordata; class Mammalia; order Primates; family Hominidae; genus Homo; species Homo sapiens. Next base: position 62,574,338 of record NC_000007.14, on the reverse strand, counting down.
CTAAGGTGGGAAAGGAATTATCTTCACATAAAAACTAGACAGAAGCATTCTGAAAAACTTCCTTATGATGTGTGCATTCAACTCACAGAGTTGAAACTTTCTATTGACTGAGCTGTTTGGAAGCAGTCTTTTTGTGTTACTGCTAATGGATATTTGGAGTGCTTTGAGGCCTATAGTGGAGAAGGAAATATTTTCACACAAAACCTAGACATAAGCTTTCTGAGAAACACGTTTGGGATGTGTGCATTCATCTCTCAGGGTTGAAACTTTCTTTTCATTGAGCACTTCTGAAATACTCTTTTTGTAAAATCTGCAAGTGGATATTTGTAGCACTTTGCAGCCTATACTGGAAAGGGAGATATCTTCTCATAAAAACTAGACTGAAGCAGTCTGAGAAACTTTTTTGTGATGTGTGCATTGAACTCATGGAGTTGAACATTTCTTTTGATATAGCAGTTTTGAAACATTCTTTTTGTAGAAACTTCAATTGGATAGTTGGAGCGCTTTGAGGCCTATGGTGGAAAAGGAAATATCTTCACATAAAAACTAAACAGAAGCATTCTCCAAAACTTCTTTGTGATATGTGCATTCAACTCACAGAGTTGAACTTCCTTTTGATAGAACAGTTTTGAAACACTCTTTTTGTAGAATCTGCAAATGGGTATTTGGCTCCCTTTGAGGCCTATGGTGAAAAAGGAAATATCTTCACATAAAAACTAGACACAAGTATTCTGAGAAACTTCTTTGTGATGTGTGCATTCAACCTACAGAGTGGAACCTTTCTTTTGATAGAGCAGTTTTGAAACACTCTTTTTGTAAAATCTGCAAGTGGATATTTGGTTTCTTTGAGGCCTATGTTGGAAAACGAAATTGAACCTTTCTTTTGATAGAGCAGTTTTGAAACCCTCTTTTTGTAGAATCTGCAAGTGGATATTTAGAGTGCATTGTGGGCAATAGTAGAAAAGGAAATATCTTCACATAAAAATTAGACAGAAGCATTCTGAGAGAATTCTTTCTGATGTGTTTATTTATCTCACCGAGTTCAATTATTCCTTTTATTGAGCAGTTTTGAAACACTCTTTTTGTTGAATCTGCAAGTGGATATTTGGAGCACTCTGAGGCCTATGGTGAAAAAAGAAATATCTTCACTTAAAAACTAGGAAGAAGCATTCTGAGAAACTTCCTTATAATGTGTGCATTCAACTCACAGAGTTGAAACTTTCTATTGATTGAGCTGTTTGGAAGCAGTCTTTTTGTGTTACTGCTAATGGATATTTGGAGCGCTTTGAGAACTATAGTGGAAAAGGAAATATTCTTCACATAAAAACTAGACAGAAGCATTCACCGAAACTTCTTTGTGATGTGTGCATTCAACTCACAGAGTTGAACTTTTCTTTTGATAGAGCAGTTTTGAAACACTCTTTTTGTGGAATCTGCAAGTGCATATTTGGAGCGCTTTGAGGTCTATGGTGGAAAAGGAAATATGTTCACATAAAAACTAGACAGAAGAATCCTTAGAAACTTCTTTGGGTTGTGTGCATTCAACTCACAGCATTGAACCTTTCTTTTGATAGAGCAGTTTTGAAACACTCTATTTGTAGAATCTGCAAGTGGATATTTGGAGTGCTTGGAGGCCTATGGTGGAAAAGGAAATTTCTTCACGTAAAAACTAGACAGAAGCATTCTCCGAAACTTCTTTGTGATGTGTGCATTCAACTCACAGAGTTGAACCTTTCTTTTGAGAGAGCAGTTTTGAAATACTCTTTTTGTAGAATCTGCAAGAGGGTATTTGGAGCACTTTGTGGCTTATTCTGGAGAAGGAAATATCCTTACATAAAAACCAGAGAGAAGCATTCTGAGGAACTTCTTTGTGATATGTGCATTGATCTCACAGAGATGAACCTTTCTTTTGATTGAGCAGTTTTGAAACACTCTTTTTGAAGAATCTGCTAGTGTATATTTGGAGTGCTTTGAGGCTTATGGTGGCAAAGGAAATATCTTCACATGAAAACTAGACAGAAGCATTCTGAGAAACTTCTTGCTGGTGTGTGCATTCAACTCACAGAGTTGAACATTTCTATTCATTGAGCAGTTTGTAAACCATCTTTTTGTATTATGTGCTAAAGGATATTTGAGTGCTTTGAGGCCAATAATATAAAGTGAAATATCTTCACATAAAAATTAGACAGAAGCATTCTTAGAAAATTATTTGTGATGTCTGCATTCATCTCACAGATTTGAACGTTCTTTTGATTGAGCAGTTTTGAAACACTCTTTTTGCAGTATCTGCAAGTGGATATTTCAAGCGCTTTGTGTCCCATAGTCAAAAAGGAAATATCTTCACATAAAAACTAGAAAGAAGCATTTTGAGAAACTTCTTTGTGATAAGTGCATTCATCTCACAGTGTTGAACCTTTCTTTTGATTGAACAGCTTTTAAACAATGTTTTTGTGGAATCTTCAAGTGGATATTTGGAGCGCTCTGAGGCCTATGTTGGAAAAGGAAATATCTTCACATAAAAACTAGACAGAAGCATTCTGAGAAAATTCTTTGTGATGTGTGCATTCAACTCACAGATTTGAACTTTTCTTTTTATTTGGCATTTGGAAACTCTCTTTTTGTATTATATGCTAATGGATATTTGGAGCGTTTTGAGGCCCATAATAGAAAAGGAAATATCTTCACTTAAAACTAGACAGAAGCATTGTAAGGCAGTTCTTTGCAATGTGTGCATTCATCTCTCAGAGTTGAAGCTTTCTTTTGATTGAGCAATTTTAAAACACTCTTTTTGTGGAATCTGCAATTGGATACCTGTAGTGCTTTGCAGAATATAGTGAAAAGGGAAATATCATCTTCACATAAAAACAGAAATATTCAGAGAAACTTCTTTGCGATGTGGACATTCAACTCACCAAGCTGAACATTTCTATTGGTTGAGCAGTGTTTAAACAGTCTTTTTGTATTATCTGCTAATGGATATTTGGAGCGCTTTGAGGCCTGTAGTGGAAAAGGACATATCTTCACTTAAAAACTAGACAGATGCATTCTGAGAAACTTTTTTGTGATGTGTGCATTCATATCATGGAGTTGAACCTTTCTTTTGATTGAGCAGTTTTGAAATGCTCTTTTTGTAGAATCTGCAAGTGGATATTTGGAGCGCTCTGGCCTATGGTGGAAAAGGAAATATCTTCACATAAAAACTAGACAGAAGCATTCTCCAAAACTTCTTTGTGATGTGTGCATTCAACTCACAGAGTTGAATCTTTCTATTAATTGAGCAGTTTGGAAACAGACTTTTTGTATTATCTGCTAATTGATATTTGTGGCTCTTTGCAGCCTGTTGTGGAAAAGGAAATATCTTCACATAAAAACTAGACAGAAGCATTCTGAGAAACTTCTTTGTGATGTGTGCATTCATCTCACAGAATTGAACCTTTCTTTTCATTGAGCAGTTTTGAAACACTCTTTTTGTAGAATCTGCAAGTGGATAAGTGGAGCTGTCTGAAGCATATGGTGGAAAAGGAAATATCTTCACATAAAAACTAGACAGAACTTAAAGTATAATAATAATAAAATAAAATGAAAAAAGAAAGAAAAATAATGAACAAATTCAGCATGGTTGCAGAATACAAAATCATAGAAAAATCAGTTGTATTTCAATATACAGCAACAAAATATATGAAAAAGAAATCACATTTACTATAGCTACAATAAAATAAAATACCCTGAAATAAATTTAGCCAAAGAAATGAAGTATCTCTATAATGAAAACTATGGAACATTGGTAAAGGAAATGGAAGAAAATATTAGTAAATGTAAAGATATCCTGTGCTCATGGATTAGAAGAATTAGTATTGTTAAAATGTATATACTATCTAAGCAATCTGCAGATACAATAAAATCCCTATCAAAATCCCAATGACATTCTTCACAGAAAAGCATTCCTAAACTGTGGGGGGAAAAAAGTCATTTTGAGTATTGTATTATTCAGATTATTCCGAAATGGAAATAAGGCAAATATATTTTCTCTGATGTATTGTCTAGCGTGTTCTATTTTTCTGAAATTTCATTAATGAGTGTCATCTGTGAAGTTTGACATTAACATATCATGTATGAAAATTATTTTAAAATGTATTCCTTACCTTGTGTATATGTATATATTACTTTTACATTTTTGCTTTTGATTCTAAGACAAACTTATTTTAACAGAGTCATACAAATTAGTAGATGAAAAAATAATCTCAAAAAACAAAAATGTTATTATAAATGAACCTTTCAACATTACTTAAGAATAAGTACCAATTTTTTGCTATGAAGATGACTATCCATCAGATTATTCTATGTTATCTCTGCTATGACTGAGACTTCAATAATTAGGTTTTCTGAAAAATAGATTTGCAGGGGAATGTAACAGGTTTCAGAATTTTTCACTTAAAATTTAATCTTAAACTGAACATTTAACCTTAAGAAAAATTAGATCTCAGAACTTTATCTCACTTGAAATCATCTCAAATAAAAAAAGAATAAAGGAAAAAAGCAAAAATGAGCTGCTGATACAGGGAAAATTTTGCTGCCAGGAAATCAGTTCCATGGGATCAGTCTGCCTGAGTCTCATCTTGACTTCACTCATAATAAAGGTGTGTAAATCAATGCTTAAAAAATAAATAAAATAAAACTAGACAGAAGTATTCTGAGAAACTACTTCGTGAAGTGTGCATTCAACTCACAGAGCTGAAATTTTCTATTGATTGAGCAGTTTGGAAACAGTCTTTTTAATTATCTGCTAATAGATATTTGGAGTGCTTTGAGGCCTGTAGTGGAAAACGAAATACCTTCCCATAAAAACTAGACAGAAGACATCTGAGAAACTTCTTTGTGATGTGTGCATTCATCTCACAGAGTTGAACCTTTCTTTTGATTGAGCAGTTTTGAAACACTCTTTTTGTAGAATCTGCAAGTGGATATTTGGAGTGCTTTGTGGCCTACATTGGAAAAGGAAATATCTTCACATAAAAAGTAGAAAGAAGCATTCTCAGAAACTTCTTTGTGATATGTGCATTCGTCTCACAGAGTTGAACCTTTCTTTTGATTGAGCAGTTTTGAAACACTCTTTTTGTAGAATCTGCAAGTGGATATTTGGAGCACTTTGTGGCCTATAGTAGCAACTGAAATATCTTCACAAAAAAACTAGAGAGAAGCATTCTGAGAAACTACCTTGTGATGTGTGCAATCAGATCACAGAGTTGAACTTTTCCATTAAATGAGCAGTTTGGAAACAGTCTTTTTGTATTATCTGCTAATGGATATTTGGAGCGCTTTGAGGCCTATAGTGGAAAAGGAAATATCTCCACATAAAAACTAGACAGAAGCATTATGAGAAACTTATTTCTGGTGTGTGCATTCATCTCACAGAGTTGAAACTTTCTTTTGATTGAGCAGTTTTGAAACATTCTTTTTGTAAAATCTGCAAGTGGATATTTTGAGTGCTCTGACGCCTATGGTGGAAAGCGAAATATCTTCACATAAAAACTAGACAGAAGCATTCTGAGAAACTTCTTTGTGATGTGTGTCTTCATCTGACAGAGTTTAACCTTTCTTTTGATTGAGCTGTGTTGAAACACTCTTTTTGTAGAATCTGGAAGTGGATATTTGGAGCGCTTTATGGCCTTTAGTGGCAACCAAAATATCTTCACATAAAACTAGACAGAAGCATTCTGAGAAACTTCTTTGTGATGTGTGCATTCATCTCACGGAGTTGAAACTTTCTTTTGTTTGAGCAGTTTTGAAACACTCTTTTTGTGGAATCTGCAAGTGGATAATTTGAGTGCTCTGAGGAGTATGGTGGAAAAGAAAAATGTCTTTACATAAAAACCAGACAGAAGCATTATCAGAAACCTCTTTGTGATGTGTGCATTCAACTCACAGAGTTGAAACTTTCTAATTATTGAGTAGTTGGGAAACAGTCTTTTGTAATATTTGCTGATGGATATTCGGAGTAGTTTGATGCCTATAGCAGAAAAGGAAATATCTTCACTTGAAAACTAGACAGAAGCATGCTGAGAAACTTCTTTTTGATGTGTGCATTCATCTCACAGAGTTGAACCTTTCTTTTGATTCAGCAGTTTGAAACACTCTTTTTGTAGAATCTGCAAGTGGATAATTGGAGCACATGGCCGCCTATAGTGGAAAAGGAAATATCTTCACATAAAAACTAGACAGAAGCATTCTGAGAAACTTCTTTCTGATGTGTGCATTCATCTCACAGAGTTGGACGTAACTTTTGATTGAGCAGCTTTGAAACACTCTTTTTGTAGGATCTGCAGTTGGATATTTGGAACTCTCTGAGGCCTATGGTGGAAAAGGAAATATCTTCACATAAAAACTAGACAGAAGCATTCTGAGAAACTACTTTGTGATGGGTGCATTCATCTCACAGAGTTGAAACTGTCTATTGATTGAGCAGTTTGGAAACAGTCTTTTTGTACTATCTGTTAATGCATATGTGGAGCACAGTGAGGCCTATAGTGGAAAAGGAAATATCATGATATAAAAACTAGACAGAAGCATTCTGAGAAACTTTCTAGTGATGTGTGCATTCATCTCAGAGTGTTGAACCTTTCTTTTGATTGAGCAGTTTTGAAACACTCTTTTTGTAGCATCTGCAAGTGGATATTTGGAGTGGTTTGCAGCCTAGAGTGGAAAAGGAAATATCTTCCCATAAAAACTAGACATAAACATTCTGAGAAATTTCTTTATGATGTGTGCATTCATCTCACAGAGTTGAAACTTTCTTTTTATTGAGCAGTTTTGAAACACTCTTTTTGTAGAATCTGCAAGTGGATATTTGGAGCACTTAGCGCCCTTTCATGGAAAAGGAAATATCTTCACATAAAAACTAGACAGAAGCATTCTGAGAAACTTCTTTGTGATTTGTGCATTCATCTCACAGAGTTGAACCATTCTTTTGATTGAGCAGTTTTGAAACACTCTTTTTGTCAAATCTGCAAGTGGATATTTGGAACGCTTTGTGGCCTATGGTGCCAAAGGTCATATCTACACAAAAAACTAGACAGAAGCATTCCGAGAAACGTCTTTATGATGTGTGCTTTCAACTCAGAGAGTTGAACCTTTCTATTGATTGAGCAGTTCAGAAACAGTCCTTTTGTACTATCTGCTAGTGGATATTTGAAGCGCTTTGAGGCCAATAGTGGAAAAGGAAATATCTTCACATAAAAACTAGACAGAAGCATTCTCAGAAACTTCTCTGTGATGTGTGCATTCATCTCACAGAGTTGAACCATTCTTTTCATTGAGAAGTTTTGAAACACTCCTTTTGTAGAATCTGCAAGTGGATATATGAAGCACTCTGAGGCTTATGGTGGAAAAGACAATATCTTCAGAAAAAAAAGAGATGGAAGCATTCTGAGAAACTTCTTTGTGATGTGTGCCTTCAACTCATGGAGTTTAACGTTTCTATTGATTTAGCAGTTTGGAAACAGTCGATTTGTATTCTCTGCTAATGGATATTTGGAGTGCTCTGAGGACTGTGGTGGAAAAGGAAATATCTTCACATCAAAATTTACACAGAAGCATTTTGAGAAACTTCTTTCTAATTTGTGCATTCAACTCACAGCGTTGAATCTATCTTTTGATAGAGCAGTTTTGAAACTTTCTTTTCGTAGAATCTGCCATGGATATTTGGAGCCCTTTGCAGCCTATGGTGGAAAAGGAAATATCTTCATATAAAAACTTCACAGAAGCATTCTGAGAAAATTCTTTGTGATGTGTGCATTGATCTCACAGCGTTGAACCTCTTTTTTGATTGAGCAGTTTGGAAACACTCTTTTTGAAGAATCTGCAAGTGGATATATGGAGCGCTTTGAGGCCTATGGTGGAAAAAAAATATCTTCACATAAAAACTACACTGAAGCATTCTGAGAAACTTCCTTGTGTTGTGTGCATTCAATTCACATAGGTGAACCTATCTTTTGATAGAGCAGATTTCAAAATCCCTTTTGTAGAATCTGCAAGTGGACATTTGGAGCCTTTTGTGGCCAATGGAGGAAAAGTGAATATCCTCTCATAAAAACTACACAGAAGGATTCTGAGAAACTTTTTGTGATGTGTGAATTCATGTCAAAGAAGAGTTGAACCTGTCATTTGAGGGAGCAGTTTTGAAGCACTCTTTTTGTGGAATCTTCAAGCAGATATTTGGAGCACTTGGAGGCCTACTGTGGAAAAGGAAATACTTTCACTTAAAAACTACACAGAAGCACTCTGAGAAACTTCTTTGTGATGTGCCCATTCATCTCACAGAGTTGAACTTTTCTTTTGATTGAGCTTTTTGGAAACACTCTTTTTGTAGAATTTGTAATTGGATATTTGGAAGGCTTTTTGCCCTTGGTGGAACAGGAAATATCTTCACATATAAACCACACAGAAGCATTCTCAGAAACTGCTTTGTGATGTGTGCATTCATCTCAAAGGGTTGTACGTTTCTTTTGATAGAGCAGTTTTGATAGACTCTTTTTGAAGAATCCTCAAGAGGACATTTGGAGCGCTATGAGGCCAATGGTGGAAAAGGAAATATCTTTGCATAAAAACTACACAGAAGCATTCTGAGAAACTGCTTTATGATGCTTGCATTCAACTCGCAGAGTTGAACCTGTCCTTTGATAGAGGAGTTTCCAAACTCTCTTGTGGCAGATGGTGGGAAAAAAAAATTTCTTCCCATGAAAACTACACAGAGGCATTCTGAGAAACATTTTCTGAGGTGAGCATTAAACTCGCAGTGTTGAATCTATCTTTTGATAGGGCAGTTTTCAAAATCCCTTTTCATAGAATCTGCAAGTGGATATTTAGAGCCCTTTGTGGCCAATGGTGGAAAAGGAAATATTTTTCCATAAAAACTACACAGATGCTTTCTGAGAAATTTCTTTGTGATGTGTGCATTCAATTCACAGAGTTGAACTTTTCTTTTGATTGAGCAGTTTTGAAACATTCTTTTTGTACAATCTGCAAGTGGATATTTGGAGCGCTTTGAGGCCTATTGTGGAAAAGGAAATATCATCACGTAAAAACTAGACAGAAGCATTCTGAGAAACCTCTTTGTGATGTGTGCATTCAACTCACAGAGTTGAACCTTTCCTTTCGTTGAGCAGTTTGAAACACTGTTTTTGTAGAATCTGCAAGAGGATATTTGGAGCACTTTGAGCCCTATAGTGGAAAAGGAAATATCTTCAAATAAAAACTAGACAGAAGCATTCTCAGAAGCTTCTTTGTGATGTGTGCATTCAACTCACAGAGTTGAACTTTTCTTTGGAATGACGAATTTTGAAAAACTCTTTTTGTGGAATCTGCAAGTGGATATTTGGAGTGCATTTAGGCCAATTGTGGAAAAGGAAATATCTTCACATAAAAACTAGACAGAAGCATTCTCAGAAACTTCTTTGTGATGTGTGCATTCAATTTACAGAGTTGAAGCTTTCTTTTGATAGAGCAGTTTTTAGACACTCTTTTTGTGGAATCTGCAGTGGATTTTGGAGTTCTTTGAGGCCTATGGTGGAAAAGGAAATATCTTCACATAAAAACTAGACAGAAGCATTCTCAGAAACTTCTTTGTTAGGTGTGCATTCAACTCACAGAGTTGAAGTTTTCTTTTGATTGAGTAGTTGTGAAGTACTCTTTTTGTAGAATTTGCAAGTGGATATTTGGAGCACTTTGAGGCATATGATGAAAAAGGAAATATCATCACATAAAAACAAGACAGAAGCATTCTCAGGAGCTTCTTTGTGATGTGTGCATTCAATTCGGAGAGTTGAACCTTTCATTTGATAGAGCAGTTTTGAAACACTCTTTTTGTAAAATCTGCAAGTAGATATTTGGAGCGTTTTGAAGTCTATGGTGGAAAAGGAAATATCTTCACAATAAAAACTAGACAGAAGAATTCTCAGAAACTACTTTGTGATGTGTGCATTCAGCTCACAGACTTGAACCTTTCCATTGATTGAGAACATTTCTAAAAGTCCGTTTGTAGAATCTGCCAGTGGATATTTGGAATGCTTTGTGGCCTATGGAGGAAAAGGAAATATCTTCACATAAAAACTAGACAGAAGCATTCTCAGAAGCTTCTTGCTGATGTGTGCATTCAACTCATAGAGATGAACCTTTCCTTTGATTGAGCAGTTTTGAAAGACTCCTTTTGTAGTATCTGCAAGTGGATATTTGGAGCATTTTGAAGCCATTCGTGGAAAAGGAAATATCTTCATGTAAAAACTAGTCAGAAGCATTCTCAGAAACTACTTTGTGATGTGTGCATTCAACTCACAGAGTTGAACTTTTATTTTGGTAGAGCAGCTTTTAAACACTCTTCTTGTACAATGTGCAAGTGGATATTTAGAGCGCTTTGGGGCCTATGGTGAAAAAGGAAATATCTTCACGTAAAGACTAGACAGAAGCATTCTCAGAAACATCTATGGGATGTGTGCTTTCAACTCACAGAGCTCAACGTTTCTTTTGATAGAGCAGTTTTAAAACACTCTTTTTGTAGAAACTGCAAGTGGATATTTGGAAGGTTTTGAGGCCTATGGTGGAAAAGGAAATATCTTGCCTTAAATACTAGAAAGAGGCATTCTCAGAAACTACTTTGTGATGTGTGCATTCAATTGACAGAGTTGAGCCTTTCTTTTGATTTAGCAGTTTTGAAAAAATCTTTTTGTGGAATCAGCAAGTGGATATTTGGAGTGCTTTGAGGCATGTGGTGGAAAGGGACATTTCTTCACATAAAAACTAGACTGAAGCATTCTCAGAAATTCCTTGGTGATGTGTGCATTCAACTCACATTGTTAAATCTTTCTTTTGATAGAGCAGTTTTGAAACACACTTTTTGTAGAATCTGTAAGTGGATATTTGGAGCACTTTGAAGCCTATGGTGGAAAAGGAAATATCTTCACATAAAAACTAGACAGAAGCATTCTCAGAAACTTCTTTGTGATGTGTGCACTCAACACACAGAGTTGAACTTTTCTTTTGATCGAGCAGTTTTGAAACACACTTTTAGTGGAATCTGCAAGTGAATATTTGAAGCGCTGTGAGGCCTATGGTGGAAAAGGAAATATCTTCACATAAAAACTAGACAGAAGCATTCTCACAAACTTCTTTGTGAGGTGTGCATTCAACTCACATTGTTGAACATTTCTTTTCATAGAGCAGTTTTGAAACAGTTTTTTTTATAGAACTTGCAAGTTGATATTTTCAGCCCTTTGAGGCCTATGTTGGAAAACGAAATATGTGTACAAAAAAGTAGACAGAAGCATTCTCAGAAAGTTCTCTCTGATGTGTGCATTCAACTCACAGAGTTGAACCTTTCTTTTCATAGATAAGTTTTGAAACATTCTTTTTGTAAGATCTCGAAGTGGATATTTGGAGCGCTTGGAGGCCTATGGTGAAAAGATAATATCTTCACATAAAAATTAGACAGAAGCATTCTCAGAAACTTCTTTGTGATGTGTGCATTCAGCTCACTGAGTTGAACCTTTGTTTTGATGAAGCAGTTTTGAAACTCTCTCGTGGCAGAGTCTGCAAGTGGATATTTGGGGCGCTTTGAGGCCTATGTTGGAAAAGGAAATATCTTCACAGAAAAACTAGACAGAAGCATTCTCAGATACTTCTTTGAGACGTGTGCATTCAACACACAGATTTGAAGCAGTCTCAGAAACTTCTTTCTGATGTGTGCATTCAACTCACAGAGTTGAATCTTTCTTTTCATAGAGCAGTTTTGAAAAACTCTTTTTGTAGAATCTGCAAGTGGATATTTGGAGCTCTTTGAGGCCTATGGTGGAAATGGAAATAGCTTCACATAAAAATTGGAGAGAAGCATTCTCAGAAACTTTTTTATGATGTGTGCACTCAACTCAAAGAGTTGAACGTTTCCTTTGACAGAACAGTTTTGAAACACTCTTTTTGTAGAATCTGCAAGTGGATAGTTGCAGTGTTTTGAGGCCTATGGTGGAAAAGTAAATATCTTCACATAAAAACTAGACAGAAGCATTTTCAGAAACTTCTTTGTGATGTGTGCATTCAACTCACAGTGTTGAACCTTTCTTTTGATAGAGCAGTTTTGAAACACTCTTTTTGCAGAATCTGCAAGTGGATATTTGGAGACCATTGGGGCCTATGGTGGAAAAGGAAATATCGTCACATAAAAACTAGCAGAAGCATTCTAAGACACTTCTTTGTGATGTGTGCATTCAACTGGCCAAGTCGAGCCTTTCTTTTGATTGAGCAGTTTTGAAACACTCTTTTTGGAGAATCTGTAAGTGGATATTTGAAGCATTTTGCAGCCTGTCATGGAAAAGGAAATATCTTCACATAAAAACTAGACAGAAGTATTCTCAGAAACTACTTTGTGATGTGTGCATTCAAATCACTGAGTTGAACCTTTCTTTTGATAGAGTAGTTTTGAAACTCTCTTTTTGTACAATCTGCAAGTGGATAGTTGGAGCACTTTGAGGCCTACATTGGAAAAGGAAGCAGCTCTACATGAAAAGTAGACAGAAGTATTCTCATAAACTGCTTTGTGATGTGTGCATTCAACTCACAGAGTTGAACCTTTCTTCTGATAGAGCAGCTTTCTAACTCTCTTTTTGTAGAATCTGCAAATGGATATTTGGAGCACTTAGAGGCCTATGGTGCAAAGGGAAATATCTTCACATAAAAACTAGACAGAAGCCTTCTCAGAAACTTCCTTGTGATGTGTGCATTCATCTCACTGAGTTGAAACTTTCTTTTGCCAGAGCAGTTTTGAAATACTCTTTTTGTAGTATCTGGAAGTGGATAGTTGGAGCACTTTGACGCCTGTGGTGGAAAAGGAAATATCTTCCCATAAAAACTGGACAGAAGCATTCTCAGAAACTTTTTTGTGATGCGTGCATTCAGTTCACTGAGTTGAAACTTTCTTTTGAATGAGCAGTTTTGAAACACTCTTTCTGTAGAATCTGAAAGTGGATATTTGTAGCTCTTTGATGCCTGTAGTGGAAAAGGAAATGTCTTCACATAAAAAATAGACAGAAGCATTCCAAGAAACTTCTTTGTGATGTGTGCATTCACCTCATAGAGTTGAACCTTTCTTTTGGTAGAGGAGTTTTGAAACACTCTTTTTGTAGAAACTGAAAGTGGATATTTTTGCGCTTTGAGACCTATGGTTGAAAAGGAAATGTCTTCACATAAAAACTAGACAGAAGCATTCTCAGAAACTTCTTTGTGAAGTGTGCATTCAACTCACAGAGTTGAACCTTTCTTTTGAAAGATCAGTTTTGAAACATTCTTTTTGTAGGACCTGCAAGTGGATATTTGGAACGCCTTGACACCTATGTTGGAAAAGGAAATAACTTCATATAAAAATTAGGGAGAAGCATTCTCTGAAACTTCTTTGTGGTGGGTGCCCTCAACTCACAGAGTTGAACCGTCCTTTTGATAGAGCAGTTTTGAACTATCTTATTGTGGAAAATGCAATTTGATATTTTGGGAGCTTTAAGGCCTATAGTGGCAAAGGAAATATGTTGACATACAAACTAGACAGTAGCATTCTCAGAAACTTCTCTGTGATGCGTGCATTCAACTGACAGAATTGAATTTTCTTTTGATAGAGTTGTTTTGAAACAATCTTTCTGTAGAATCTGTGAGTGTATATTTGGATCCCTTTTAGGCCAATGGTAGAAGAGTAAATGTCTTCCCATAAAAGTTAGAGAGAAGCATTCTCAGAAACTTCTTTGTGATGTGTGCATTCAACTCACAGAGTTGAAATTTCTTTTGATAGAGCAGTATTGAAACTCTCTTTGTGTAGAATCTGCAAGTGGATATTTGGGCCCTTTGAGGCCTATGGTGGAAAAGGAAATATCTTCACAGAAAAATTGTACAGAAGCATGCTCAGAAACTTCTTATGATGTGTGCACTGAACTCACAGGTTTGAACCTTTCTTTTGATAGATCAGTTTTGAAACACTTCTTTTGTACAATCTATAAGGGGATATTTGGAGCACTTTGAGGCCTATGTTGGAAAAGGAAATATCTTCACAGAAAAACTAGATAGAAGTATTCTCAGAGAATTCTTTGTAATGTGTCCTTTCAGCTCCCAGAGTGAAACTTTCTTTTGATAGAGCAGTTTTGAAACCCACTTTATGTGCAATCTGAAAGTGGATAGTTGGAGCTCTTGGAGGCCTATGGTGGAAAGGGAAATATCTTCACATAAAAACTAGACAGAAACGTTTTCAGAAACTACTTTGTAATTTGTTCTTTCCACTCACAGAGCTGAACCTTTCTTTTGGTAGAGCAGTTTTGAAACACTCTTTTTGTTGGACCTGCAAGTTTGTAGTTGGAGCGATTTGAGGTCAATGGTTTAAAAGGAAACATCTTCATATAAAAACTAGACAGAAACATTCTCAGAAACTTCTTTATGATGTGTGCTTGCAACTCACAGAGTTGAAATTTTCTCTCCATAGAGCAGTTTTGAAACTCTTTTTGTAGAATCTGCAAGTGGATATTTGAAGCACTTTGAAGCCGGTTGTGAAAAAGGAAATATCTTCATATAAAAACTGGAGAGAAGCATTCTCCGAAACTTCTTTGTGATATTTGTATTCCACTCACAGAGTTGAAGAATTCTTTGGATAGAGCAGCTTTGAAACTCTATTTGTAGAAACTGCAAGTGGATATTTGCAGCTGTGTGTGGCCTATGGTGGAAAAGGAAATATATTCACATAAAAGCTAGACAGAAACATTCTCACAAACTTCTTTGTGATGTGTGCATTCAACTCACAGAGTTGAACCATTCTTTTGATGGAGCAGTTTTGAAACTCTCTTTTTGTAGAATGTGCAAGTTGATATTTCGAGCGCTTTGAGGAATATAGTGGAAAAGGAAATATCTTCACATAAAAATTAGACAGAAGCATTCTCAAAAACTTCTTTGTGATGTGTGCATTCAACTCACAGAGTTCGACATTTGTTTTGAGAGAGCAGTATTGAAACACTCATTTTGTAGAACATGCAAGTGGATATTTGGAGCACTTTGAGGCCTATGGTGGAAAAGGAAATATCTTCACATAAAAACTAGACACAAGAATTCTCAGAAACTTCTTTGTGATGTGTGCATTCAACTCACAGAGTTGAACCGATCTTTTGATAGAGCAGTTCTGAAACACACTTATTGTGGAATCTGTAAGTGGATACGTGGTGCGCTTTGAGGCCAAAGGTGGAAAAGGAAATATCTTTACGTAATAATTAGGTAGAAGAATTCTCAGAAACGTCTTTGTGATGTGCGCATTCAACTCACAGAGTTGAACCATTCTTTTGATAGAGTAGTTTGGAAACTCTCTTTTTGTAGAATCTGCAAGAGGATATTTGGAGCACTTTGAGGCCTATGGTGTAAAAGGAAATATCTTCACATAAAAACTAGACAGAGGCATTCTCAGAAACTTCTATGTGATGCGTGCATTCAATTCACAGTGTTGAACATTTCTTTTGATAGAGCAGTTTTGAAACATTCTTTTTGTAGGATCTGCAAGTGGATATTTGGAGCGCCTTGACAGCTATGTTGGAAAAGGAAATAACTTCACATAAAATCTAGACAGAAGCATTCTCAGAAACTTCTTTGTGATGTGTGCATTCAACTCACGGAGTTAAATCTTTCTTTTGATAGAGCAGTTTTCTAACACTCTTTTTGTAGAATCTGCAAGTGCGTTTTTGGAGAGCTTTGAGGCTAATGGTGGACAAGGAAATATCTTCACCTAAGAACTAGACAGAAGCATTCTCAGAAACTTCTTTGGATGTGTGCACTCAACTCACAGAGTTGAACTTTTCTTTTGATGATAGAGCAGTTTTGAAACATTCTTTTTGTAGAATTTGCAGTACAATATTTGGAGAGCCTTCAGGCCTATGGTGGAAAAGGAAATATCTTCACATAAAAACTAGACAGAAGCATTCTTAGAAATTTCTTTGTAATGGGTGCATTCAACTCACTGAGTTGAACATTCCTTTTTATAGAGCAGTTTTAAAACACTCTTTTTGCAGAATCTGCAAGGGGATATTTGGAGTGCTTTGAGGCCTATGGTGGAAATGGAAATATCTTCACATAAAAACTAGACAAAAGCATTCTCAGAAACTTCTTTGTGATGTGTGCATTCAAGTCACAGAGTTGAACCAATCTTTTGATATATCAGTTTTGAAACACTCTTTTTCAAGAATCTGCAAGTGGATATTTGGAGCGCCTTGGGGCCTATGGTGGAAAAGGAAATATCTTGACATGAAATCTAGACAGAAGCACTCTCAGAGACATGTTTGTAAAGTGTGCATTCAACTCACAAAGTTGAAACATTCTTTTGATAGGGCATTTTTGAATCTCTCTTTTTGTAGAATCTCCAAGTTTATATTTGGAGTGCTTTGAGGGCTACGGTGGAAAAGGAAATATCTTCACATAAAAACTAGACAGAAGCATTCTCGGAAACTACTTAGAGACGTGTGCATTCATCTCACAGAGTTGAACCTTTCTTTTGATGGAGCAGTTTTGAAACACTCTTTTTATAAATCTACAAGTGGATATTAGGAGCCCTTTGAGGCCTATGGTGGAAAAGGAAATACCTTCACATAAAAACTAGACAGAAGCATTCTCAGAAACTTCTTTGCCACGTGTGCCTTCAACTCACAGAGTTTAACTTTCCTTTTGATAGAGCAGTTTTGAAACTCTCATTTTGTAGAATCAGCAATTGGATATTTGGAGTGCTTTGAGGCCTATGGTGGAAAAGGAAATATCTTCACATAAAAACTAGACAGAAAAATTCTGAGAAACTGCTTTGTGATGTGTGCATTCAACTCACAGAGTTGAACAATTCTCTGACAGAGCAGTTTTGAAACTCTCTTTTTGTAGAATCTGCAGGTGGATATTTCGAGTGGTTTGAGGAACACAGTGGAAAAGGAAATAACTTCACATAAAAACTAGACAGAAGCATTCTCACAAGCATCTTTGTGATGTGTGCATTCAACTCACAGAGTTGAACCATTCTTTTATAGAGCAGTTTTGAAACTCTCTTTCTGTAGAAAATGCAAGTGGATATTTGGATCACTTGGAGGCCTATGGTGGAAAAGGAAATATCTACATATAAAAACTAGACAGAAGTATTCTCGGGAACTTCTTAGTGATATGTGCACTCAACTCACAATGTTGAACCTTCCTTTTGATTGATAGAGCAGTTTTGAAACACTATTTTTGCAGAATCTTCAAGTGGATATATGGAGCGCTATGAGTCCTATGGTGGAAAAGGAAATATCTTCACATAAAAACTAGACAACAGCATTCTCAGAAACTTTTTTGTGATGTCTGCATTCAACTCACAGAGTTGAACCTTTCTTTTGATAGAGTAGTTTTGAAATAGTCTTTTTGTAGAATCTGCAAGTGGATATTTGGAGCGCTTTGACGCCTACGGTGGAAAAGGAAATATCTTCACAAAAAAAATTTACAGAAGTATTCTCAGAAACTTCTTTGTGATGGGGGCATTCAACTCACAGAGTTGAACACTTCTTTTGACACAGCAGTTTTAAAACACTCTTTTTGTGGAATCTGCAAGTGGATATTTGGAGCACTTTGAGGCCTATGGTGGAAAAGAAAATATCTTCACATAGAAACTAGAAAGAAGCATTCTCAGAAACTTATTTTTAAGGTGTGCATTGAACTCACAGAGTTGAACGATTCTTTTGATTGAGAGCTTTTGACTCTCCTTTGTAGAAAATGCAAGTGGATATTTGGAGCGCTTTGAGGCCTATGGTGGAAGAGGAAATATCTTCACATAAAAACTAGAAAGAAGCATTCTCTGAAACTTCTTTGTGATGTGTGCATTCAACTCACGAGTTGAACATTTCTTTTGATAAAGCAGTTTTGAAACACTCTTTTTGTAGAATCTGCAAGTGCATATTTGGAGTGCTTTGAGGCCTGTGGTGCAAAAGGAAATATCTTCACTTAAAAACTAGACAGAAGCATTCCCCGAAACTTCTTTTTGATGTGTTCATTCAACTCACCTAGTTGAACCTTTCTTTTGATAGAGCAGTTTTGAAACACTCTTTCTGTAGAATCTGCAAGTGGATATTTGTTTCCCTTTGAGGCCTATGGTGGAAAAGGAAATATCTTCACATAATAACTAGACAGAAGCATTCTCAGAAACTTCTTTGAGATGTGTGCATTCAAATCAGAGAATTGAAACTTTCTTTTGATAGAACAGTTTTGAAACTCTCTTTTTGTAGAATCTGCAAGTGGATATTTGGAGTGCTTACAGGCCTACTGTGGAAAAGGAAATATCTTCACATAAAAACTAGACAGAAGCATTCCCCGAAACTTCTTTGTGATGTGTGCATTCAACTCACAGAATTGTACCTTTCCTTTGATAGAGCAGTTTTGAAACTCTCTTTTTGTAGAATCTGCAAATGGATGTTTGGAGTGCTGTGAGGCTTATGGTGGAAAAGGAAATATCTTCACATAGAAACTAGACAAAAGCATTCTAAGAATCTTCGTTGTGATGTGTTAATTCAACTCCCAGGGTTGAATGTTTCTTTTGATAGACCAGTTTGAAACACTTTTTTTGTGGAATCTACAAAAGGATATTTGGAGCGATTTGACGCCTACGGTGGAAAAGGGAATATCTTCACATAAAAACTAGAGAGAAGCAATCTCCGAAACTTCTTTTTGATGTGTGCATTCAAGTCACAGAGTTGAACCATTCTTTTGATGAAGCAGTTTTGAAACTCTCCTTTGAAGAAAATGCCAACGCATATTTGGAGCGCTGTGAGGCCTATAGGGGAAAAGGAAATATCTTCACATAAAAACTAGACAGAAGCATTCTCCGAAACTTCTTTGTGTTGTTGTGTATTTAATTCACAGAGTTGAACATTTCTTTTGTTTGAGCAGTTTTGAAACTCTCTTTTTGTAGAATCTCTAAGTGGATATATGGAGTGCTTTGAGCACTATGGGGGAAAAGGAAATATCTTCACATAAAAACCAGAAAGAAGTATTCCCAGAAACTTCACTGTGATGTGTGCTTTCAACTCATAGTGTTGAACTTTTCTTTTGATAGAGCAGTTTTGGAACACTCTTTTTGTAGAATCTGCAAGTTGATATTTGGAGCTCTTTGAGGCCTATGGTGGAAAAGGAAGTATCTTCACAGAAAAACTAGACAGAATCATTCTCTGAAACTTCTCTGCGCTGTGTACATTCAACATACAGAGTTGAACTTTCTTCTTATGGAGCAATTTGGAAACACCCTTTTTGTAGAATCTGCAAGTTGATTTTTGTTTCCCTTTGAGGCCTATGTTGGAAAACGAAATATCTTCACATGAAACCTAGGCAGAAGCATTCTCAGAAACTTCTTTGTGATGTGTGCTTTCAACTCACAGAGTTGAACCTTTCTTTGGATAGAGCAGTTTTGAAACAGTCTTTTTGTAGAATCTGCAAGTGGATATTTGGTTCCCTTTGAGGCCTATGTTGGAAAAGGAAATATCTTCCCATACAAAGTAGACAGAAGCATTCTCAGAAACTTCTTTGTGATGTGTGCATTCAAATCACAGAGTTGAACCTTTCTTTTCATAGAACATATTTGAAACTCTCTTTTTGTAGCATCTGCAAATGGATATTTGGAGCCCTTTTATGTTCTGTGGTGGAAAAGGGAATATCTTCTTATAAAAACTAGACAGAGGCATTCTCAGAAACTTCTTTATGAAGTGTGCATTCAACTGACAGAGTTGAACCTTTTCTTTGATAGAGCAGTTTTGTTTCTCTCTTTTTGTGGAATCTGCAAGTGTATATTTTGAGCGCTTTGAAATCTATGTTGGAAAAGGAAATATATTCACATAGAAACTAGACAAAGCATTGTAAGAAACTTCTTTGTGATGTGTTCATTCAACTCAGAGAGTTGAACGTTTCTTTTGATAGACCAGTTTGAAACGCTCTTTTTGTGGAATCTGCTAGCCAATATCTGGAGCAGTTTGAGGCCTATGGTGCAAAAGAAAATATCTTCACATAAAAAATAGACAGAACCATTCTCTGAAACTGCTTTGTGTTGTGTGCATTCAACTCAGAGAGTTGAACTTTTCTTTTGATAGAGTAGTTTTGAAACACTCTCTTTGTAGAATCTGCAAGTGGATGTTTGGCTCCCTTTGAGGCCTATGTTGGAATACAAAATATCTTCATATAAAAACTAGACAGAAGCATTCTCAGAAATTTCGTTTTGATGTGTGCATTCACCTCACAGAGTCGAATGTTTCTTTTTTTTAATTATCATTTTACTTTAAGTTTTAGGGTACATGTGCACAAAGTGCAGGTTAGTTACATATGTATACATGTGCCATCCTGGTGGGCTGCAACCACTAACTCATCATCTAGCATTAGGTATATCTCCCAATGCTATCCCTTCCCCCTCCCCGCAACCCGCAACAGTCCCCAGAGTGTGATGTTCCCCTTCCTGTGTCCATGTGATCTCATTGTTCGATTCCCACCTTTGAGTGAGAATATGTGGTGTTGGGTTTTTTGTTCTTGCGATAGTTTACTGAGAATGATGATTTCCAATTTCATCCAGGTCCCTACAAAGGACATGCACTCATCATTTTCGATGGCTGCATAGTATTCCATGGTGTATATGTGCTACATTTTCTTAATCCAGTCTATCGTTGTTGGATATTTGGGTTGGCTCCAAGTCTTTGCTATTGTGAATACTGCCACAATAAACATATGTGTGCATGTGTCTTTATAGCAGCATGATTTATAGTCCTTTGGGTATATACCCATTAATGGGATGGCTGGGTCAAATGGTATTTCTTGTTCTAGATCCCTGAGGAATCGCCACACTGACTTCCACAATGGTTGAACTAGTTTACAGTCCCACCAACAGTGTAAAAGTGTTCCTATTTCTCCACATCCTCTCCAGCACCTGTGGTTTCCTGACTTTTTATTGATTGCCATTCTAGCTGGTGTGAGATGGTATCTCACTGTTTTTTTGATTAGCATTTCTCTGATGGCCAGTGATGATGAGCATTTTTTCATGTGTTTTTTGGCTGCATAAATGTCTTCTTTTGAGAATTGCCTGTTCATGTTCCTCGCCCACTTTTTGATGGGATTTTTTTTCTGGTAAATTTGTTTGAGTTCATTGTAGATTCTGGATATTAGCCCTTTGTCAGGTGAGTAGGTTATGAAAATTTTCTCCCATTTTGTAGGTTGCCCATTCACTCTGATGGTAGTTTCTTTTGCTGTACAGAAGCTCTTTAGTTTAGATAGATCCCATTTGTCAATTTTGGCTTTTGTTGCCATTGTTTTTGGTGTTTTAGGCGAAGTCTTTGCCCATGCGTATGTCCTGAGTGGTAATGCCTAGCTTTTCTTCTAGGGTGTTGATGGTATTAAGTCTAACGTTTAAGTCTTTAATTCATCTTGAATTGATTTTTGTATAAGGTGTAAGGAAGGGATCCAGTTTCAGCTTTCTACATATGGCCAGCCAGTTTTCCCAGCACCATTTATTAAATAGGGAATCCTTTCCCCATTGTTTGTTTTTCTCAGGTTTGTCAAATATCAGATGGTTGTAGATATGTGGCATTATTTCTGAGGGTTCTGTTCTGTTTCACTGATCTATATATCTGTTTTGGTACCAGTACCATGCTGTTTTGGTTACTGTAGCCTTGTAGTAAAGTTTGAAGTCAGGTAGTGTGATGCCTCCAGCTTTGTTCTTTTGGCTTAGGATTGACTTGGTGATGCAGGCTCTTTTTTGGTTCCATATGAACTTTAAAGTAGTTTTTTCCAATTCTGTGAAGAAAGTCATTGGTAGCTTAATGGGGATGGCATTGAATCTGTAAATTACCTTGGGCAGTATGGCCATTTTCATGATATTGATTATTCCTACCCATGAGCATGGAATGTTCTTCCATTTGTTTGTATCCTCTTTTATTTCCTTGAGCAGTGGTTTGTAGTTCTCCTTGAAGAGGTCCTTCATATCACTTGTAAGTTGGATTCCTAGGTGTTTTATTCTCTTTGGAGCAATTGTGAATGGGAGTTCACTCATGATTTGGCTGTTTGTCTGTTGTTGGTGGATAAGAATGCTTGTAATTTTTGTACATAAATTTTGTATACTGAGATTTTGCTGAAGTTGCTTATCAGCTTAAGGAGATTTTGGGCTGAGACAATGGGGTTTTCTAGATATACAATCATGTCATCTGCAAAGAGGGACAATTTGACTTCCTCTTTTCCTAATTGAATACCCTTTATTTCCTTCTCCTGCCTAATTGCCCTGGCCAGAACTTCCAACACTATGTTGAATAGGAGTGGTGAGAGAGGGCATCCCTGTCTTGTGCCAGTTTTCAAATGGAATGCTTCCAATTTTTGCCCATTCAGTATGATATTGGCTGTGGGTTTGTCACAGATAGCTCTTACTATTTTGAGATACATCCCATCAATACCTAATTTAGAGTTTTTAGCATGAAGCGTTGTTGAATTTTATCACCAAAGTTGAAATGAAGGAAAAAAATATTAAGGGCAGCCAGAGAGAAAAGTCCGGTTACCCTCAAAGGGAAGCCCATCAGACTAACAGTGGATCTATCAGCAGAAACTCTACAAGCCAGAAGAGAGTGGGGGCCAATATTCAACATTCTTAAAGAAAAGAATTTTCAACCCAGAATTTCATATCCAGCCAAACTAATCTTCGTAAGTGAAGGAGAATAAAATACTTTACAGACAAGCAAATGCTGAGAGATTTTGTCACCACCAGGCCTGCCCTAAAAGAGCTCCTAAAGGAAGCACTAAACATGGAAAGGAACAACCGGTACCAGCCCCTGCAAAATCATGCCAAAATGTAAAGACCATCGAGACTAGGAAGAAACTCCATCAACTAACGAGCAAAATAACCAGCTAGCATCTGAATGACAGGATCAAATTCACACATAACAATATTAACTTTAAATGTAAATGGACTCAATGCTCCAATTAAAAGACACAGACTGGCAAATTGGATAAAGAGTCAAGACCCATCAGTGTGCTGTATTCAGCAAGCCCATCTCACGTGCAGAGACACACATAGGCTCAAAATAAAAGGATGGAGGAAGATCTACCAAGCAAATGGAAACCAAAAAAAGGCAGGGGTTGCAATCCTAGTCTCTGATAAAACAGACTTTAAACCAACAAAGATCAAAAGAGACAAAGACAATTCAACAAGAAGAACTAACTATCCTAAATATATATGCACCCAATGCAGGAGCACCCAGATTCATAAAGCAAGTCCCGAATGACCTACAAAGAGATTTAGACTCCCACACATTAATAATGGGAGACTTTAACACCCCACTGTCAACATTAGACAGATCAACGAGACAGAATGTCAACAAGGATACCCAGGAATTGAACTCAGCTCTGCACCAAGTGGACCTAATAGACATCTACAGAACTCTCCACCCCAAATCAACAGAATATACATTTTTTTCAGCACCACACCACACCTATTCCAAAATTGACCACATAGTTGGAAGTAAAGCTCTCCTCAGCAAATGTAAAAGAACAGAAATTATAACAAACTATCTCTCAGACCACAGTGCAATCAAACTAGAACTCAGGATTAAGAATCTCACTCAAAACCACTCAACTACATGGAAACTGAACAACATGCTCCTGAATGACTACTGGGTACATAACGAAATGAAGGCAGAGATAAAGATGTTCTTTGAAACCAACGAGAACAAAGACACAACATACCAGAATCTCTGGGACGCATTCAAAGCAGTGTGTAGAGGGAAATTGATAGCACTAAATGCCCACAAGAGAAATCAGGAAAGATCCAAAATTGACACCCTAACATCACAATTAAAAGAACTAGAAAAGCAAGAGCATTCAAAAGCTAGCAGAAGGCAAGAAATAACTAAAATCAGAGCAGAACTGAAGAAAATAGAGACACAAAAAAACCCTTAAAAATTAATGAATCCAGGAGCTGGTTTTTTTGAAAGGATCAACAAAATTGATAGACCGCTAGCAAGATTAATAAAGAAAAAAAGAGAGAAGAATCAAATAGATGCAATAAAAAATGATAAAGGGGATATCATCACCAATCCCACAGAAATACAAACTACCATCATGGAATACTACAAACACCTCTTTTGAAATAAACTGGAAAATCTGGAAGAAATGGATAAATTCCTCGACACATACACTCTTCCAAGACTAAACCAGGAAGAAGTTGAATCTCTGAATAGACCAATAACAGGAGCTGAAATTGTGGCAATAATCAATAGCTTACAAACGAAAGAGAGTCCAGGACCAGACAGATTCACAGCCTAATTCTACCAGGGGTACAAGGGGGAACTGGTACCATTCCATCTGAAACTATTCCAATCAATAGAAAAAGAGGGAATCCTCCCTAAGTCATTCTATGAGGCCAGCACCATCCTTATACCAAAGTCAGGCAGAGGCACAACCAAAAAAGAGAATTCTAGAGCAATATCCTTGATGAAAATTGATGCAAAAGTTCTCAATAAAATACTGGCAAACCGAATCCAGCAGCATATCAAAAAGTTTATCCACCACGATGAAGTGGGCTTTGTCCCTGGGATGCAAGGCTGGTTCAATATATGCAAGTCAATAAATGTAATGCAGCGTATAAACAGAACCAAAGACAAAAACCACATGATTATCTCAATAGATGCAGAGAATTTCTTTTGATAGAGCCATTTTGGAACACTCTTTTTGTAGAATCTGCAGGTGGATACATGGAGAGCTTTGAGACCTATGGTGGAAAAGGAAATATCTTCACATGAAAACTAGACAGAAGCATTCTCTGAAACTTCTTTGTGACGTGTGCATTCAACTCACAGAGTTGAACTTTTCTTTTGATAGAGCAGTTTTGAAACCCTCTTTCTGTGGAATCTGCAAGTGGATATTTCGTTCCCTTTGAGGCCTACGGTAGAAAAGGAAATAACTTCACATTAAAACTAGACAGAAGCATTCTCAGAAACTTCTTTGTGATGTGTGCATTCAACTCACAGAGTTGAACTATTCTTTTGATAGAGAAGTTTTGAAACTCTCTTTTTGGAGGATCTGCAAGTGGATATTTGGAGCGCTTTGGGGCCTATATTGGAAAAGGAAATATCTTCACATAAAAATTAGACAGAAGCATTCTCAGAAACTTCTTTGTGATGTGTGCATTCAACTCAAACTGATGAAACTTTCTTTTGATAGAGCAGTTTGGAAACACTCGTTTTGTAAAAATCTGCAATTGGATATGGAGCGCTTTGTGTCCTATGGTGGAAAAGGAAATACCTTCACATAAAAACTAGACAGTAGCATTCTCCAAAACTAATTTGTGATGTGTGCATTCAACTCACAGAGTTGAATATGTCTTTTGATAGAGCAGTTCTGAATCACTCCTTTTGTAGAAACTGCAAGGAGATATTTGGTTGCGTTTGAGGCCTATGTTGGAAAACAAAATGTCTTTAAATAAAAACTACACGGAAGCATTCTCCAAAACTTCTCTCTGATGTGTGCATTCAACTCACAGAGTTGAACCTTTCTTTTCATAGAGTAGTTTTGAATCACTCTTTTTGTAGTATCTGCAAGTGGATACTTGGTTCCCTTTGAGGCTTATGTTGGAATACGAAATATCTTCACATAAAAACTAGACAGAAGCATTCTCAGAATCTTTTTTGTGATGTGTGCATTGAAATTACAGAGCTGAAACTTTCTTTTGATAGAGCGGTTTTCAAACACTCTTTTTATAGAATCTGCAAGTGGACATTTTGAATGCTGTTAAGCCTACGGTGGAAAAGGAAATATCTCCACATAAAAACTAGATGGAAGCATTCTCTGAAAGTTCTTTCAGATGTGTACATTCAACTCACAGAGTTGAACCTTTCTTTTGATAGAGTAGTTTTGAAAAATAATTTTTGTAGAATCTGCAAGTGGATATTTGGTTCCCTTTGGGGCCTATGTTGGAATACGAAATATCTTCACATTAAAACTAGACAGAAGTATTCTTAGAAACTTCTTTGGATGTGTACATTCCACTCACAGAGTTGAAACTTTCTTTTGATAGAGTAGTTTTGAAATACCATTTTTGTAGAATCTGCAGGTGGATGTTTGGAGTGCTTTGAGGCTTATAGTGGAAAAGGAAATATCTTCACATAAAGAGTAGACAGAAGCATTCTAAGAAACTTCTTTTTGATGTGTGCATTCAAATCACAGAGTTGAACCATTCTTTTGATGGAGCAGTTTTGAAACTCTCCTTTGAAGAAAATGCAAGTGGATATTTTGAGCGCTTTGAGGCCTATGGTGCAAAAGGAAATAAATTCATATAAAAGCTAGACAGAAACATTCTCCGAAACTTCTTTGTGATGTGTGCATTCAACACACAGAGTTCAACCTTTCTTTAGATAGAGCAGTTTTGAAACACTCTTTTTGTACAATCTGCAAGTGGATATTTCAAGCGCTTTGAGGCCTATGGTGGAAAAGGAAACATGTTCACATAAAAACTACACAGAAGCATTCTCAGAAACGTCTTTAGGATGTGGGCATTCAACTCACAGAGTTGAACTGTTCTTTTGATAGAGCAGTTTTGAAACTCTCTTTTTGTAGAATCTGCAATTGGATATTCGCAGCACTTTGAGGCCTATGGTGGAAAAGGAAATATATTCACATAAAAAGTACACAGAAGCATTCTCAGAAACTGCTTTGTGCTGTGTGCATTCAACACACAGAGTTGAAACTTTCTTTTGAAAAAGCAATTTTGAAACACTCTTTTAGTAGAATCTGCAAGTGGATATTTGGTTCACTTTGAGGCCTATGTTGGAAAATGAAATAACTTCACATAAAAACTAGACATAAGCATTCTCAGAAACTTCTTTCTGATGTGTGCATTCAACTCACAGTGTTGAACTTTTCTTTTGATAGAGCAGTTTTGAAGCACTCTTTTTGTGGAATATGCAAGTTCATATGGGGAGCGCTTTGAGGCCTATGAGGGAAAAGGATATATCTTCACATAAAAACTAGACAGAAGCATTTTCTGAATCTCCTTTGTGATGTGTGCATTCAACTCACAGAGTTAAACCTTTCTTTTTTAAATCCTGTTTTTAAATCCTGTTTTTGTAGAATGTGCAAGTGGATATTTTGTTCTCTTTGAGGCCTATGGTGGAAAAGGAAATATCTTCACATAAAAACTACACAGAGGCATTCTCAGAAACTTCATTGTGGTGTGTACATTTGACTCATAGGGTTGAACCTTTCTTTTGATAGAGCAGTTTTGAAACACTCTTTTTTTTAGAATCTGCAATTGGATATTTGGAGTGCTTTGTGCCCTATGTAGGAAAAGGAAATATCTTCACACAAAAAGTAGACAAAAGCATTCTCAGAAACTTCTTTGTGATGTCTGCATTCAACTCACAGGGTTGAAACTTTCTTTTGATAGAGCAATATTGAAACTCTCTTTTTGTAGAAACTGCAAGTGGATATTTGGAGGGCTTACAGGCCTATGTTGGAAAATAAAATGTCTTCACATATGGACGAGACAGAAGCATTCTCAGAAACTACTTTGTGACATGTCCATTCAACTCACAGAGTTGAACATTTCTTTTAGTAGAGCAGTTTTGAAACACTCTTTTTGCAGATGCTGCAAGTGGATATTTGGAGTGCTTTGAGACCTATGGAGTAAAAGGACATATCTTCACATAAAAAGTAGAGAGAAGCATTCTCGGAAACTTCTTTGTGATGTGTGCATTAAACTGACAGAGTTGAATCATTCTTTTGATAGAGCAGTTTGAAATACTATTTTTATGGAATCTGCAAGTGGATATTCAGGCATATGGTTTAAAAGGAAATCTCTTCACCACAGGCCTCTTTTCCACCACAGGCCTTAAATCTCTTTTCCACCACAGGCCTCAAAATGCTCCAAATATCCACTTGCACATTGTACAAAAAGAGAGTTTCAAAACTGCTCTATCAAAAGAAAGGTTCATCTCTTTGAGTTGAATGCATACATCCCAAGGAAGTTTCTGAGAATCCTTCTGTCTAGTTTTTATGTGAAGATACTACTTTTTCGACCATAGGCCTCAAAGCACTCCAAATATCCACCCTCAGATAGTAGAAAAAGAGAGTTTCAAAACTGCTCTATCAAAAGGAAGGTTCAACTCTGTGACTTGAAGGCACACATCACAAAGAAGTTCCTGAGAATGCTTCTGTCTAGTTTTTATGTGAAGATATTTCCTTTTCCACCTTAGGCCTCCAAGCGCTGCAAATATACACTTGCAGATTCTACAAAAAGAGACTTTTAAAACTGCTCTTTCAAAAGAAAAGTTCAACTCTGTGAGTTGAATGCACACATCACAAAGAAGTTTCTGAGAATGCTTCTGTCTAGTTTTTATGTGAATATATTTCCTTTTCACCATAGACCACAAAGGGAACAAAATATCCACTTGCAGATTCTGCAAAAAGAGTGTTTCAAAACTGCTCTATCAAAAGAAAGGTTCAACTCTGAGTTTAATGCACATTTCACAAAGAAGTTTTCAAGAAGCTTTCTGTCTAGTTTTTATGTGATGATATTTCGTTTTCCAACATACGCCTCAAAGGAAACCAATCATCCACTTGCAGATTCTACAAAAAGAGTGTTTCAAAATTGCTCTATCAAAAGAAAGGTTCAACTCTGTGAGTTGAATACACACATCACAAAGAAGTTTCGGAGAATGCTTGTTTCTAGTTTTTACGTGAAGATATTCCCTTTTTCACCACAGGCCTCAAAGGGAACAAAATATCCACTTGCAGATTCTAGAAAAACAGTGTTTCAAAACTGCTCTATCAAAAAAGCGTTCATATCTGTGAGTTGAGTGCACACATCACAAAGAATTTTCTGAGAATGTTTCTGTCTAGTTTTTATGTGAAGATATTTCCTTTTCCACCATAGGCCTCAAAGCACTCCAAATATGCACTTACGGATTCTAGAAAAAGAGTTTTTCAAAACTGCTTTATCAAAAGAAAGGTTCAACTCTGTGAGAAGAAGGCACACATCACAAAGTAGTTTCTGAGAATGATTCTGTCTAGTTTTTACGTGAAGATATTTCGTTTTCCACACATGCCTCAAAGGGATCGAAATATTCACTTGCAGTTTCTATAAAAAGAGTGTTTCAAAACTGCTCTATCAAAAGAAAGGTACCACTCCATGGGATGAATGCACACATCAAAAAGTTGTTTCCGAGAATGCTTATGTCTACTTTTTATGTGAAGACATTTCCTTTTTCACCATAGGCCTCAAAGGGAACTAAATATCCCATTGCAGATGCTACAAAAGAGTGTTTCAAAACTGCTCTATCAAAAGAAAAGTTCAACATTGTGAGGTGAATGCACACATCATGAAGAGGTTTCTCAGAATGCTTCGGTCTAGTTTTTATTTGATGATATTCCGTTTTCCAACATCAGCCTCAAGGGAACAAAATATCCACTTGCAGATTCTACAAAAAGAATTTTTCAACACTGCTCTATCAAAAGAAATTTTCAGCTCTGTGAGTTGAATGCACACATTACAAAGAAGTTTCGGAGAATCCTTGTGTCCAGTTTTTATGTGAAGATATTTCCTTTTACACAATAGGCCTCAAAGGGAATTAAATATCCTCTTGCAGATTCTACAAAAAGAGTGTTTCCAAACTGGTCTATCAAAAGAAAGGTTCAATACTGTGAATTGAAGGCACACATCACAAAGAAGTTTCAAAGAATGCTTCTGTCTAGTTTTTATGTGAAGATATTTCCTTTTCCACCATAGTCCTCAAAGTGCTCCAAATATCCAATTGCAGATTCCACAAAAAGAGTGTTTCAAAACTGCTCTATCAAAAGAAAGGTTCAACTCTCCGAGTTGAATGCAGACATCACAATGAAGTTTCTGAGAATGCTTTTGGGTAGTTTTTATGTGAAGATATTTTGTTTTCCAACAAATGCCTCAAAAGAAACCAAATATCCACTTGCTGATTCTACAAAAAGAGTGTTTCAAAACTGTTCTATCAAAAGAAAATTTCAACTATGTGAGTTGAATGCACACATCACAAAGAAGTTTAGCAGAATGCTTATGTCTAGTTATTATGTGAAGATATTTCCATTTTCACCCTAGGCCTCAAAGGGAACCAAATATCCTCTTGCAGATTCTACAAAAAGAGTGCTTCAAAACTGCTCTATCAAAAGAAAGGTTCCACTCTGTGAGTTGAATGCACACATCACAAAGAAGTTTCTGAGAATGTTTCTATCTAGTTTTTATGTGAAGATATTTCTTTTTCCACCATAGGCCTCAAAGCGCTCCAAATATCCACTTGCAGATTTTCGAAAAAGAGTGTTTCAAAACTGCTTTATCAAAAGAAAGGTTCAACTCTGTGAGTTGAATTCGCACATCACAAAGAAGTTTCAGAGAATGCTTCTGTCTAGCTTTTATTTGAAGATATTTCCTTTCCCACCACAGGGCTAAAAGCGATCCAAATATCCACTTGTATATTGTACAAAAAGAGTACAAAAAGAGTGTTTCCAAACTGCTCTATCAAAGGAAACTTTCAACTCTGTGAGTTGAATGCACACTTCACAAAGACGTTTCTGAGAATGCTTCTGTCTAGTATTTATGTGAAGATATTTCACTTTCCAACATAGGTCTCAAGAAAAACCAAATATTCCCTTGTAGATCCTACAAAAACAGTGTTTAAAACTGCTCTAGCAAAAGAAACATTCAACTCTGTGAGTTGAATGCACACATTGCAAAGAAGTTCCTGAGAATGGTTCTGTCTAGTTTTTATGTGAAGATGTTTCCTTTTACAACATAGGCCTCAAAGGAAATAAAATATCCACTTTCAGATTCTACAAAAAGAGTGTTCCAAACTTCTCTATCAAATCAAAGCTTCAACTCAGAGACTTGAATGCACACATCACCAAGAAGTTTCAGATAATGCTTTTGTCTAGTTTTTATGTGAAGATATTTGCTTTTCCACCATAGGCACGCAAGCCCTAAAAATATCAACCTGCAGATTCAACAAAAAGAGTGTTTCAAAACTCCTCTATCAAAACAAATGTTCAATTATGTGAGTTGAATACACACATCACAAAGAAGATTCTGAGAATTCTTCTATCTAGTTTTTATGTGAAGATATTTCATTTTCCAATGTAGGCCTCAAAGGAAACCAAATATCCATTTGCAGATTCTACAAAAAGAGTGCATCTAAACTGCTCTATCAAAAGAAATGTTCAAACCCGTCAGTTGGATGCACACAATACAAAGAGGTTTCAGAGAATGCTTGTGTCTAGTTTTTATGTGAAGATATTTCCTTTTTCACCGTAGGCCTCAAAGGAAACCAAATATCCACTTGCAGATTCTACAAAAAGAGTGTTTCAAAACTGCTCCATCAAAAGAGAGGTTCAAGTCTGTGAGTTGAATGCACACATCACAAAGAAGTTTCAGAGAATGCTTCTGTCTAGTTTTTTATGTGAAGATATTTCCTTTTAAACCATAGGCCTCCAAGTGCTCCAAATATCCACTTGTAGATTCTACAAAAAGAGTGTTCCAAAACTGCTCTATCAAAAGAAAAGTTCAACTCTGTGAGTTGAATGCACACATCACAAGGAAGTTTCTGAGAATTCTTGTGTCTAGTTTTTCTGTGAAGATATTTCCTTTTCCACCATAGGCCTCCCAGCGCTCAAAATGTCCACTTGCAGTTACTACAAAAAGATTGTTTCAAAACTGCTCTATCAAAAGAAAGGTTCAACTGAGTGAGGTGAATGCACACATCAGAAAGATATTTCTGAGAATGCTTCCCTCTAGTTTTTATGTGAAAATATTTACTTTTCCACCACAGGCCTCAAAGCGCTCCAAATATCCACTTGCAGATTCGACAAAAAGAGTGTTTCCAAACTGCTCTATCAAAAGAAAAGTTCAACTCTGTGATTTGAATGCACACATCACAAAGAAGTTTCGCAGAATGCTTGTGCCTAATTTTTATGTGAAGATATTTCCTTTTTCACCATAGGCCTCAAAAGGAACAAAATATCCACTTACAGATACTACAAAAAGAGTGTTTCAAAACTGCTCTACCAAAAGAAAGTTTCAACTCTGTGTGTGGAATGCACACATCACAAAGAAGTTTCAGAGAATGCTTCTGTCTAGTGTTTATGTGAAGATATTTCCTTTTCCACTGTAAGCCTCAAAGCACTCCAAATATTCACTTGCAGGTTCTACAAAAAGAGTGTTTCAAAACTGCTCTATCAAAAGAAAGTTTCCACTCTGTGAGTAGAATGCACACATCACAAAGACGCTTCTGAGAATGCTTCAGACTAGTTTTTATGTGAATGTATTTCTTTTTCCAACATAGGCCTCAAAGAGAAACAAATATTCACTTACAGATTCTACATAAAGAGTGTTTCAAAACTGTTCTATCAAAAGAAAATTTCCACACTGTGGATTGAATGCACACATCACTAATAAGTTTCGGAGAATACTTGTGTCTAGCTTTTATGTGAAGACATTTCCTTTTTCACCATAGGCGTCAAAGGGAAAGAAATACCCACTTGCAGATTCTACAAAAAGAGTGTTTCAAAACTGCTCTATCAAAAGAAAATTTCAACTCTGTGAGTTGAATGCACACATCACAAAGAGATTTCAGAGAATGCTTCTGTCTAGTATTTATGTGAAGATATTTCCTTTTCCACCATTGGCCTTAAATTGTTCTAAATATCCACTTGCAGATTCTACAAAAAGACTGTTTCAAAACTACTCTATCAAAAGAAAGGTTCAACTCTGTTTGTTGAATGCACACATCATAAAAAAGTTTTTGAGAATGCTTCTGTCTGGTTTTTATGTGAAGATATTTCGTTTTCCAACATATGCCTCAAAGGGAACAAAATATCCAGTTGAAGATTCCTCAAAAAGAGTTTTTTGAAACTGCTCTGTCAGAAGGAAGGTTCAACTCTGTGAGTTGAATGCCAACATTACAAAGTAGTTTCTGAGAATGCTTCTGTCTAGTTTTATATGAAGATATTCCCTTTCTTTCCACAGGCCTCAAAGCGCTCCAAATATCCACTTGCAGATCCTACAAAAAGAGTGTTCTGCAACTGCTCTATCAATAGGAAGTTTCAACTCTGTGAGTTGAATGCACACATCAGAAAGAAGTTTCTGAAAGTGCTTCAGTCTAGTTTTTATGTGGAGGTATTCCAGTTTCCACCGTAGGACTCAAAGCACTCCAAATATCCCCTTGCAGATTCTAGAAAAAGAGTGTTTCAAAACTCCTCTATCAAAGGGAAGTTTCAACTCTGTGAGTTGAATGCACATATCACAAAGAAGTTTCTGAGAATGCTTCTGTCAAATTTTTTGTGACGTTATTTCTTTTTCCACCACAGGCCTCAAAGTGCTCAAATGTCCTCTTGCAGATTCTACAGAAGGAGTGTTTCAAAACTTCTCTATCAATAGGAAGTTTCAACTCTCTGAGTTGAAAGCACACTTCACAAAGTAGTTTCTGAGAGTGCTTCTTTCTAATTTTTATGTGAAGATATTCCCGTTTGCCCCATAGGCCACAAATCACTCCCAATATCCACTTGCAGATTCTACAAAAAGAGTGTTTCAAAACTGCTCTAAGAAAAGGAAGGTTTAACTCTGTGAGTTTAATGTACACATCACAAAGAAGTTTCAGAGAATGCTTTTGTCTCGTTTTCAGGTGAAGTTATTTCCTTTTCCTCCACAGACCTCAAAGCCCTCCAAATGCCCAGGTGCGGATTATACAAAAAGAGTGTTTCAAAACTGCTCTATCAAAAGAAAAGTTCAACTCTGTGAGTTGAATGCACACATCACAAAGAAGTTTCTGAGAATGATTCTGTCTGGTTTTTATGTGAAGATATTTCTATTTCCAGTGAAGGCCTCAAAGCGCTCCAAATGTCCACTTACAGATTCCACAAAAAGAGTGTTTCAAAACTGCTCTATCAAAAGAAATGTTCAACTCTGTGAGTTGAATGCACACATCACAAAGAAGTTTCTGAGAATGCTTCCGTCTAGTTTTTATGTGAAGATATTCCCGTTTACACCGTAGACCTCAAAGCACTCTTAATATCCCCTTGTAGATTCTACAAAAAGAGTGTTTAAAACTGCTCTACAAAAAGGAAGGTTCAACTCTGTTTGTTGAATGCACACATCACAAAGGAGTTTCTGAGAATGCTTTTGTCTATTTTTCATGTGAAGATATTTCATTTTCCAACATAAGCCTCAAAGGAAACCAAATATCCACTTGCAGATTCTACAAAAAGGGTGTTTCAAAACTGCACTATCAAAAGAAATGTTCAACTCTGTGAGTTCAATGCACACATCACAAAGAAGTTTCTGAGAATGCTTCTGTCTAGTTTTAATGTGAAGATATTTCCTTTTCCACCAGAGGCCTCAAAGTGCTCCAAATATACAGTTGCAGATTCTACCAAAAGAGTGTTTGAAAACTGCTCTATCGAAAGAAAGGTTCAACTCTGTGAGTTGAATGCATACATCACAAAGAAGTTTCGGAGAATGCTTCTGTCTAGTTTTTTATGTGAAGATATTTCCTTTTAAACCTTAGGCCTCAAAGTGCACCAAATATCCACTTGCAGATTGTCCAAAAAGAGTGTTTCAAAGCTGCTCTATCAAAAGAAAGGTTCAACTCTGTGAGTTGAATGTACACATCCAAAGAAGTTTACGAGAATTCTTGTGTCTAGTTTTTATGTGAAGATATTTTCTTTTCCACCATAGGCCTCCAAGTGCTCCAAATATCCACTTGCAGATACTACAAAAAGATTGTTTCAAAACTGCTCTACCAAAAGAAAGGTTCAACTGTGTGAGTTGAAGGCACACATCACAAATATATTTCTGAGAATTCTTCTGTCTAGTGTTTCTGTGAAAATATTTCCTTTTCCACCATAGGCCTCAAAGCGATACAAATATCCACTTGCAGATTATACAAAAAGAGTGTTTCAAAACTGCTCCTTTAAAAGAAATGTTCAACTCTGAGAGTTGAATTCACACATCACAAAGAAGTTTTTGATAATGATTGTGCCTAATTTTTATGTGAATATATTTCCTTTTTCACCATAGGCCACAAAGGGAACAAAATATCCACTTTCAGATCCTACAAAAAGAGTGTTTCAAAATTGCTCTATTAAAACAAAGGTTCAACTCTGTGCTTTGAATGCACACATCACAAAGAAGTTTCTGACAATGCTTTTGTCTAGTTTTTATGTGAAGATATTTCCTTTTCCACAATAGGCCTCAATGCGCTCCAAATATTCACTTGCAGATTCTACAAAAAGAGTGGTTCAAAACTACTCTATGAAAAGAAGTGTTCAACTCTGTGAGTTGAATGCACACATCACAAGGAAGTTTCGGAGAATGCTTGTGTCTTGTTTTTATGTGAAGATATTTTCTTTTCCACCATAGGCCTCCAAGTGCTCCAAATATCCACTTGCAGATACTACAAAAAGATTGTTTCAAAACTGCTCTACCAAAAGAAAGGTTCAACTGTGTGAGTTGAATGCACACATCACAAATATATTTCTGAGAATTCTTCTGTCTAGTTTTTCTGTGAAAATATTTCCTTTTCCACCATAGGCCTCAAAGCGATACAAATATCCACTTGCAGATTATACAAAAAGAGTGTTTCAAAACTGCTCCTTTAAAAGAAATGTTCAACTCTGAGAGTTGAATTCACACACCACAACGAAGTTTTTGATAATGCTTGTGCCTAATTTTTATGTGAATATATTTCCTTTTTCACCATAGGCTTCAAAGGGAACAAAATATCCACTTTCAGATCCTACAAAAAGAGTGTTTCAAAATTGCTCTTTTAAAACAAAGGTTCAACTCTGTGCTTTGAATGCACACATCACAAAGAAGTTTCTGACAATGCTTTTGTCTAGTTTTTATGTGAAGATAATTCCTTTTCCACGATAGGCCTCAATGCACTCCAAATATTCACTTGCAGATTCTACAAAAAGAGTGGTTCAAAACTACTCTACGAAAAGAAGTGTTCAACTCTGTGAGTTGAATGCACACATCACAAGGAAGTTTCGGAGAATGCTTGTGTCTTGTTTTTATGTGAAGATATTTTCTTTTCCACCATAGGCCTCCAAGTGCTCCAAATATCCACTGGCAGATTCTACAAAAACAGTGTTTCCAAACTGCTCTATCAAAAGACAGATTCAACTCTGTGAGTTGAATGCACATATCACAAAGAAGTTTCGGAGAATGCTTATGTCTAGTTTTTATGTGAAAATATTTTCTTTTCCACCATATGCCTCCAAGCGCTCCAAATATCCACTTGCAATTTATACAAAAAGAGTGCTTCAAAACTGCTCTATCAAAAGAAGGGTTCCAATCTATGGGTTGAATGTACACATCACAAGGTAGTTTCAGAGAATACTTGTGTGTAGTTTATATGTGAAGATATTTCCTTTTTCACCATAGACCTCAAAGGGAACCAAATATCCACTTGCAGATTCTACAAAAAGATTGATTGAAAACTGCTCTAACCAAAGAAAGATTCAACTCTGGGAGTTGAATTCACACTTCACAATGAAGTTTCTGAGCAAGCTTCTCTCTTGTTTTTATGTGAAGATATTTCTTTTTCCGCCATAGGCCACAAATCACTCCCAATATCCACTTGCAGATTCTACAAAAAGCGTGTTTCAAAACTGCTCTATTAAAATAAAGGTTCACCTCTGTGAGTTGAATGCACACATTGCAAAGAAGTTTCTGAGAATGCTTCTGTCTGGTTTTTATGTGAAGATATTTCGTTTTCGAACAGAGGCCTCAAAGGAAACCAAATATCCACTTGCAGATTCTACAAAAAGAGTGTTTGAAAACTGCTCTATCAAAAGAAAGGTTCAACTATGTGAGGTGAATACACACATCACAAAGAAGTTTTGGAGAATTCTTCTTTCTAGTTTTTATGTGAAGATAATTCCTTTTTCACTATAGTCATCAAAGGGAACCAAATATCCAATTGCAGATTCTACAAAAAGTGTGTTTCAAAACTGCTCTGTAAAAAGAAAGTTTCAACTCTGTGAGTTGAATGCACTCATCACAGAGAAGTTCCTGAGAATGCTTCTGTCTAGTTTTTATGTAAACGTATTTCGTTTTCCACCACAGGCCTCAAAGGAATCTAAATATCCACTTTAAGATTCCACAAAGGAGTGTTTCAAAACTGCTCTATCAAAAGTAAGGTTCAACTCTGTGAGTTGAATGCATACATCATGAAGAAGTTTCGGAGAATTCTTCTGTCTAGTTTTTATGTGAAGATATTTCATTTTCCAACACAGTCCTCAAAGGAAACTAAATATCCAATTGCAGATTCTACAAAAAGAGTGTTTCAAAACTGCTCTATCAAAAGAAAGGTTCCATACTGTGGGTTGAATGCACACAGCACCGAGAAATTTGGGAGAATGCTTGTGTCTAGTTTTTATGTGAAGATATTTCATTTTTCACCATAGTCCTCAAAAGGAACAAAATATCCACTTACAGATACTACAAACAGAGTGTTTAAAAACTGCTCTATCAAAAGAAATGTTCAACTCTGCAAGTTGAATGTGCACATCTAAAAGTAGTTTCTGAGAATTCTTCTGTGTAATTTTTATGTGAAGATATTTCCTTTTCCAACATAGGCCTCAAAGCGATCCAAATATCTACTCGCATATTCTACAAAAATAGTGTTTCAAAACTGCTCTATCAAAGGAAAGGTTCAACTCTGTGAATGGAACGCACACGTCACAAAGAAGTTTCTGAGAATGCTTCTGTCTAGTTTTTACATGAACATATTTCCTTTTCCACCATAGGTCTCCAAGCACTCTGAATATCCACTAGCAGATTCTACAAAAAGAGTGTTACAAAACTTCTCTATCAAAAGAAATCTTCAATTCTGTGACTTGAATGCACACATCAGGAAGAAGTTTCTGAGAGCAATTCTGTCTAGTTTTTATGTGAAGATATACCCCTTTCCAAAGAAGGCCTCAAAGCGCTCCAAATGTCCACTTGCAGATACTACAAAAAGAGTGTTACAAAACTTCTCTATCAAAAGAAATCTTCAATTCTGTGACTTGAATGCACACATCAGGAAGAAGTTTCTGAGAGCAATTCTGTCTAGTTTTTATGTGAAGATATACCCCTTTCCAAAGAAGGCCTCAAAGCACTCTAAATGTCCACTTGCAGATTCTACAAAAAGAGTGTTTCAAAAGTGCTGCATGAAAACAATGGTTGAATTCTGTGAGTTGAATGAACACATCACAAAGAAGTTTAGGAGAAAGCTTCTGTCCAGTTTTTATGGGAAGATATTCCTGTTTACAATGAAGTCCTCAAAGCGGTCCAAATATCCACTTGCAGATTCTAGAAAAACAGTGTTTCAAAACTGCTCTACGAAAAGTAAGGTTCAATTCTGTGAGTTGATGTCACACATCACAAAGAAGTTTCTCAGAATGCTTCTGTCCAGTTTTTATGTGAAGATATTTCTGTTTCCAATGAAGGGCTCAAAGCGCTCCAATTATCTAATTGAAGATTCTACAAAAAGAGTTTTTCAAAAGAGCTGTATCAATAGGAAGTTTCAACTCTCTGAGGTGAATACACACATCACAAAGAAGCTTATGAGAATGCTTCTGTCTAATTTTTATGTGAAGATATCCCCATTTCCACCATGGATCTCAAAGCACTCCAAATATCCCCTTGCAGATTCTACAAAAAGAGTGTCTCAAAACTGCTCTATCAAAGGGAAGGTTCAACTCTGTGAGTTGAATGCACACATCACAAAGAAGTCTCTGAGAATGCTTCTGTCTAGTTTTTCTGTGAAGATATTTCCATTTCAACCACAGGCCTCAAAACTCTCCATATATCCACTTGCAGATTATACAAAAAGTGTTTCAAAACTGCTCTATGAAAAATAAGGTTAAATTCTGTGAGTTGAATGCACACATCACAAAGAAGTTTCTGATAATGCTCCTGTCTATTTTTTATGTGAAGATATTCCCGTTTCCAATGAAGGGCTCAAAGTGCTCCAAATATCCACTTGAAAATTCTACAAAAACAGTTTTTCAAAACTGCTGTATCGTTAGGAAGTTTCAACTCTGTGAGTTGAATGCACACATCACAAAGAGGTTTGAGAATGCTTCTGTCTAATTTTTATGTGAAAATATTACCGATTCCACCATAGGCCTCAAACACTCCAAATATCCCCTTTCAGAATGTACAAAAAGAGTGTTTCAAAACTGCTCCATCAAAGGGAAGGTTCAACTCTGTGAGTTGAATGCACACATCACAAAGAAGTCTCTGAGAATGCTTCTGTCTAGATTTTATGTGAAGATATTTCCATTTCCACCACAGTCCTCAAAGAACTCCAAATGTCCACTTGCAGATTCTTCAAAAAGAGTGTTTCAAAAGTGTTCTATAAAAAGAAATGTTCAATTCTTTGAGTTTAATGCACACGTCAAAAAGAAAATTCTGAGAATGCTTCTGTCTAGTTTTTATGTGAAGATATTCCCGTTTACAACGAAGGCCTCGAAGCCGTCCAAATATCCACTTGCAGATTCTACAAAAAGAGCGTTTCAAAACTGCTCTATCAAAAGGAATGTTCAACTGTGTGATTTGAATGCAAACATAACAAAGTAGTTTCTGAGAATGCTTCTGTCTACTTTTTATAGGAAGATATTTCCTTTTCTACCATAGGCTTCAAAGCACTCCAAATATCCACTTGCAGATTCTACAAAAAGAGTGTTTCAAAACTGCTCTAACAATAGGATGTTTCAACTCTCTGAGTTGAATGCACACATGACAAAGAAAGTTATGTGAATGCTTCTGTCTAGTTTTTATGTAAAGATATTCCCCTTTCCCCCATTGGCCTCTAAGCAAAGCATATATCCAGTTGCCGATTCAACAAAAAGAGTATTTCAAAACTACTCTATCAAAAGGAAGGTTCAACTCTGTGAGTTGAATGCACACATCACTAAGAAGTTTCTAAGGATGCTTCTGTCTAGTATTTATGTGAAGTTGTTTCCTTTTCCACCACAGGCCCCTAAACGCCCCAAATGTCCACTTGCAGATTCTACAAAAAGAGTTGTTCAAAAGTGCTCTATCAGAAGAAAGGTTCAATTCTGTGAGTTGAATGCACACATAACCAAAAAGTCTCTGAGAATGCTTCTGTCTAGTTTTTATGTGAAGATATTCCCGCTTCCACCGTAGGCCTCAAAGCACTCCAAATATCCCCTTGCAGATTCTACAAAAAGAGTGTTTCAAAAGTGCTCTATCAAAGAGAATGTTGAACTCTGTGTGTTGAATGCACACATCACAAAGAAGTCTCTGAGAATGCTTCTGTCTACTTTTTATGTGAAGATATTTCCTTTTCCATCACAATCCTCTAAGAGCTACAAATGTCCACTGGCAGGTTCTACAAAAAGTGTGATTCAATACTGGTCTTTCAAAAGAAATGTTCAACTCTGTGAGTTGAATGCACACATCACAGAGAAGTTTCTGAGAATGCTTTTGTCTAGCTTTAGTGAAGATATTTCCGTTTCTGACAAAGGCCTCTAAGCACCCCAAATATCCACTGGCATATACTACCAAAAAAGTGTTCCAAAACTGCTCTATCAAAAGGAATGTTGAACTCTGTGAGTTGAATGCAAACATCACTATGTAGTTTCTGAGAATGGTTCTGTCTAGGTTTTATATGACGATATTTCCTTTTCTACCATAGGCCACAAAGTGCTCCAAATATCCACTTGCAGATACTACAGAAAGAGTGTTTCAGAACTGCTCTATCAAAAAAAAAAAGGTTCTATTCTCTGAGTAGAATGCACACTTCACAAAATAGTTTCTGAGAATGCTTCTGTCTAGTTTTTATGCGAAGTTATTTCCTTTTCCACCAGAGGCCTCAAAGCACTCCAAATGTCCACTTGCAGATTCTACAAAAAGAGTGTTTCAAAACTTCTCTATCAGAAGAAAGGTTCAATTCTGTGAGTTCAATGCACACATCACAACGGAGTTTCTGAGAATGCTTCTGTCTAGTTTTTATGTGAAGATAATCCGGTTTCCAACGAGGGCCTCAAATCAGTCCAAATATCCACTTGCAGATTCTACAAAAAGAGTGTTTCAAAACTGCTCTATGAAAAGCAAAGTTCAACTCTGTGAGTTGAATGCACACATCACAAAGAAGTTTCTGAGAAGACTTCTGTCTAGTTTTTATGTGAAGATATTCCCATTTCCAATGAAGGGCTCAAATTGCTCCAAGTATCCACTTGAAGTTTCTACAAAAAGAGATTTTCAAAACTGCTGTATCAATAGGAAGTTTCAACTCCCTGAGTTGAATGCACACATCACAAAGAAGTTTATGAGAATGCTTCTGTCTAGTTTGTATGTGAAGATATTCCCGTTTCCACCGTAGGCCTCAAAGCACTCCACATATCCCCTTGCAGATTCTACAAAAAGAGTGTTTTGAAACTGCTCTATCAAAGGGAAGATTCAACTCTTTGGGTTGAATGTGCACATCACAAAGAAGTCTCTGAGAAGGCTTCTGTCTAGTTTGTATGTGAAGATATTTCCATTTCCACCACAGTCCTAAAAGAGCTCAAAATGTCCACCTGCATATTCTACAAAAAGAGCCTTTGAGAACAGTTCTATCAAAAGAAAGTTTCAACTCTGTGAGTTGAATGCACACATCACAGAATTTTGTGAGAATGCTTCTGTCTAATTTTTATGTGAAGATATTCCCATTTCCAACAAAGGCCTCAAAGCCGTCCAAATATGCACTTCCAGATTTTACAAAAAGAGTGTTTCAAAACTGCTTTATCAAAAAGAATGTTCAACCCTGTGACTTGAATGCAAACATCACAAAGTAGTTTCTGGGAATGCTTCTGTCTAGTTTTTATATGAAGATAGTTCCTTTTCTACTATAGGCCTGAAAGCGCTCTGAATATCCACTTGCAGATCCTACAGAAAGAGTGTTTCAAAACTGCACCATAAAAAGGAAGGTTAAACTCTCTGGGTTTAATGCACAAGTCACAAAGTAGTTTCGGAGAATGCTTCTGTCTACTTTTAATGTGAAGATATTTCCGTTTATACCATAGGCCAAAAAGGGCTCCTAATATCCACTTGCAGATCCTACAAAAAGAGTGTTTCCAAACTGCTCTGTCAAAAGGAAGGTTCAACTCTGTGAGTTGAATGCACACATCACATAGAAGTTTCTGAGAATGCTTCTGTCTAGTTTTTATGTGAAATTATTTCCTTATCCACCACAGGACTTAAAGAACTCCAAATGTCCAATTACAGATTCTACAAAAAGAGTGTATCAAAACTATCCTATGAAAAGAAAGGTTCAATTCTGTAAGTTGAATGGACACATGACACAGAAGATTCTGAGAATGCTTCTATCTAGTTTTTATGTGAAGATATTCCCATTTCCAACAAAGGCCTCAAAGCGCTCCAAATATTCACTTGCAGATTCTACAAAAGAGTGTTTCAAAACTGCTCTATCAAAAGGAATGTTCAGCTGTGTGAGTTGAATGCAAACATTACAAGGTTTATGAGAATGCTTCTGTCTAGTTTTTATGTGAAGATATTTTCTTTTCCACCATAGGCCAAAAATCGCTCCAAATATCCACTTGCAGATTCTACAAGAACACTGTTTCAAACCTGCTCTGTCATAAGGAATGTTCAACTCTGTGAGTTGAAGGCACACATCACAAAGAAGTTGTTGAGAATGCTTCTGTCAAGTTTTTATGTGAAGATATATCCTTTTCAACCATAGATCTCAAATCGCTCCAAATGTCCACTTGCAGAAACTGCAAAAAGACTGTTGCAAAACTGCTCTCTCAAAAGGAAAGTTCATCTCTGAGAGTTCAATGCACACATCACAAGGAAGTTTCTGAGAATGCTTCTGTCTATTTTATATGTGAAGATTTTCCCTTTTCCAACTAAGACCTCAAACCGCACTAAATGAATACATGCAGTTTCTACAAAAAAGAGTGTTTCAAAGCAGTTCTATCAAAAGAAAATTTCAACTCTGTGAGTTGAATGCACACATCACAAAGCAGTTTCTGAGAATGCTTCTGACTAGTTTTTATTTGAAGATATTCCCATGTCCAACGAAGTCCTCCAAAATCTCCAAATATCCACTAGCATAATCTACAAAA
Source organism: Homo sapiens (assembly GCF_000001405.40). NCBI lineage: Eukaryota > Metazoa > Chordata > Mammalia > Primates > Hominidae > Homo > Homo sapiens. Next base: position 62,531,171 of record NC_000007.14, on the reverse strand, counting down.
GGAGTCTTTCAAAACTTCTTTATCAAAAGGAAGGTTCAACTCTATTAGTTGAATGCAAAACTCACAAAGAAGTTTCTGATAATGCTTCTGTCTAGTTTTTATCTGAAGATATTTCCTTTTCCACCATAGGCCTCAAAGCGGTCCAAATGAACACTTGCAGACTCTACAAAAAGAGTGTTTCAAAACAGCTCTATGAAAAGAAAGGTTCAACTCTGTGATTTGAATGCACACCTCAGAAGTAGTTTCTGAGAATGCTTCCGTCTAGTTTTCATTTGAAGATATCCCATTTCCAACGAAGGCCTCAAAGGGCTCCAAATATTCTCGAGCAGATTCTGCAAAAGGAGAGTTTCAATACTGCTGTATCAAAAGAAATGTTCAAATCTGTGAGTTGAATGCACACATCACAAAGAAATTTCTGAGAATCCTTCTGTCTACTTTTTATGTGAACATATTTCGTTTTCCACCATAGGCCTCAAAGCGCTCCAAATAAGCACTTGCAGATTCTACAAAAAGAGTGTTTCAAAACTGCTCTATTAATAGAAAAGTTCAACTCTGTGAGTTGAATGCAAACATCACAAGGAAGTTTCTCAGAATTCTTCAGTCCAGTTTTATATGAAGAAATCCCGTTTCCAACGAAGGCCTCAAAGAGTTTAAAATATCCACTTGCAGACTTTACAAACAGAGGGTTTCAAAACTGCTCTATCAAAAGAAAGGTTAAGCTCTGTGAGTTGAATGCAAACATCACAAAGAAGTTTCTGAGAATGCTTCTGTCTAGTTTTTATGTGAAGATATTTTCTTTTCCACCATAGGCCTCAAATCGCTCCAACTCTCCACTTGCAGATTCTACAAAAAGACTGTTTCAAAACTGCTCTGTCAAAAGGAAGGTTCAACTCTGTGAGTTGACGGCACACGTCACAAACAAGTTTCTGAGAATGCTTCTGTCTAGTTTTTATGTGAAGATATTTCCTTTTCTACCATAGGCCTCAAAGTGCAATAATGAACACTTGCAGTTTCTAAAAAAAGAGTGTTTCAAATCTCCTCTATCAAAAGAAAAGTTCAACTCTGCGAGTTTAATGCACACATCACAAAGCAGTTTCTGAGAATGCTTCTGACCAGTTTTTATGTGAAGATATTGCCTTTTAAAACGAAACTCTCCAAAATCTCCAAATATCCACTAGCAGATTCTACAAAAGGAGTCTTTCAAAACGGCTCTATGAAAAGGAAGGTACAACTCTGTGGGTTGAATGCACACCTCACAAAGAAGTTTCTGAGAATGCTTCTGTCTTGTTTTTATGTGAAGATATTTCCTTTTCCACCATAGGCCTGAAAGCGCTCCAAATGAACACTTGCAGATTCTACACAAAGAGTGTTTCAAAACTGCTCTATCAAAAGAAAGATTCAACTCTGTGAGTTGAATGCAGACAACACCAGAAGTTTCTGAGAATGTTTTTGTCTAGTTTTTATGTGAAGATATTTTCTTTTCCACCCTAGGCCTCAAATTGCTCCAAATATCCACTTGCGGATTCTACAAAAAGACTGTTTCAAAAAACCTCCATCAAAAGGAAGGTTCAACTCTGTGAGTTGAATGCACACATCACAAAGCATTTTCTGAGAATGCTTCTGTCTAGTTTTTATGTGAAGATATCCCTTTTCCTAGGCAGGCCTCAAAGAGCTCCAAATAATTACAAGCAGATTACATGACAGGAGTGTTTCAAAACTGCTCTATCAAAAGAAAGGTTCAACTCTGTTACTTCAATGCACACATCACCAAGAAGTTTCTGAGAATGCCTCTGTCAAGTTTTTATGTGAAGATATTTCCTTTTCCACCATAGGTTTCAAATCACTCCAAATATCCACTTGCAGATTCTACAAAAACACTGTTTCAAAACTGCTCTCTCAAAAGGAAGGTTCACATCTGAGAGTTGAGTGCACAGGTCGCAAGGAAGTTTCTGAGAATGCTTCTGTCTGGTTTTTATGTGAAGATATTTCCTTTTCAACCTAAGGCCTCAAAGTGCACCAAACGAACACTTTTGGATTCTACAAGAGTGTTTAAAAACTGCTCTATCAAAAGAAAGTTTCAACACTGTGAGTCGAATGTCCACCTCACAAAGCAGTTTCTGAGAATGCTTCCGTCTAGTTTTTATTTGTAAATATCCCATTTCCAATGAAGGCTGCAAATAGCTCCAAATATCCACAAGCAGATTCTACAAAAGGAGAATTTCAATACTGCTCTATCAAAAGAAAGGTTCAACTCTTTGAGTTGAAGGCACACATCACAAAGCAGTTTCTGAGAATGCTTCTGTCTAGTTTTTATGTGAAGATATTTCCTTTTCCACCACAGGCCTCAAAGGGCTACAAATATCCACTTGCAGTTTCTACAAAAAGACTGTTTCAAAACTGCTCTGTCAAAAGGAAGGTTCAACTGTGAGCTGAAGGCACACATCAAAAAGAAGTTTCTGAGAATGCTTCTGTCTAGTTTTTATGTGCAGATATTTCCTTTTCCACAATAGGCCTCAAATCGCAGTAAATGAACACTTGCACTTTCTACAAAAAGAGTGTTTCAAAACTCCTCTATCAAAAGAAAAGTTCAACTCTGCGAGTTTAATGCACACATCACAAAGAAGTTTCTGAGAATGCTTCTGACTAATTTTTATGTGAAGATATTCCTGTTTCCAATGAAGAAGTCCAACAGTCTCCAAATATCCACTAACAGATCCTACAAAAGGAGTCTTTCAAAACTGCTCTATCAAAAGGAAGGTTCAACTCTGTGAGTTGAAGGCACACCTCACAAAGAAGTTTCTGAGAATGGTTCTGTGTAGTTTTTATGTGAAAATATTTTTTTTCCACTATAGGCCTCAAAGAGATCCAAGGGAACACTTGCAGATTCTACAAAAAGAGTGTTTCAAAACTGCTCTATGAAAAGAAAGGTTCAACTCTGTGAGTTGAATGCACATATCAAAAAGCAGGTTCGGAGAATGCTTCTGTCTAGTTTTTATGTGAAGATATTTCCTTTTCCACCATAGGTCTCAAATCATTCCAAATATCCACTTGCAGATTCCACAAACAGACTGTATCAAAACTGCTCTCTCAAAATGAAGGTTCAGCTGTGAGCGTTGAGTGCACACATCACAAGGAAGTTTCTGAGAATGCTTCTGTCTAGTTTTTATGTGAAGATATTTCCTTTTCAACCGTAGGACTCAAAGGGCTCCAAATGAACACTTAGAGATTTTACAAAAAGAATGTTTCAAAACTCCTCTATCAACAGAAAGGTTCAACTCTTTGAGTTGAAGGCACACATCACAAAGAAGTTTCTGAAAATGTTTCTGTCTAGTTTTTAAGTGAAGATATTTTCTTTTCCACCATAGGCTGCAAATCGCTCCAAATATCCACTTGCAGATCCTACAAAAACAGTTTCAAAACTGCTCTGTCAAAAGGAAGGTTCAACTCTCTGAGTTGAAGGCACACATCACAAAGAAGTTTCTGAGAATGCTTCTGTCTAGTTTGTATGTGAATATATTTCGATTTCCACCGTAGACCTCAAAGCCCACTGAATGAACATTTGTAGTTTCTACAAAAAGAGTGTTTCAAAACTCTTCTATCAAAAGATAAGTTCAACTCTGCGAGTTTAATGCACACATCACAAAGCAGTTTCTGAGAATGCTTCTGACAATTTTTATGTGAAGATATTCCCATTTCCAACAAAGGCCTCACAACTTTCCAAATATCCACTAGCAGACTCTACAAAAGGAGTCTTTCAAAACTGCTCTATCAAAAGGAATGTTCCACTCTATGAGTTGAATGCACACCTCACAAAGAAGTTTCTGAGAATGCTTTTCTCAAGTTTTTATGTGAAGATATTTCCTTTTCCACCATAGGCCTCAAAGTCCTCCAAATATCCACTTGCAGTTTCTACAAAAAGAGTGTTTCAAAACTGCTCTATGAGCAGAAAGGTTCAATTCTGTGAGTTGAATGCACACATCACAAAGCTGTTTCTGCGAATGCTTCTGTCTAGTTTTTATGTGAAGATATACCATTTCCAAAGAAGGCCTCAAAGAGCTCCAAATAATTATAAGCAGATTCCACAAAAGGAGTGTTTCAAAACTGCGCTAACAAAAGAAAGGTTCAACTCTGTTACTTGAATGTACACATAACAAAAAAGTTTCTGAGCATGCTTCTGTCAAGTTTTTAGGTGAAGATATATTCTTTTTCACTTAGGTCTCAAATCGCTGCAAATATCCACTTGCAGATTCTGCAGAAAGACAGTTTCAAAACTGCTCTCTCAAAATGAAGGTTCAACTCTGAGATTTGAATGCACACATCACAAGGAAGTTTCTGAGAATGCTTCTGTCTAGTTTTTATTTGTAGATATTTCCTTTTCCACATACGGCCTCAAAGCACTCCAAATGAACACATGTATATTCTACAAAAAGAGTGTTTCAAAAGTGCTCTATGAAAAGAAAGGTTCAACTCTGTGAGTTGAATGCACACATTGGAAAGTAGTTTCTGAGAATGATTCTGTCTAGTTTTTATATAAAGATATTTCCTTTTGAACCATAGGCTTCAAAGCGCCTTAAATATCCACTTGGAAATTCTACAAAAAGAGTGTTTCAAAACTGCTCTGTCAAAAGTAAGTTTCAACTCTGTGAGTTGAAGACACACATCACAAAGAAGTTTCTGAGAATTCTTCTGTCTAGTTTTATATGAAGAACTCCCATTTCCAACGAAGGCCACAAACAGGTCGACATATCCACTTGCAGATTCTACAAAAACAGTGTTTCAAAACTGCTGTATCAACGGCAATGTTGAACTCTGTGAGTTAAATGCATACGTCACGAAGAAGTTTCTGAGAACCCTTCTGTCAAGTTTTTTTGTGAAGATATTTCGTTTTCTACCGTAAGCCTCTAAGCCCACTGAATACACACTTGCAAAATCTACAAAAAGAGTGTTTCAAAACTGCTCTATCAAAAGAAGGTTCAACTCTGTGAGTTGAGTGCAGACATCATAAAGAAGTTTCTGAGAATACTTCTGTCTACTTTTTATGTGAAGATATTAACGTTTCCAAAGAAGGCCTCAAAGCACTACAAATATCCACTTGCAGACTTTACAAACAGAGTGTTTCAAAAGCGCTCTATCAAAAGAAAGGTTAAACTCTGTGAGTTGAATGCACACATCAGAAAGTAGTTTCCGAGAATTATTCTGTCTAGTTTTTATATAAAGATATTTCCTTTTGTACCATAGGCTTCAAAGCGCCTTAAATATCCACTTGGAAATTCTACAAGAAGAGTGTTTCAAAACTGCTCTGTCTAAAGGAAGGTTCAACTCTGTGACTTGAATACAAACATCACAAAGAAGTTTCTGAGAATTCTTTTGTCTAGTTTTACATGAAGAAATCCCGTTTCCAACGAAGGCCACAAACAGGTCCAAATATCCACTTGCATATACTACAAAAACAGTGTTTCAAAACTGCTCTATCAAAGGGAATGTTGAAATCTGCGAGTTAAATGCAAACATCACAAAGAAGTTTCTGAGAACGTTTCTGTCTACTTTTTTTGTGAAGATACTTCATTTTCTACCGTAGTCCTCTAAGCCCACTGAATACACACTTGCAAAATCTACAAAAACAGTGTTTCAAAACTGCTCTATCAAAAGGAAGGTTCAATTCTGTGAGTTGAGTGCAGACGTCATAAAGAAGTTTCTGAGAATACTTCTGTCTACTTTTTATGTGAAGATATTAAAGTTTCCAAAGAAGGCCTCAAAGCACTCCAAATATTCACTTGCAGATTTACAAACAGAGTGTTTCAAAACTGCTCTATCAAAAGAAAGGTTAAAATCTGTGAGATGAACGCACACATCACAAACTAGTTTCTGAGAATGATTCTGTTTAGTTTTTATATGAAGAGATTTCCTTTTCTAATGTAGGCCTCCAAGCCCTGTCAATATTAACTTGGACACACTGCATAAAGAGTGTATCAAAACTGCTCAATTGAAAGGAAGGTTCAACTCTGTGAGTTGAATACACACTTCAAAAAGAAGTTTTTCAGAATTCTTCTGTCTAGTTTTATATGAAGAAATCCGGTTTCCAACGACGGCCTCAAAGAGGTCCAAATATCCACTTGCAGATTCTACAAAAAGAGTGTTTCAAATCTGCTCTATCAAGGGAAATGTTCAACTCTGTGAGTTGAACGCAAATATCACAAAGAAGTTTCTGAGAATGCTTCTGTCTAGCTTTTATATGAAGATATTTCCTTTTCTACCATAGGCCCCAAAGGCCTCCAAATACACACTTGTAAATTCTACACAAAAGTGTTTCAGAACTGCTCTATCAGAAGACAGGTTAAACCCTGTGAGTTGAACGTACACATCATAAAGTAGTTTCTAAGAATGATTCTGTCCAGTTTTTATGTGAAGATATTTCCTTTTGTATCATAGGGTTCAAAGCGCACTAATTCTCCACTTGGAAATTCCATAAGCAGAGTGTTTCAAAAGCGCTCTATCAAAAGGAAGGCTCAACTCTGTGAGTTGAATATACCCATTGCAAAAAGATTCTGAGAATTCTTCTATCCAGTTTGTATGCTAAGATATTCCCGTTTCCAACGAAGGCCTCAAAGAGGTCCAAATATCTACTTGCAGTCTTCACAAACAGAGTGTAACAAAACTGCTGTATCAAAAGAGAGGTTAAACACTGTGAGTTGAATGCACACATCACAAAGTAGTTTCTGAGAATATTTCTGCCCAGTTTTTATATGAAGATATTTCCTTTTCTACTGTAGGCCTCAAAGCGCTTTAAATTTCCACTTGCATATACTACAAAAAGAGTTTTTCAACACTGCTCTGTCAAAAGAAAGGATAAACTCTGTGAGTTGAACCCACACATCACAAAGTGGTTTCTGAGAATTATTCTGTCAAGTTTTTATATGAATATATTTCATTTTCTACCATAGGCTTCAAACCACTCTAAATATGCACTTGGAAATTCTACAAAAAAAGTGTTTCAAAACTGCTCTATTGAAAGGAAGGTTCAACTCTGTGAGTTGAATGCACACATCACAAAGAAGTTTCTCATAATTCTTCTGTCTAGATTTATATGAAGAAATCCCGTTTCCAATGAAGGACTCTTAGAGGTCCAAATATCCACTAGCACACTATACAAACTGAGTGTTTCAAAACTGCTCTATCAAAAGAAATGTTAAACTCTGAGTTGAATACCCACATAACAAGCAGTTTCTGAGAACGATTGTGCCTAGTTTTATATGAAGATATTCCTTTTTCTACTAGAGGCCTCTAAGCGCTTTAGATATCACTCGCATATTCTACACAAAGACTGTTTCAAAAATGCTCAGTCACAAGAAACGTTAAACTCTGTGAGTAGAACCCACACATCACAAAGAGGTTTCTGAGAATGATTGTGTCTAGTTTTTATATGAAGATATTTCATTTTCTACAATAGGCTTCCAAACACTATAAATATGCCCTTGGAAATTCTACAAAAAGAGTGTTTCAAAACTGCTCTATTGAAAGGAAGGTTCAGCTCTGTGGGATGAATGCACACATCACAAAGGAGTTTCTCAGAACTCTTCTGCCTAGAGTTAAATGAAGAAATCCCGTTTCCAGCGAAGGTCTTAAAGAGGTCAAAATATCCACTTGCAGACATGACAAACAGAGTGTTTCAAAACTGCTCTATCATAAGAAAGCTTAAACTCTGTGAGGCCAACGCACACATCACACAGTAGTTTCTGAGAATGATTATGTCTAGTTTTTATACAAAGATATATCCTTTTCTACCATAGGCCTCAAAGCACTTGAAATATCCACTTGCAAATCCAACAAAAAGAGTGTTTCAAAACTGCTCTGTCAAAAGGAACTTTCAACTCTGTGAGCTGAATACACACATCACACAGGAGTTTCTGAGAATTCTTCTGTCTGTTTTTGTATGAGGAAATCCCGTTTCCAACGAAGGGCTCAAAGAAGTCCAAATATCCACTTGCAGATTCTACAAAAAGAGTGTTGCAAAACTGCTCTATCAAAAGGAATGTTGAACTCTGTGACTTGAATGCAAACGCCACAAAGAAGTTTCTGAGAATGCTTTTGTCTAGATTTCATGTGAAGATATTTCCTTTTCTACCAAAGGCCCCAAAGCCCTCTAAATACACACTTCCAAACTCTGCAAAAAGAGCGTCACAAAACTGCTCTATCAAAGGAAATGTTAAACTCTGTGTGCTGAATGCACACATCACAAAGTGCTTTCTTAGAATGATTCTGTATAGATTTTATATGAAGATACTTCGTTTTCTACCAAAGGCTTCAAAGCACTCTAAATATGCTCTTGGAAATTCTACAAAAAGAGTGTTTCAAAACTGTTCTATCGAGAGGAAGGTGCAACTCTGTGAGTTGAATGTTCACATCACAAAGAAATTTCTGAGAATTCTTCTGTCTAGGTTTATACAAAAAATGCCCGTTTCCAACGAAGGCCTTGAAGAGGTCAAAATATCCACTTGCAGAATCAACAAACAGAGTGTTTCAAAACTGCTCCATCAAAAGAAAGCGTAAACTCTGTGAATTGAACGCACACATCACAAAGTAGTTTCTGAGAATGATTCTGTCTAGTATTTATACGAAGATTTATTCTTTTTGAACATAGGCCTCAAAGTGCTTTAAATATCGACAGGCATATTCTACAAAAAGAGTGTTTTAAAACTGGTCTATCGAAAGGAATGTTCAACTCTGTGAGTTGAATACCCACATCACAAAGGAGTTTCTCAGAATTCTTCAGTCTAGCTTTATATGAAGAAATCCCGTTTCCAACGAAGGCCTCAAAGAGATCCAACTATCCACTTGCAGACTTTACAAACAGAGTGTTTCAAAACTGCTCTATCAAAAGAAAGGTTAAACTCTGTGAGGCCAACGCATACATCACAAAGTAGTTTCTGAGAATGATACTGCCTAGTTTTTATATGAAGATATTTCCTTTTCAACTATAGGCCTCAAAGCGCTTAAAATGTCCACTTGCATATACTACAAAAAGAGTGTTTCAAAACTGCTCTGTCAAAAGAAAGGTTAAACTCTGTGACTCCAACCCACATATCACAAAGAGGTTTCTGAGAATGATCCTGTGTAGTTTTTATATGAAGATATTTCGTTTTCTACCACAGGTCTGAAAGCACTCTAAATATGCCCTTGGAAATTCTACAAAAAGAGTGTTTCAAAACTGCTCTATTGAAGGGAATGTTCAACCCTGTGAGTTGAATGAACACATCAGAAAGAAGTTTCTCAGAATTATTCTGTGTAGATTTACATGAAGAAATCCCGTTTCCAATGAAGGCTTCAAAGAGGTCTAAATATCCCCTTGCAGACATTACAAACAGAGTGTTTCAAAACTGCTCTATCAAAAGAAAGGTTAAACTCTGTGAGGTGAACGCACACATCACAAACTAGTTTCTGAGAAGGATTCTGTCTAGTTTTTATAAGAAGATATACACTTTTCTACCATAGGACTCAAAGCGCTTTAAATATCCACTTGCAAATCCCACAAAAAGAGTGTTTCAAAACTGCTCTATTGAAAGGAAGTTTCAACACTGTGAGATGAATGCACACATCACAAAGAAGTTTCTGAGAATTCTTCTGTCTAGTTTTATATGTAGAACTCCCATTTCCAATGAAGGCTTCAAAGAGGTCCAAATATCCACTTGCAGATTCTACCAAAAGAGTGTTTCAAAACTGCTCTATCAAAAGGAATGTTGAAACCTGCGACATGAATCCAAACATCACAAAGAAGTTTCTGAGAATGCTTCTGTCTAGTTTTTAAGTGAAGATATTTCCTTTGCTACCATAGGCCACAAAGCCCTCTAAATACACACTTGCAAATTCTACAAAAAGAGTGTTTCAAAACTCTTCTGTCAAAAGAAAGGTTAAACTCTGTGAGCTGAACGCACATATCACAAATTAGTTTCTGAGAATCATTCTGCCTAGTTTGTATATGAAGGTATTTCCTTTTCTACTGTAGGCCTCAAAGCGCTTTAAATATCCACTTGCATATTCTAGAAAACGAGTGTTTCAAAACTGCTCTATTAAAAGAAAGGTTAAACTCTGAGAGTTGAATGCCCACAACACAAACTGGTTTCTGAGAATGATTCTGTCTAGTTTTTATATGAAGATATTTGGTTTTCTACTATAGGCTTCAAAGCATTCTAAATATGCACTTGGAAATTCTACAAAAAGAGTGATTCAAAACTGCTCTATCAAAAGGAAGGTTCAACACTGTGAGTTGAACGTACTCATCACAAAGAAGTTTCTCAGAATTCTTCTGTTTAGTTTTATATGAAGAAATCCCGTTTCCAACTAAGGCCTCAAAGAGGTCCAAATATCCCCTTGCAGACATTACACACAGAGTGTTTCAAAACTGCTCTATCAAAAGAAAGGTTAAACTCTGCGAGTTGAATGCACACATCATAAAGTAGTTTCTGAGAATGATTCTGCCTAGTTTTTAAATGAAGATATTTCGTTTTCTACCATAGGCCTAAAAGCACTCCAAATATGTCCTTGGAAATTCTCCAAAAAGAGTGTTTCAAAACTGAGCTATCGAAAGGAAGGTTCAACTCTGTGAGTTGAATGCTCACATCACAAAGAAGTTTCTGTGAATTCTTCTGTCTAGATTTATATGAAGAAAGCCCGTTTCCAACGAAGGCCTTAAAGAGGTCAAAATATCCACTTGCAAACATTAAAAACAGAGTGTTTCCAAACTGCTCTATCAAAAGAAAGTTTAAACTCTGTGAATTCAAAGCACACATCACAAAGTAGTTTCTGATAATGATTCCGTCTAGTTTTTATGGGAAGATTTATCTTTTTCGACCATAGGCCTCAAAGCGCTTTAACTATCCACTTGCAAATCCTACAAAAAGACTGGTTCAAAACTGCTCTGACAAAAGGAAGTTTCAACTCTCTGAGCTGAATGCACACATCACAAAGGAGTTTCTGAGAATTCTTCTGTCTAGTTTTATATGAAGAAATCCCGTTTCCAACGAAGGCCTCAAAGAGGTCTAAATATCCACTTGCAGATTCTACAAAAAGAGTGGTTCAAAACTGCTCTATCAAAAGAAAGCTTAAACTCTGTGAGGAAAACGCACACATCACAATGTAGATTCTGAGAATGATTCTGTCTAGTTTTTATACGAAGATATTTCCTTTTCTACAATAAACCTCAAAGCGCTTGAAATATTCACTTGCAAATCCTACAAAAAGAGTGTTTCAAAACTGCTCTGTCAAAAGGAACTTTCAACTCTGTGGGCTGAATGCACACATCACAAAGGAGTTTCTGAGAATTCTTCTGTCTAGTTTTGAATGAAGAAATCCCGTTTCCAACGAAGGGCTCAAAGAGGTCCAAATATCCACTTGCAGATTCTACAAAAAGAGTGTTTCAAAACTGCTCTATCAAAAGGAATGTTGAACTCTGTGACTTGAATGCAAACGCCACAAAGAAGTTTCTGAGAATGCTTCTGTCTAGATTTCATGTGAAGATATTTCCTTTTCTACCATAGGCCCCAAAGCCCTCTAAATACACACTTCCAAATTCTACAAAAAGAGCGTTTCCAAACTGCTCTATATAAGGAAAGATAAAACTCTGTGTATTGAACGCACACATCACAAACTTGTTTCTGAGAATGATTGTGTCTAGTTTTTATATGAAGATATTTCGTTTTCTACCAAAGTCTTCAAAACACTCTAAATATGCTCTTGGAAATTCTACAAAAGGGTGTTTCCAAACTGTTCTATCGAAAAGAATGTTCAACTCTGCGAGTTGAATGCACACATCCCAAAGACGTTTCTCAGAATTCTTCTGTCTACTTTTATATGAAGAAGTCCCATTACCAAAGAAGACCTCAAAGAGGTCCTAATATCCACTTGCAGAATTAACAAACAGAGTGTTTCAAAACTGCTCTATAAAAAGAAAAGTTAATCTCTGTGAGTTGAACGCACACATCACAAAGTAGTTTCTGAGAATGGGTCTGTCTAGTTTTTATATGAAGATATTTCCATTTCTCCTATAGGCCTCAAAGTGCTTTAAATATCAACTTGCATATTCTACAAAGAGAGTGTTTCAAAACTGACCTATCGAAAGGAATGTTCAACTCTGTGAGTTGAATACACACATCACAAAGTAGTTTCTGAGAATTCTTCCTTCTAGTTTTATATGAAGAAATCCCGTTTCCAACGAAGGCCTCAAAGAGGTCCAAATATCCACTTGCAGACTTTACAAACAGAGTGTTTCAAAACTGCTCTATCAAAAGAAAGGTTAAACTCTGTGAGTTGAATGCCCACATCACAAGTAGTTTCTGAGAACGATTTTGCCTAGTTTTTATATGAAGATATTTCTTTTTCTACTGAGGCCTCAAAGCGCTTTAAATATCCACTTGCATATTCTACAAAAAGACTGTTACAAAACTGCTCGGTCACAAGAAACGTTAAACTCTGTGAGTTGAACCCACACATCACAAAGAGTTTTCTGTGAATGATTGTGTCTAGTTTTTATATGAAGATATTTCTTTTTCTAACATAGGCTTCAAAACACTCTAAATATGCCCTTGGAAATTCTACAAAAAGAGTGTTTCAGAACTGCTCTATCAAAAGGAAGGTTCAACACTGTGAGATGAATGCCCAAATCACAAAGGAGTTTCTCAGAACTCTTCTGTCTAGAGTTAAATGAAGAAATCCCATTTCCAACGAAGGCCTTAAAGAGGTCAAAATATCCACTTGCAGACATGACATACAGAGTTTTTCAAAACTGCTCTATCAAAAGAAAGCTTAAACTCTGTGAGGCCAATGCACTCATCACAAAGTAGTTTCTGAGAATGATTCTGTCCAGTTTTTATATGAAGATATATCCTTTTCTACCATAGGCCTCAAAGCACTTGAAATATCCACTTGCAAATCCTACAAAAAGAGTGTTTCAAAACTGCTCTGTCAAAAGGAAATTTCAACTCTGTGAGCTGAATGCACACATCACAAAGGAGTTTCTGAGAATTCTTCTGTCTAGTTTTGTATGAACTAATCCCGTTTCCAACGAAGGGCACAAAGAGGTCCAAATATCCACTTGCAGATTCTACAAAAAGAGTGTTTCAAAACTGCTCTATCAAAAGGAATGTTGAACTCTGTGACTTGAATGCAAACGCCACAAAGAAGTTTCTGAGAATGCTTCTGTCTAGATTTCATGTGAAGATATTTTCTTCTCTACCATAGGCCCCAAAGCCCTCTAAATACACACTTCCAAATTCTACAAAAAGAGCGTTTCCAAACTGCTCTATCAAAGGAAAGGTTAAACTCTGTGTGCTGAATGCACACATCACAGAGTGGTTTCTCAGATTGATTGTGTCTAGTTTTTGTATGCAGATATTTCGTTTTCTACCAAAGGCTTCAAAGCACTCTAAATATGCTCTTGGAAATTCTACAAAAAGAGTGTTTCCAAACTGTTCTATCCAAAGGAAGGTTCATCTCTGTGGGTTGAATGCACACATTCCAAAGAAGTTTCTGAGAATTCTTCTGTCTAGTTTTATATGAAGAAGTCCCGCTTCCAACGAAGGCCTCAAAGAGGTCCTAATATCCACCTGCAGAATTCACAAAGTGTTTCAAAACTGCTCTATAAAAAGAAAAGTTAAACTCTGTGATTTGAACCCAAACATCACAAAGTAGTGTCTGATAATGGTTCCGTCTAGTTTTGTATTAAGATATTTCCTTTTCTACTATAGGCTTCAAAGCGCTTTAAATATCAACTTGCATATTCTACAAAAAGAGTGTTTTAAAACTGATATATCAAAAGGAATGTTCAACTCTGTGAGTTGAATACCCACATCACAAAGGAGTTTCTGAGAATTCTTATGTCTAGCTTTATATGAAGAAATCCCGTTTCCAACGAAGGCCTCAATAGTTCCAAATATTCACTTGCAGCCGTTACAAACAGAGTGTTCCAAAACTGCTCTATCAAAAGAAAGGTTAAACTCGGTGAGGCCAACGCATACATCACAAAGTAGTTTCTGAGAATGATACTGCCTAGTTTTTATATGAAGATATTTCCTTTTCAACTATTGGACTCAAAGCGCTTAAAATATCCACTTGCATATTCTTCAAAAAGAGTGTTACAAAATTGCTCTGTCAAAAGAAAGGTCAAACTCTGTGACTTGAACCCACATATCACAAAGAGGTTTCTGAGAATGATCTTATATAGGTTTTATATGAAGATATTTTGTTTTCTACCACAGGCCTGAAAGCACTCTAAATATGCCCTTGGAAATTCTACAAAAAGAGTGTTTCAAAACTGCTCTATCGAAGGGAATGTTCAACCCTGTGAGTTGAATGAAAACATCAGAAAGAAGTTTCTCAGAATTCTTCTGTCTAGATTTACATGAAGAAATCCCGTTTCCAACGAAGGATTCAAAGAGGTTCAAATATCCACTTGCAGATATTACAAACAGAGTGTTTCAAAACTCCTCTCTCAAAAGAAAGGTTAAACTCTGTGAGTTGAACGCACACATCACAAAGCACTTTCTGAGAATGATTCTGTCTGGTTTTTACACTAAGATATTTCCTTTTCTGCAATTGCCCTCAAATCGCTTGAAATATCCACCTGAAAATTCCACAGCAAGAGAGTCTGAAATCTGCTGTCTGTAAAGCAAGGTTCAACTCTGTGAGCTGAATACACACAACACAAACAAGTTACTAAGAACTCTTCTGTCTAGCATAAATGAAGAAATACCGTTTGCAACGAAGGCCTCAAAGAGGTCCAAATATCCACTTGCAGACATTTCAAGCAGAATGTTTCTAAACTGCTCTGAGAAAAGAAAGGTTAAGCTCTGTGAGTTGAAGGCACACATCACAAAGTAGTTTCTGAGAATGATTCTGTCTAGTTTTTATTTGAAGATATTTCCTTTTCTACTGTTGGCATCAAATTGCTTGAAAAATCCACTTGCAAATTCCACAAAAAGAGTGTTTCAAATCTGCTCTGTCTAAAGGGACGTTTCACTCTGTGAGTTGAATACACACAACAGAAAGAAGTTAATGAGAATTCTTCTGTCTAGCATTAAATGAAGAAATCCCTTTTCCAAAGAAGGCCTCAAAGCGGTCCATATATCCACTTGCAGAATTTACAAACAGAGTGTTTCCAAACTGCTTTATGAAAAGAAAGGTTAAAGGATGTGAGTTGAATGCACACATCACAAAGAATTTTCTGAGAATGATTCTGTCTAGTTTTTATTTGAAGATATTTCCTTTTCTACTGTTGGCATCAAATCGCTTGAAATCTCCACTTGCAAATTCCACAAAAAGAGTGTTTCAAATCTGCTCAGTCTAAAGGGACGTTCCACTCTGTGAGTTCAATGCACACAACACAAAGAATTTACTGAGAATTCTTCCGTCTAGCATTATATGACAAAATCCCGTTTCCAACGAAGGCCTCAAAAAGGTCCAAGTATCCACTTGCAGACTTTACAAACAGAGTATTTCCAAACTGCTCTATAAAAAGAAAGGTTAAACTCCGTGAGTTGAACGCACACATCACAAAGCACTTTCTGAGTATGATTCTGTCTGGTTTTTATACGAAGATATTTCCTTTTCCGGAATTGTCCTCAAATCGCTTGAAATCTCCACCTCAAAATTCCACAGCAAGAGTGTTTCAAATCTGCTCTGTCAAAACGAAGGTTCAACTCTGTGAGTTGAATCCACATAACAAAAAGAAGTTACTGAGAATTCTTCTGTCTAGAACTCAATGAAGAAATCCCGTTTCCAACGAATACCTGTAAGAAGTGCAAATATCCACTTGCAGGATTTACAAAGAGTGTGTTTCCAAACTGCTCTATGAGTAGAAAGGTTAAACTCTGTGAGTTGAACGCACACATCACAAAGCACTTTCTGAGTATGATTCTGTCTGGTTTTCATACGAAGATATTTCCTTTTCTGCAATTGTCCTCAAATCCCTTGAAATCTCCAACTGAAAATTCCACAGCAAGAGTGTTTCAAATCTGCTCTCTCTAAAGCAAGGTTCAATTCTGTGAGTTGAATACACACAACACAAATAAGTTACTGAGAACTCTTCTGTCTAGCATTAAATAAAGAAATCCCGTTTGCAACGAAGGCCTCAAAGAGGTCCAAATATCCACTTGCAGACATTACAAGCAGAGTGTTTCTAAACTGCTCTAAGAAAAGTTAAACTCTGTGAGTTGAATGCATACCTCACAAAGTGGTTTCTGTTAATTACTCTGTCTAGTTATTATTTCCAGATATTTCGTTTTCCACCGTTAGCAACAAATCGCTTGAAATCTCCACTAGCCAATTCCACAAAAAGAGTGTTTCAAATCTGCTCTGCTTTAAGGGACGTTCCACTCTGTGAGTTGAATACACACAACACAAACAAGCAACTGAAAATTCTTCCGTCTTGCATTATATGAAGCAATCCCGTTTCCAACGATATCCTCCAAGAGGTCCAAATATCCACTTGCAGACATTACAAACAGAGTGTTTCCAAACTGCTCTATGAAAAGAAAGGTTAAACAATGTGAGTTGAACGCACACATCACAAAGTAGTTTCTGAGAATAATTCTGTCTAGTTTTTATTTGAAGATATTTCCCTTTCTACTGTTGGAATAAAATCGCTTGAAGTCTCCACTTGCAAATTCCGCAAAAAGAGTGTTTCAAATCTGCTCTGTCTAAAGGGACGTTCCACTCTGTCAGTTGAATGCACACAACACAAAGAATTTACTGAGAATCCTTCCGTGTAGCATTATATGAAAAAATCCCGTTTCCAGGGAAGGTCTCAAAGAGGTACAAATATCCACTTGCAGACTTTACAAACAGTGTGTTTCCAAACTGCTCTATGAAAAGAAAGGTTAAACTCTGTGAGTTGAATGCACACATCACAAAGTGGTTTCTGTTAATTATTCTGTCTAGTTTTTATTTGAAGATATTTCGTTTTCTACCATTGGCACCAAATCGCTTGAAATCTCCACTAGCCAATTCCGCAAAAAGAGTGTTTCAAATCTGCTCTGTTTTAAGGGACGTTCCACTCTGTGAGTTGAATACACACAACACAAACAAGTAACTGAAAATTCTTCCGTCTTGCATTATATGAAGCAATCCCGTTTCCAACGAAATCCTCCAAGAGGTCCAAATATCCTCTTGCGGACATTACAAACAGAGTGTTTCCAAACTGCTCTATGAAAAGAAAGGTTAAACAATGTGAGTTGAACGCACACATCACAAAGTAGTTTCTGAGAATAATTCTGTCTAGTTTTTATTTGAAGATATTTCCCTTTCTACTGTTGGAATAAAATCGCTTGAAATCTCCACTTGCAAATTCCGCAAAAAGAGTGTTTCAAATCTGCTCTGTCTAAAGGGACGTTCCACTCTGTCAGTTGAATGCACACAACACAAAGAATTTACTGAGAATCCTTCCGTGTAGCATTATATGAAAAAATCCCGTTTCCAGGGAAGGTCTCAAAGAGGTACAAATATCCACTTGCAGACTTTACAAACAGTGTGTTTCCAAACTGCTCTATGAAAAGAAAGGTTAAACTCTGTGAGTTGAATGCACACATCACAAAGTGGTTTCTGTTAATTATTCTGTCTAGTTTTTATTTGAAGATATTTCGTTTTCTACCGTTGGCACCAAATCGCTTGAAATCTCCACTAGCCAATTCCGCAAAAAGAGTGTTTCAAATCTGCTCTGTTTTAAGGGACGTTCCACTCTGTGAGTTGAATACACACAACACAAACAAGTAACTGAAAATTCTTCCGTCTTGCATTATATGAAGCAATCCCGTTTCCAACGAAATCCTCCAAGAGGTCCAAATATCCTCTTGCGGACATTACAAACAGAGTGTTTCCAAACTGCTCTATAAAAGAAAGGTTAAACAATGTAAGTTGAACGCACACATCACAAACTAGTTTCTGAGGATAATTCTGTCTAGTTTTTATTCGAAGATATTTCCTTTTCTACTGTTGGCAACAAATCGCTTGAATTCTCCAATTTCAAATTCCACAAAAAGAGTGTTTCAAATCTGCTCTGTCAAAACGAAGGTTGAACTCTGTGAGTTGAATCCACATAACACAAAGAAGTTACTGAGAATTCTTCTGTCTAGCACTGAATGAAGAAAAACCGTTTCCAACGAAGACCTGTAAGAAGTGCAAATATACTCTTGTAGACATTACAAATAGAGTGTTTCCGAATAGCTCTATGAAAAGAAAGGTTAAACACTGTGAGTTGAAAGCACACATCACAAAGCAGTTTCTGATTATGATTCTGTCTTGTTTTTCTACGAAGATATTTCCTTTCGTGCAATTGTCCTCAAATCACTTGAAATCTCCACCTGAAAATTCCACAGCAAGAGTGTTTCAAATCTGCTCTCTCTAAAGCAAGGTTCAACTCTGTGAGTTGAATACACACGACACAAATAAGTTACTGAGAACTCCTCTCTCTAGCATCAAATGAAGAAATCCCGTTTGCAACGAAGGCCTCAAAGAGGTCCAAATATCCACTTGCAGACATTACAAGCAGAGTGTTTCTAAACTGCTCTAAGAAAAGAAAGGTTAAACTCTGTGAGATGAAGGCACACATCACAAAGGAGTTTCTGAGAATGATTCTGTCTAGTTTTTATTTGAAGATATTTCCTGTTCTACTGTTGGCATCAAATCGCTTAAAATCTCCACTTCAAATTCCACAAAAAGAGTGTTTCAAATCTGCTCTGTCTAAAGGGACTTTCCACGCTGTGACTTGAATACACACAACACAAAGTAGTTACTGAGAATTCTTCTGTCTAGCATGAAATGAAGAAATCCCGTTTCCAACGAAGACCTCAAAGCGGTCCATATACCCACTTGCAAACTTTACAAACAGAGTGTTTCCAAGCTGCTCTATGAAAAGAAAGGTTAAACTATGTGAGTTGAACGCACACATCACAAAGAATTTTCTGAGAATGATTCTGTCTAGTTTTTCATGAAGATATTTCCTTTTCTACTGTTGGCATGAAATCGCTTGAAACCTCCACCTACAAATTCCACAAAAAGTGTGTTTCAAATGTGCTCTGTCTAAAGGGACGTTCCACTCTGTGAGTTGAATGCACACAACACAAAGAATTTACTGAGAATTCTTCCGTCTAGCATTATATGAAAAAATGCCTTTTCCAACGAAGGCCTCAAAGAGGTCCAAATATCCACTTGCAGAATTTACAAAGAATGTGTTTCCAAACTGCTCTATGAGTAGAAAGGTTAAACTCTGTGAGTTGAACGCACACATCACAAAGCACTTTCTGAGTATGATTCTGTCTGGTTTTTATACGAAGATATTTCCTTTTCTGCAATTGTCCTCAAATCGCTTGAAATCTCCACCTGAAAGTTCCACAGCAAGAGTGATTCAAATCTGCTCTCTCTAAAGCAAGGTTCAATTCTGTGAGTTGAATACACACAACACAAATAAGTTACTGAGAACTCTTCTGTCTAGCATTAAATGAAAAAATCCGGTTTGCAACGAAGGCCTCAAAGAGGTCCAAATATCCACTTGCAGACATCACAAGCAGAGTGTTTCTAAACTGCTCTGAGAAAAGAACGGTTAAACTCTCTGCATTGAAGGCACACATCACAAAGTAGTTTCTGAGAATGATTCTGTCTAGTTTTTATTTGAAGATATTTCCTTTTCTACTGCTGGCATCAAATCGCTTGAAATCTCCACCTGCGAATTCCACAAAAAGAGTGTTTCAAATCTGCTCTGTGTAAAGGGACGTTCCACCCTGTGAGTTGAATACACACAACACAAAGAAGTTACTGAGAATTCTTCTGTCTAGCATTAAATGAAGAAATCACGTTTCCAAAGAAGGCCGCAAAACGGTCCATATATCTACTTGCAGACTTTACAAACAGAGTGTTTCCAAACTGCTGTATGAAAAGAAATGTTAAACTATGGGAGTTGAACGAACACATCACAAAGAATTTTCTGAGAATTATTCTGTCTAGTTTTTATTTGAAGATAATTCCCTTTCTACTGTTGGCATCAAATTGCTTGAAATCTCCACTTGCAAATTCCACAAAAACAGTGTTTCAAATCTCCTGTGTCTAAAGGGACGTTCCACTCTGTGAGTTGAATCCACACAACACAAAGTATTCACTGAGAATTCTTCCGTCTAGCATTATATGAAAAAATCCCATTTCCAATGAAGGCCTCAAAGAGGTCCAAATATCCACTCGTAGATTTTACAAACAGTGTGTTTCCAAACTGCTCTATGAAAAGAAAGGTTAAACTCCGTGAGTTGAACGCACACATCACAAAGCACTTTCTGAGAATGATTCTGTCTGGTTTTTATACGAAGATATTTCCTTTTCTGCAATTGTCCTCAAATCGCTTGAAATCTCCACCTGAAAATTCCACAGCAAGAGTGTCTCAAATCTGCTCTCTCTAAAGCAAGGTTCAACTCTGTGAGTTGAATACACACAACACAAAAAAGTTACTGAGAACTCTAATTAGTCTAGCATTAAATGAAGAAATCCGGTTTGCAACGAAGGCCTCAAAGAGTTCCAAATATCCACTTGCAGACATAAGAAGCAGAGAGTTTCTAAACTGCTCTAAGAAAAGAACGGTTAAACTCTGTGAGTTGAAGGCACACATCACAAAGTAGTTTCTGAGAATGATTCTGTCTAGTTTTTATTTGAAGATATTTCCTTTTCTACTGCTGGCATCAAATCGATTGAAATGTCCACTTGCAAATTCCACAAAAAGAGTGTTTCAAATCTGCTCTGTCTAAAGGGACGTTCCACTCTGTCAGTTGAATACACACAACACAAAGAAGTTAATGAGAATTCTTCTGTCTAGCATTAAATGAAGAAATCCCGTTTCCAACGAATGCCTCAAAACTGTCCATATATCCACTTGCAGATTTTACAGTGTGTTTCTAAACTGCTCTATGAAAAGAAAGGTAAACTATGTGAGTTGAACGCACACATCACAAAGAATTTTCTGAGAATGATTCTGTCTGGTTTTTATTTGAAGATATTTCCCTTTCTACTGTTGGCATCAAATGGCTAGAAATCTCCACTTGGAAATTCCGCAAAAAGAGTGTTTCAAATCTGCTCTGTCTAAAGGGACGTTCCACTCTGTGAGTTGAATGCACACAACACAAAGAATTTACTGAGAATTCTTCCGTCTAGCATTCAATGAAGAAATCCCGTTTCCAACGAAGGCCTCAAACAGGTCCATATATCCAATTGCAGACTTTACAAACAGTGTGTTTCCAAACTCCTCTATGAAAAGAAAGGTTAAACTCTGTGAGTTGAACGCACACATCACAAAGCACTTTCTGAGAATGATTCTGTCTAGTTTTTATTTGCAGATATTTCCTTTTCTATTGTTGGCAACAAATCGCTTGAAATCTCCACTTGCAAATTCCACAAAAAGAGTGTTTCAAATCTGCTCTGTGTAAAGGGACGTTCCAGTTTGTGAGTTTAATACACACAACACAAAGAAGTTACTGAGAATTCTTGTGTCTAGCATGAAATGAAGAAATCCCGTTTCCAACGAAGGCCTCAAAGCGGTCCATATATCCACATGCACACATTACCAACAGAGAGTTTCCAAACTGCTCTATGAAAAGAAAGGTTAAACTATGTGAGTTGAACGCACACATCACAAAGAATTTTCTGAGGATGATTCTGTCTAGTTTTTATTTGAAGATATTTCCCTTTCTACTGTTGGCATCAAATGGCTAGCAATCTCCACTTGCAAATTCCGCAAAATGAGTGTTTCAAATCTGCTCTGTCTAAATGGACGTTCCACTCTGGGAGTTGAATGCACACAACACAAAGAATTTGCTGAGAATTCTTCCGTCTAGCATTCAATGAAGAAATCCCGTTTCCAACGAAGGCCTCAAACAGGTCCATATTTCCACTTGCAGACTTTACAAACAGTGTGTTTCCAAACTCCTCTATGAAAAGAAAGGTTAAACTCTGTGAGTTGAACGCACACATCACAAAGCACTTTCTGAGAATGATTCTGTCTGGTTATTATACGAAGATATTTCCTTTTCTGCAATTGTCCTCAAATCGCTTGAAATCTCCACCTGAAAATGCCACAGCAAGAGTGTTTCAAATCTGCTCTCTCTAAAGCAAGGTTCAACTCTGTGAGTTGAATACACACAACACAAAAAAGTTCCTGAGAACTCTTCTTAGTCTAGCATGAAAGGAAGAAACCCCGTTTGCAACGAAGCCCTCAAAGAGGTCCAAATATCCACTTGCAGACATAACAAGCAGAGTGTTTCTAAACTGCTCTAAGAAAAGAAAGGTTAAACTCTGTGAGTTGAAGGCACACATCACAAAGTAGTTTCTGAGAATGATTCTGTCTAGTTTTTATTTGAAGATATTTCCTTTTCTACTGTTGGCATCAAATCGCTTGAAATCTCCACTTGCAAATTCCACAAAAAGAGTGTTTCAAATCTGCTCTGTGTAAAGGGACGTTCCACTCTGTGAGTTGAATACACACAGCACAAAGAAGTTACTGAGAATTCTTCTGTCTAGCATGAAATGAAGAAATCCCGTTTCCAACGAAGGCCTCAATGCGGTCCATATATCCACTTGCAGACTTTACAAACAGAGTGTTTCCAAACTGCTCTATGAAAAGAAAGGTTAAACTATGTGAGTTGAACGCACACATCACAAAGAATTTTCTGAGAATGATTCTGTCTGGTTTTTATTTGAAGATATTTCCCTTTCTACTGTTGGCATCAAATGGCTAGAAATCTCCACTTGCAAATTCCGCAAAAACAGTGTTTCAAATCTGCTCTGTCTAAAGGGACGTTCCACTCTGTGAGTTGAATGCACACAACACAAAGAATTTACTGAGAATTCTTCCGTCTAGCATTATATGATAAAATCCCGTTTCCAACGAAGGCCTCAAACAGGTCCATATATCCAATTGCAGACTTTACAAACAGTGTGTTTCCAAACTCCTCTATGAAAAGAAAGGATAAACTCTGTGAGTTGAACGCACACATCACAAAGCACTTTCTGAGAATGATTCTGTCTTGTTTTTATTTACAGATATTTCCTTTTCTACTGTTGGCATCAAATCGCTTGAAATCTCCACTTGCAAGTTCCACAAAAAGAGTGTTTCAAATCTGCTCTGTGTAAAGGGACGTTCCAGTCTGTGAGTTGAATACACACAACACAAAGAAGTTACTGAGAATTCTTCTGTCTAGCATGAAATGAAGAAATCCCGTTTCCAACGAAAGCCTCCAAGCGGTCCATATATCCACTTGCAGACATTACCAACAGAGTGTTTCCAAACTGCTCTATGAAAAGAAAGGTTAAACTATGTGAGTTGAAAGCACACAACACATAGAATTTACTGAGAATTCTTCCGTCTAGCATTATATGTTAAAATCCCGTTTCCACCGAAGGTCTCAAACAGGTCCATATATCCACTTGCAGACTTTACAAACAGTGTGTTTCCAAACTCCTCTATGAAAAGAAAGGTTAAACTCTGTGAGTTGAACGCACACATCACAAAGCACTTTCTGAGAATGATTCTGTCTTGTTTTTATTTGCAGATATTTCCTTTTCTACTGTTGGCATCAAATCGCTTGAAATCTCCACTTGCAAATTCCACAAAAAGAGTGTTTCAAATCTGCTCTGTGTAAAGCGACGTTCCAGTCTGTGAGTTGAATACACACAACACAAAGAAGTTACTGAGAATTCTTCTGTCTAGCATGAAATGAAGAAATCCCGTTTCCAACGAAAGCCTCAAAGCGTTCCATATATCCACTTGCAGACGTTACCAACAAAGTGTTTCCAAACTGCTCTATAAAAAGAAAGGTTAAACTATGTGAGTTGAACGCACACATCACAAAGAATTTTCTGAGGATGATTCTGTCTAGTTTTTATTTGAAGATATTTCCCTTTCCACTGTTGGCATCAAATGGCTAGAAATCTCCACTTGCAAATTCCGCAAAAAGAGTGTTTCAAATCTGCTCTGTCTAAAGGGACGTTCCACTCTGTGAGTTGAATGCACAAAACACAAAGAATTTACTGAGAATTCTTCCGTCTAGCATTATATGATAAAATCCCGTTTCCAACGAAGGCCTCAAACAGGTCCATATATCCACTTGCAGACTTTACAAACAGTGTGTTTCCAAAGTCCTCTATGAAAAGAAAGGTTAAACTCTGTGAGTCGAACGCACACATCACAAAGCACTTTCTGAGAATGATTCTGTCTTGTTTTTATTTGCAGATATTTCCTTTTCTACTGTTGGCATCAAATCGCTTGAAATCTCCACTTGCAAATTCCACAAAAAGAGTGTTTCAAATCTGCTCTGTGTAAAGGGACGTTCCACTCTGTGAGTTGAATACACACAACACAAAGAAGTTACTGAGAATTC